>NC_000011.10:131675552-131984740 GCF_000001405.40 Homo sapiens | reverse complement strand
TAAATAGGGAAGAAGCTTATGATACTTTTGACAGTTTTTGTGTAGCTGAAAAACTATGATTTTCCTTTAAAAGAGCCTGGAACTGTAAACCAACTGCCAAACACCCCAACATGCACTCACAGCAAATGGGCTAGATAATTCATTCAGCCCCCAAGTAGGGCGTACTCCACAATGACCACTTCAGATGTGGCCATGGAGGATGCTGAACAAAGAAGAACTATCCAGTGTGTGACGCCAGGGAGCCACCACTAACAATAGGTAAGAAATCTCCTCCTGGAGAACAGAATCAGAGTATAGATAAGAAGCTTCTCCACTGCCGGGGCAAAAATATCACCCATGAACCAGTAACTGCTGTGTATCTTCAATGCTTCCATTTTCCAAATAAGGTGTTTTACTGTGATAATCCCATCTTGCTACCCCATTTAAAAGGACTTTGGAATAAGGGGTGGCAATCTTTTCAGTTATACGTCAGTGATCCATAAACAGCCATGGCTGATCATGAAGAAAAAGGAGTAAATACCACCAGGTGAACTCGGACTTTGAGCTGAATGCAGTAATTGAATTGGATTTTGAGTAGTCTACCTTGGGGCTGTGTATTCTGAGTATGTGAAGAAGGGTACAAATGGATATTTACTTAAATGCCTACTGTAGCTATGATTGCTACCTGTACACCAAAATCTGTGTCTATTTTTTCTTGGCATTAATTAGGTTACATTCCTTTTCTTTGGCTCTACAGGCAGGTAGATCAAGTAATTTCATTCTAGCCAAAAGAATGTGAAAAAGTGATATATACCATATGACATTTAACAATCTCCCTTATGTATTCTTCTATATTCTGTCCTCTTCCTTTGGCTGGAAGCTAATGCTCAGGGAACTTTGGACGTCATGTGTTCAAGATGGCAGAGCCTTGGTTAGCCTGGATCCCTGAGTGACTACATGGAGCAGAGCCTCTCTCCTCAACAACAATCAGAAACATTCATTGTAGATTGTTGAGTGAGCAAGTCATAAATTTATATTGAGTCAACTCAGAGAATTTTATTTATATAATAGAAGATACAATATTATAGCCAGTCGTGGTGGCTCATGCCTGTAATACCAGCACTTTGGGAGGCCGAGGCAGGCAGATTACCTGAGGTCAGGAGTTCAAGACTAGCCCAGCCAACGTGGTGAAACCCCATCTCTAATAAAAATAAAAAAATTAGCTGGGTGTGGTAGCAGATGCCTGGAATCCCAGCTACTTGGGAGGCTGATGTAGGAGAATCGCTTGAACCCGGGAGGCAGAGGTTGCAGTGAGCCAAGATCACACCACTGCACTCTGGCCTAGGAGACAGAGCGAGACTCCATCTCAAAAAAAAAAAAAAAAAAAGATACAATTTTATACTCTCCATTTTAGAGAGGTGAAAAATGAGGTTTGTTATGTTTTTATTTTTAATAATTTACACAATTTAGAGAGGTTGGACTCAACCCTGTGTCTCCCCAACTCCAGCATCTCTTTTTGTGATGCCACAAATGCCACATTATCATTTGAGGATTGAAGGTACAATACAGGTTATTGAAAATGGGATCTACTGAGGTCAAGATAAACCAACCAATCTTTTCCTACTTTCAGATATTAGGCAGATTTGCTTTTGCCTCTTCTTTAGACAATGGGTGTTCTTCCATGTAGTATGACTAAAAAAAAAAAAAAATCATTTTCCTTTGAGTAGCTAAGGAAGCAGCCAGTAGTGTGTGAAGAAACTGAATCTGGGCATGCCCTGCAAGCTAATGAAATGACCCCTCCTCTCCCCAACTGCTGATTCCACTGGGATTCTTTAGGTAAATGAAAATCATAAGCCATTTGATCCTGAAAGTTTTTCTGCAGAAAGGCAAGACCAGGTCCTTTCTTTGTGTTAAATCTTGCCTTGATTAAATTGGCTTTTTTTCTTATCAAATTTCCAAAGCTCTGAGTTACTAACAAGGAAAGGTTTTAATAGGGTCCTAGATTTTAAAGCCAGTGGGCACCACAGCCTGAGTCCTTTATGACGTGTAATGAATAAAACAACCTAAATCACTGCTTTTTAAAGTTGTCTGTTTAAGAATTACAATAATTTTTCCCTTTATTCCACCCTGCCCCCCCTTTCATTTTATGTGTCTCCAGTGACACTTGCTTTAAAGGGCACATACACGGGACAGACCCAGAAACTCTGCTTTCCATAGGGGAGCACCCTGGCTGGAAGAAGCCAGAAGCCCCTCTCCCAGCTGCTCCTGAACTTTCAGGAGCAGCTGTGTCTGTTCCATGACCCTCCTTGTTTCCTCATCCCACCTCTCGTGTCTCTCCATTCCTGCCATCGCTGTCCCTTTCCCTTCTCCAGCTCCTTTCATCCTTGTTCTTGCCCCTTCTTTCTCTTTACATTCTTGCATTCCCTATGCCTTCTCTTGATCTTCGTAACAAAGAAACCCCACACTGGGGAGGGTTGCAAACTCTACTCCAATCAGGGCAAGTTCCTGTGCACAAAACAAACAAAAAGGAGCCTCCCTTCCCATGAGAACAGTGTGTTGCTGCCTCCAAGTCCCCCCTCCCTCCACCCCAGTATGTTTCTCATAGACTTTTCCCCTTGGGCAGATGGGCAACCTAGGAGATAATTTCAAACTGCACGGTTTCTTTTTTTTTCCTTTTAGTGTTTTTTGTTGTGTTGTTTTCTGTGGGTTTTTTTGTTTGCTTGTTTTCTCTCCTTTTCTTTTTTATTTTTGAGATGGAGTCCCGCTCTGTCACCCAGGCTGGAGTGCAGTGGTGCAATCTTGGCTCACTGCAACTTCCGCCTCCCAGGTTCAAGCAATTATCCTGCCTCAGCGTCCCAAGTAGCTGGGATTACAGGCACCTGACACCACGCCCAGCTAATGTTTGTATTTTTTAGTAGAGATGGGGTTTCGCCATGTTGACCACGCTGGTCTTGAACTCCTGACCTCAGGTGCTCCACCTGCCTCAGCCTCCCAATGTGCTGGGATTACAGGCATAAGCCACCGCACCAGGCCTGTTTTCTCTCCTTTCAAGGGCCCAAGAGCACATGCAAGGTTATCTGAATTGAACTACAATTTTCAAATTCTGCCCTAGCACAGAAATATTGGATATTGTAACAAGAGAGAAAATGATAAGACGATGTGTGTCCCCTACAGTCCTCTCTTGCCACAGACACACTACAGAGGTGTCTGGGAACACAGAGTAAGCAGAACGTTTCCATAAAAGTGCTTTATTTTAATCACTTAACAGCTTCATGCCAATGAATCATCCCTCAGTTGAGGACGACGTGCCTGCAGAGATTCATCAAGACTGCTCCAGCTCGTGATTGGAAAGGGAGAGAAAGAAATGCTGGGACATCCAGCTGTCACACAGCTAACCGGAAAGCCATGTGGTCAAACAGAGGCACATTGGAGCTCTTAGGTGGAAAAATGGGTGCCCACTTAAAAGCTACACAACCTGGAACACGGTGTCAGGACACTTTAATTCTTTCTCCTCCTGTCCTCATCTGGTAGCCTCATGCAATTCAGAGGAAACACAAAGCGGAGCATTCCCAAAGGGCTCACATTGTTTGGGATTTGTCCACGTTGACTCTTCAGGCTGCAGTTGCATTTGCTGGATACCTGCTATGTGCCAAATCTCATCTCCCTCCCTTCCATCAAAACAAACAAATCCCAATAGGGAGTAGTGAGGTTATAAAAGGATTACCTCATTTAAACTTATTATAAACACACATACACACACCCCACAGGTCCCAACTGCAGAACTATTAAATCAACTTGAAGTAATGACAGGTGGATAGGCAGATGGAACAAAGTACTTCCCATAAACATAGAGTCGGATTTGAACCCCTATCGCACAGCCAGGCAGGGGCTACTCACAAAGTTAACTCTCATTCCTCTTTGCCCTCATTACTCCCCATAACTTGCTCATCTTTCTGTTGTAGAATTGGTCACTCCGGATTGTACTTATTTGTTTAACTTCCTTTCTATCACCACACTGAGCATCTTAAGGGCCACATCAAAGCTTTTTCTATCAGTACACCCAGAGCTCAGCACAGCATTGGCACACTGTATGTGCTCAATAAATGCTTATGAATGAAAGAATATATGAATTAGTGGGGTAGACTCTCACTTGTTTTTGAAAGTGTGGTGAAAACTCACTCTATTTCTATGTACAACACTGCAAAATTCAGGTAATTGTTCATTTATTTTAGAATTCCTTAAGAAAATTCAATAAGTAAGCCATAATGAAATAATTTGGGGAATTTAAGAGATCAGTAGAGATCATTAAATTCAGTTTCCTGTCTTTAATTAAATTTTCCATTTCCAAGTGGGTGTTTGGCAAATACACATGGGTTTTATCTAGCAGGACCAATGGGATAATCACAACCAGGTTGAATTCTATTGGGCAATAAAAATTCAGCATCAATGGGGCTCTGTGGGGAGAAAATAAATCGGCCTTATTCTGAATATACCAGACATCATTTTGCTGAAAGCCGACTTAATGTTTCATATCTGGCTACCAATCCGGGAAAAATGACCAATTCCTATTCCAGAAACATGGGTGGAAGTAAATCAAGAATTCAAATAGTTAGTGATACCTTGAATTTTCCTTTGACATCCATTCCCTTCACTTCCCTACAGTTCTCATTCCTCTTTAATTACTCTTAAAATTGTAATCCATTTAGTTTCAAAACAGCAAGGAATCGTTGTGCATCTACAAGGTGCAGTTGGAACCTGACTCAGTTTACTCAGCAGCAATAATGTTATAAAGCCACCTTTCTATCACCTACCTGCCTATCTATATTAATTAATATGTGCAAAGAGCAAGGAGCTCCCTATAGAGAATGGCCCTACATATTCACAAAGGGCTATTATCATTAATTGCCAGTTAGTAATTAGATGTCACTAGTTCCATTATCATATCCATAGACTTGTGAATGCTTAAGCCATAATGTTGCCATTTCAAGTGTTGTCAAATGTGGATGTCAAATGTCTTTCAATGTCATGTCCTCTTTGGGGCAGGGAGAATGACATTGTAGTACCGCCTTTTGGGCAATTTTGAGTTAATAGTGAGGCAAGTGGCTCTCAAACAGCTTCAAACAATAACCCCTTATTGGATTACCAGACAATGAATTAATGGCCACTAAGAGACTGGCAGATCATATCTTAATTAAGCCCAGGCAGTTGAGAAGGCTCTGTGACTCCTTTTAATTGCATTTCCATAGCTCACATGGGCTGTACTTCACTTTGGCCAGAGGTTTGCCCAATTTTTGAATGCCAACATAGCAAAGCATCTTAAATCATCACTAAATGTTGCGAATGTAAACTAGTTTATCTAAACCTCAAGAAATTACTACGCCAATTGTTAATAATGCTATCACACACTTCTTTAGTTTAAATATCTAAGATCTAAAAATTGGACAGCTTTATCCTCTTCCACTCAGCAGGGAGATGGATTGATTTTTTTCTTTTAGCACCAAGCAAGCCGACCAGGGCACTGAAGGAAGGATTATACTAGAGTTTGACTGGGTAACCTTGACTTTCTGTGTTTCAGTGTATAGCATCAAAAGAATAGAACATGACTGCTCCCTGCCCACAGACATGTGGAAATATTAAAGAAAATATGTTTGAAAATCCCCTTAGCTTCATGGATTCAAGAATCCTATGTCTGGTTCCTAACTTTGCTTCCAAGTATGTACCCAAGAGCGAGCGATTTACATGCTCTCGGAGGCTCTGTACCCTCACTTAAAAAACAAGGGAGTTAGACTGGAACCCAGACAAGAGTTTTGTTTTCTAAACTGCATCCTAGGGGACTTATCTGCCACAGAATGTTAATACGTGTTTCTGATAAAAGGGTTTCCCGGTCAGGTACATTCAAGTATGCAGGTGAAAAACCAGGTTAAACATAGGTTAATGCATTTCAAATCTGAAGTTTTACTCTCACAGCCTTCAATGTGCTAATGTAATTCTCCAAACTCTGGGTTGTGCAAGCAATATTTAACAAACTTATTAAACTAAGGAAACGTATTTTGGTAGAGGATGCATGGTTCTAGTGTGGGAACTAATATTAGGAATCACTGAGTTCTGATAGTGTTCCATAGAGCCTTAGGTTACTGCTGCGGGAGCCTCGGGAACAGTCATA
This sequence comes from Homo sapiens, assembly GCF_000001405.40. Lineage (NCBI taxonomy): Eukaryota > Metazoa > Chordata > Mammalia > Primates > Hominidae > Homo > Homo sapiens. Next base: position 131,978,598 of record NC_000011.10, on the reverse strand, counting down.
GGCAATAGGGAAGAGACTCTAGAGCCTTAGGTTACTGCTGCAGGAGCCTCGGGAACAGTCATAGGAAATAGGGAAGAGACTCCAACCTCATCAGCCCCTTAGCCAGAGCAGGTCTACTGTTTTTTTTCTTCTGACTTTGTTTGCTTTAATTTCTTAATAATGAGTAAGATTTGTTCAAAAGAATAGGTGCTCTGACCCGAATAATTTGAAATCCACCAGACTAGGTGTTCTAAAATCCCCTCCATTGCCAACATCCCTGAGTCTATTACTGTTTTAAAGAAAAATATGTAATAAAATAAAACATGCATAAAATTAGCTTTCATAAGTTCTCTAAATTCAATTTGTGATGGTTTTATTCCAGGCTTTCTAGCCAATGCTATTGTTCCATCCATTGTCAATTTGCACTTCACACTCGAGGGTATGAAATATACCTTTAGTTTTGAAGCAGCCTTTTTATCTCACTGAATAGATGATATGCGCTCTCATTCTCAGCATTCCAGAAGGTACAGCTCAGCTCATCTGACTTCATGTGGCTCCCTTCTCTCCTGACCACAGAGCCTTCTTCTGACCATGAAGAATTTTTGCAGAAGGGCGTCCCCCTTGGACATAACTCCAGGTGCTTGCACTGCCATCCTTCCTGACTTGGTAATTAATCTGGGCAACTTTCTTTTTCTCTTCAGCTCATAATTGATTTTCTCCATAAATTATTTTGGGCTGTTTTTGCATATCAAAGGCCACATAAAGAGTCATTGTACTGAGCTGTTAATGGGTCCCTGAGAATGGAGACTTGTTTCCCTTTTTTTTCCTTTTCTTCGAGAAACTCACATTGCATTGGGTTACAAAGGTTTCTCCTTCAGATCTTAATTGGACATCAGAATTTACAGTATCTAGTCAAAAAGAACAAAATCACCTCTTTCTGACTTTAATCTACAATCCTAGCCCTTACCAGCTATATTTACGTAAGCCTTTAACCATGTCACACAAATGAAATGTTCAAGTGGCTTTATACATTCAGGATTAGGAGTAAATTAGTCAATGAGCTGGCAAGACCTTAAGACCAAAATCCTTTTTTTCCTTTATGTGAGGAAAGCAATTGCTCATGAATGCTGTAACTTCTATTGCCTAGGGCTGAGGAAGAGGTATGCGCCTGAGTGATTGGTGGAGCCCAGTGTGAAGACAGTTAAAACATACAGAGCTATTTGGCATGGGCAGAATAGCCTTGCATGACATACACCAGCTCATTGTTTTCACAATAGGAAGAGCAGACGCTCTTGGGAAATTTGGCAGTACAACACGTGGGGTGACAGCACACAGCACTGAAGGCATATAATGTAAAAACTGTTACGCGTAGTCGCTTTTTGTTTTCCTTCCATTAAAAATGCAGCGAACTATCTTACCATTCCCCAACTTTACCAAATGGCACTGGTGAGTGGGGTAGCAGAGATCAATCCATGCATTTCTGAAGGGATGGGTTCCTCAGTGTGTGATAAGCCAAATATATTTGATTTCCAATATGCATGTATGCATAGAAAGCTTCCAATGGATGGTGCTGACATTTATCTTCAGCATCTAGGACTGGTGGGGCTGGTCACCCCTGTGCTCATGAGTGAAAGTAAATGTCAGGAAAGATTAGTGGTCATGTACTACCCACACACACCGATATTTTTCATTCTCTGTGTATTCCTCATGCTGCTCTTCATTTAGGGAACAGTTGTGAGAAATTAAATGTACCTGTGCTCCGGAGGGAGCAGAATTATGGAAATGAGGGCTGTGTTATCATGTAGCACTTTCGCTGAGATGCTTTTCAAAGCAAAATACTACTCACCCTCTTGTTTTCTTCTGCAAATTAGAAACAGAGGCCTGAAGAAGACTTTGTATTCTTGAGTCTGTCCGTGACCTATGGATCTCAGAACTCCAGAGAGCATCCTGGACATTTTATTTTTACTATTAATTGGATCCATTCATTTGTGATTTCAGTTATGACTGAACTGGGGTGAAAGAGGGTGGAGAGGAAGAACTGACACTGAAACATTCTTCTAAATTATCTGTGTGTTGAACAGTGTGCCCATCTCCTATAGTTAAAAAAGACAAAAGGAAGGAAGAATGAAAGAAAACATGAATCTATTCAACAACTCCTTATGATTGAAAGTGGGAAGAGAACGTTGAAAATTCATCCAAGGTAAAAGGCAACTGAGAAGGAAGAGTCAAGTGACAGCAGTCCATAAACCATACTGTCCCCGACCTGGCCAACTGGTGGCCAAGGCAAAACAGGAGCAAGAATAATCAGAACAACCCATCTCCTGTACTCACCCATGCTCGGGTATAAGCTTCCCCTTTGTGCTCTTATCACCTCTCTTTTCATCGCTTGGACTTCATCCCATTAAGCTTATTGAAAGCTGAGTTAAACTGAAGAAGAAAGGAAGAAAGGAAGGAAGGAAGAAAGGAAGGAAGGAAGGAAGGAAGGAAGGAAGGAAGGAAGGAATGAGGGAGGGAGGGAGGGAAGGAGGGAAGGAAGGACCATCAAACTGCACCAATCACAGATTTAAAATGCATTCAAAGGCCACTGGGTTCTTTTTGAGCAGGTAACAAGACCCCAGGGAGGGCAGGTTAGGCCTAAGGACATCTCTCTTCTGATGCCAGAGCTGCTTGGTTCTGCCAACAGACTCCAGAGTTGAGTTAATCATATCTCGGATCCTGCACAGAGCACAACACAAAGCTCTCCAGAATAAATGACAGGAAATCCTGGGCAGAATGTTTTCCCTTTCCTGATGACCAGAGATTGAAATTCCACTCCAGAAATCCTCTCCTCTCATGACCCTCTTCCTTTCAAGTGGAAGAGCGGTAAGCTGAGGACTCTCGAATCCAACCCATCTATGTCATCACAGGAAGGAAACCGTGGAGAAAAGACATTTACACCAACTCAGGCAGAAAAGGCACAAAACAAACACACCGTTAAATAGGGTGGCAAGCAACCCAAACACATCTGATGACAAATTCATTCACGTAGGCCCTTATTTAAGCTTTTATTGGGGTTTTGTTTGGAGGTTTTTTTTCCCCCCTCCCCTAACATTTTAAGGCTTATAAATCTAGAAGACTAGGCTTTCCATTGAAGGCAAGATTCGGCCAGGCGCAGTGGCTCACGCCTGTAATCCCAGCACTTTGGGAGGCCAAGGCAGGTGGATCATGAGGTGAAGAGATAGAGACCAGCCTGGCCAACATGGTGAAACCCTATCTCTACTAAAAATACAAAAATTAGCTGGGCATGGTGGCGTGCACCTGTAGTCCTGTTACTTGGGAGGCTGAGGCAGAAGAATTGCTTGAACCCGGGAGGCAGAGGTTGAAGTGAGCTGAGATTGCTCAACTGCACTCCAGACTGGTGACAGAGCAAGACTCTGTCTCAAAAAAAAAGAAGGCAAGATTCTTATTTTGGTCCCACTTGTTACCTGAAAAGGCAAAAAATAAGAAGAAAGAAAAACAAGGAAACTAGGCAGTTATATTACTGTACCTGAATATTTTTTAAGGCACAAGATAGGTCAGATTGCATTGTCTGAAGAACTCCACTAAGAAAAGAAAACTCACTTGTCAATGCAGGGAGATCTACTGAAGGTTTTTGCAAACTATTAATAAATGGAGTGGAGGCTCGCAGAAGGACACGATATAGGCATAATTTAGGACATTTGTGATATGTTTTAGCCTTTTCAAAAGTTTAGACTATTCCAGTCTCTGTCTTATTTCCCCCTCTAAATTTGAAAGTTTTGTAGGTCAGACTGTAAAAACACTAGGACCTAATAATTATGCAGTGCTAAGTATGTGCCAAGCCTTGCACATATGTTATCTCACTAAATTTTCACAATAACTCTATGAGAAAAAAAAATATTTTTCAAGTGAAAAGACTAAGGCAAAGAGCATTTTAGTGACTTACCCAAGGTCATGTTTTTTATAAATGCCAGGGTCAAAATTTGAACCCAGGCAGTCAGATCCAAGAGCCCATGCTTACATCTTCTAATCTCTTTTCACATTACACGTATCTTTTGTGCACCTCTCAGACGTTATGCTATGCTCACAGAAGATGCTAACTCACTATGTGTTGAACTCATTAACATGAGAGCAAAGAGGTATAAGTTCACATGTAGATTATAAATATGCAAATGCTCATCACTGTTCAAATTGTCTATAGGACAAATATTCTGAGGTGCTAAGGAAAATGCAAAAGGACTCCTATCTTAAAAAAAGCTAGCCTAAATGCATTTTGGGTAAGGAATAAGTTATCACAGACACAATTTTAACACAATTCATTCATTCATTCATTCATTTGAACACAGATGTTCCTTGAACAACTCAGGAGTTAGGGTTCCAAGCCCCCATATAGTTGAAAATCTGGATATAACTTTTGACACCCCACAAAATTAATGACTAACAGCCTGCTGTTGAACAGATGCCTTACTGATAACACAGTCAATTAACACATATTTTGTATGTTACATGTATTACATACTGTATTATTAAAATAAAGTAAGCTAGAGAAAAGAAAATGTTATTAAGAAAATAACAAGAAAGAAAAAATATATGTACTACTCATGAAGTGGAAGTGAATCATCTGAAAGGTCTTCGTCCTCACCATCTCCAGCTGGAGTAGGCTGAGGAGTTGGTCTTCCAGCCTCAGGGGTGGCACAGGCAGAAGAAAATCTGCATATGAGTGAACCACACAGTCCAAGCCCATGTTGTGCATATTGAATGCCTATGCTGTGCCAGTTACTCTTCTTTTTTCGTTGTTGTTTTTCTCAGACTGAGTCTCACTCTGTCGCCCAGGGTAGAGTGCAGTGGTGCAATCTCGGCTCACTGCAACCTCTGCCTCCCGGGTTCAAGCGATTCTCCTGCCTTGGCCTCCCGAGCAGCTGGGATTACGGGCGCTCACCACCACATCTGGCTAATTTTTGTATTTTTAGTAGAGACGGGGTTTCCCCATGTTGGCCAAGCTGGTCTCGAACTCCTGACCTCAGGTGATCTGCCCACTGTGGCCCAAGGTGCTGGGATTATCGGCATGAGCCACAGCGCCTGGCCTGTGCCAGTTAGTCTTCTAAAAACAAGATGAGAAGAACAAAGCACTCCCCTCCTGCCCTTAGGGATTCACTGTGGAGTGGAGGAACAAGCATGGATGCTTCACATGAGAAGCACTAATAAAGGTTCACCAGTCTTGCCTTGGATGGTGAGGGGCTGAACTATTCCACATGCTGTAAAGTAAGAGCTAAGTGAGAGGCCTCACATTTAGAATTCTAGGCTTTGAAATTCCCAAAAGTCCTGAGTTACCGCTGCAGAATCTTGTGCTCAACTTCCCCCTCTGTATCCTATTGGAAGAACTGGATGCACAAAAAGGATTAGAGGTGATATGACATCTGACTGTGTTTTTTCCACTTCACTTGTGCGCAGTCATCCCTGGTGACATGACTATAGATGGGAACAGAGGAAAAAGGCAGCCCTGATTGGGAGAACACTCTTTAGGGAAAGTGGAGTCATTCTAATACATTTAGAGTTCTTCACAGATCCTAAAGAACGAATCTTTTCTTTACTTAAGTAAACTGTTAAGTACATGTTGTTTATTTTGTTTTTGTTGGTCTGCTTGATTATTTGTTTATCTGCCTGGTTATTGTTGAATTGTTTCTACTTAGTAAGATGGCACAAAGTGATTTAGACATCGCTGAATGAGACACGTTCAAAATGAGAATGCTGACACACAATTCACTCAACAGTGGCCCAAAATCACAGGCTTTCTTTCATTTAAAATTATACATGAGATTGTAAGTGGCACTCTTTTTTATCTTTAAAAACATGTTTATGTTAATACCCTGACACTGCCTCTGTTCCAGGGTGGTTATTGAGAGCCTTATGGAAACCAAGAGAGCCACATTATGCGGGGGTTCCATCAGCACAGATGAACAGAAAAGCAATGTGGAGGCCAAAGCAGAAACACAGAAAAAGAAGCATGTAAATACAGGAACCCAACATATGAAAACAGTAGTCCCTCAAAGCAATGGGAATGACAGACAGTTTAGTAGATGATACTGGAAAACTGGCTCACAACGTGGGAGGAAACAAAGCTATAGCCCTACCTTTTGTTACATTAAGATTATTTTTTATTATGTAAGATAGACTTCATCTTAATTACCTAAATGGAAAAGGCAAAATTATAAAGCTAAAAAAGAAATTATTATTTGTTTTCTTTGAAAATACATATATAATTTATATATATACATGTATGTGTATGTATGTGTTTGGCCAGACACTATTGTAAGTTATTTACACAATTTAACTCATTCAGTTTTAGTAAATCCCTATGAAGAAGGTAACTTTATTTTTATGTATGTATGTATGTATTTATGTATTTATTTGAGTCAGAGTCTTACTCTGTTGCCCAGGCTGAAGTGCAGTGGTGCAATCACAGCTCATTGCAACCTCAAACTCCTAGGCTCAAGGGATCCTCTTGCCTCAGCCTCCCAAGTAGCTAGGACTACAGTTGTGTGCCACCACACCTGGCTAATTTTTTTTTTTTTTTTTTTTTGAGACGGAGTCTCACTCTGTCGCCCAGGCTGGAGTGCAGTGGCGCAATCTCAGCCCACTGCAAGCTCCGCATCCAGGGTTCAGGCCATTCTCCTGCCTCAGCCTCCCAAGCTGGGACTACAGGCGCCCACCACCACACTCGGCTAATTTTTTTTGTATTTTTAGTAGAGACGGGGTTTCACCATGTTAGCGAGGATGGTCTTGATCTCCTGACCTTGTGATCCACCTGCCTCGGCCTTCAAAGTACTGGGATTACAGGCGTGAGCCACTGCGCCCAGCTAATTTTTTTTTTTCTTTTTTTTGTAGAGGTGGGGTCTCAGAATGTTGCTCAAGCTGAGATGGTCATTTTAATATATCAGTTTTACATATAGATAGAAGATTAAGGACCATCACTGAGGTCACATAGCTCAGAGGCAGAGTTAAGATTTGGACCCAGGCAGGTTGGTTCCAGCATATATGCTCTTAATCACTATACCGCAAATGAAGAGCCCCACTGACAAATGGTAAGAGACGACAAAGCAAAATGATACATATCTTCAATATCTACTGACACATATCTTCAATATCTGCAACTGAGAAGTAATTAACATCTTGAATATACCAAGCATTTTTTCCTGAAAATCTACAAGAAAAAGATAGGTGGTTCAATCAAAAAATAGGCCAAAGAATCGGTAATACACATAAGAAAAAGCCGAGAAAGCACACAAATTAAAGAGCTCACACCAGTGACCAGAGAAATGCAAATGAAAATAACAGTGAGGTGTCATTTTACACCCGTGAACATGGTTTTAAAAATGGGAATCAGAGATTAGAGAAAACTAAGTTTTGTTGGAGATGCATGCAGATGGGCACTCTTGCACTCTACTGGCGAGTGTACACTTGTAAATCCATATTGAAAAGCAATATGGCAGCTATTTAGACAATTAAGCCTGTGGAGTCCCATGACCCAGCAAAATCACCGCTGGCTATGAAACTAGGGAAATTTCTCATTGGTTTGTAAAGGGTTGTTTGTCATAGGCTTGTTTGGGTTAGAGGGGAATTGGAAAGACAGCCCTGATAAATCAAATAAATGGATAAATCAGTGACATATGCATACAATGCACCATCACATTTTATAAAGACACATGCACATTTAATGAAATTTATGAAACGCTTTGGTGTGGGAAGCTGTAGCAGAAAGGGACAAGGCATAGAATCAGAGATGAGGGGAAAAATAAGATAACACTTTTGGGGATCAATGATCCCCTTGTCAGGGATGATGATGTGCTATGAACTGAGGAATGTGATTAACTCAACCCTCAGCCACCCTGCATCTGTGGTAAAAATAATGAAGAATAATGAGTGGGATCAGGAATGAAGAATGAGGGGAGAGCCCAGGTATAAGATTGGAATGTATATCATAACTGGCATAAGCCTGGGAATAAAAATGGTCAGATAAGCAGCGAGGCGGAAGTGTTGCTGAATCCCAGAGGCTAGGACCACAGTTTAACTGTACCTGCTGCCTCTGTCTGCAGGTCCTAGGAAGGAATGGGGAGCAGATGTGAACATTCAGCTAGGAATCAGGTGGCCCAATTCGGGAAGGATAAAGTTTCCAGAAGAGGATTAGCAACATTAGGCCTGACAAATGAATGACAGCTCAGTACCAAATCGGAAGGTCCATGTGGAGTTCCAGTTTACCTGGTGCAGAGTGGCAAGAGGTCCCCAAGCCCACTGGCAGGTAGAACATGGAAGCCAAACAGAAAACATACAATCAAATCCCAAGACTAGCACAAGCTGAGTTCAGGTCAACATAGAAAAATTGGAGCCATGATAACTGGCTTTTAACACCATTATTCTTGACCTGGATGCATGAGGACAATTATGATTTGGTTGTGACAGGGTGCAGGTGAAGTTTCTAATTGCATTGCTTTCATTGCCTTTATATAAGAATTATTAGCTGGGTGCAGTGGCTCAAATCTGTAATCTCAGCACATTCTGAGGTCAAGGTAGGAGAATTACTTGGGCCCAGGAGTTCGAGACCAGCATGGCAACACAGTGAGACGTCATGTCCATAAAAAGAAAGTAGCCAGGCATGGTGCTGCGCACTTGTGGTCCCTGCTACTCTGCAGCCTGAGGTGGGAGGATCTCTTGAGTCAGGACGTCAAGGCTGTAGTGAGCCACGATGGTGCCACTGCACTCCAGCCTCGGTGACAGAGCAAGACCCTGTCTCAAAAAATAAAAATAAAAAAATTTATCATCGCTCTTTCTTTATACTAAAATGAAAACATTGAAAAGGGAAGAGGAGCAGGTTGCCTGGGGTTAGAGAGCAGGTTATCATTGTCAAAATTTATAGCTATTCTGTGCAGTACTCAAAATTAGACATAATAAGAGAACTTCAAAGAGATAGATCTGCCGAGAGTCTAAAGTGCTTCTATTCACATCATATGCCACAAAACCCCAAACTATGAAACCCCAACATCTATTATGTGGCTAATCCATAGTGAAAGGCATGGAGGACTCACCCTGCCTCCCCTTGCTCAGTCTCCAAAGCCAACAGATTAAAGGAGCCTGCTCTCTGGAGCTGATGGACAAACAGCATATGTCAAGAAGACACAGTTTTGAGTAATTGCAGAAAAACATGAACAAGTACATATGATTCATACAGAGTACAGCTAAAAGAATGGAGTAGATTCTAGCATAGGAAGAGAAAACACCATCAGAGGTTTTAGGAGAATGTGACCTGTCTTCGATCACCTCCAGCTCTCATGAAGCCCCCACCTGTCATTCACAGAGGCTAGTATTTCTTGGTGCTCACTCAAGAGGAACTGCAGGACACATGAACCCAGGAAAGTAAGCTACTGAGCCTTGAGGAGGAAAGGGGCTCAGAAAGACACCTGGGTAAACTTCTGATTATTCCTGTAATGACTTCAGTCTTTGTACTATTATTCCTTAAGCAGCCTACCATCCAAATGAAAAATAGAATTAGCCCTCTTCTGTTTTTAATCTTGAATTGCACACTAATTGATTTTTAAAAGCCCTGCTACTGTCCTGTATTTGCTCTGTAATAAACTGTGCTTGATTATGGAAGTTTCAGGTATAGAGGTAGCATCCCCTTGCCTACTGACAAATAATCCATAAGGGAGTTCTTAAACACCACTGGCTTTCAGTTGGCCCAAAGTGCAGTAAGAGAAAAAGCCAGTGGGAAAATAGTTGAAATAAGGATCAGGAGAATTAAGGGGGTGGAAGGCTCTTTGTGTTCAGTTGCCTAAAAGCTCTATACGAAATGCATTTCGGGGGAGGATATGTGTGAATTATAAAAGTGAAAAAGGAATTATCACCCCCATGCCTGTTAGATATAAAATATCCCAGCAATAACCCCATAGCTTGAAACGCTGCTACACTTTTACTACAGCACATGAGGGCAGTCCAGAAAGACTCAGAAGGAAAGCACATGGAGTCAGGAAGACAGAAACGCTGATCAGGCAAGATGGGTAATTTCAAGATCAGGCAAGAGACACAGAAATGGGCATCCCTTTGTATCTCCAGATGTGAGCCCCTGAGCCTACTTTTGCTGGGTACGATTGGAAGAAGGGCCGCCACCTGCCACTCTTTAACCTTAATATGTTTAAGAAACAGGTGCTGGGGAGGACGCCAAGTTTAGAGGATCATGAACTGTTCAATGGCAAATTATGGGCCTGAGGATGCACTGGATACCAGGGTCCAGTGTATTCAGTGGCATGGTCCCTCTGTCTCCAGAGAGCAAACACCGTGGAGAAGCAGACCTCCGCTCACAAATTGGTTTGATTCTTGGTTCTGTTTCTCTCTGACATGAGCAAGTCACAGCCTGCTTACGTCTTAGTTTTTTGTTTTTTATTTCCCAGTAAAATATGTAGGGGAGGAGATCCTTATTCACTTTACAAGATCATTGTGAGAGTGCATTGTGATAATTGTATAAAGGTGATTTTAAATTGTACCCATTCTTGTTGGTAAAACACTAGCTAGCACGTGTAGGCACATGGTTTCGCATTTATTTATGTTATTTCTAGCCGATTCCTATATACGGTTGGTATAATGGCAATTATTTAAAAGGTCAAGGGACTTTGGGGAGGAGAAACATTTCCATCTTTCTATCTGAAGGCATTCAGATCTGTTTGTCTCAAAAATTCCCTCTCAGATTCTGAACATGCTGACCAGTTAATGAGAAAAGCAGGCTCCTCACCCTCCACAGTTCAGATAGAAACCAGATTTCTAAAATACTGAAAACCTTGTCTCTATTTCCTTCCCCACTGTTGTCAGCTATGCCCCCAGGAAGCAAAGCATTATCAAGCATTGCCATGCCTCAAGCAGCAAAAAAGAGAGAGAAGAAAACACAAAAACCTTCGTTTCAGGCTTAAATTATGTTTTCTTCTCTATTGATCTGGTGATTGCTGTTTTGAACTGAGTGAAAGGGAAGTTGGTTGTCTTTTCCCTTCTTCCCTTTATCTCTGCCTGCTCCTTGCTCCTCCCTGGCCCATTAAAATGGTCCTGGCTTGGTCCTCATCCCACCTTCATGTGGCTCGGTGCACCAGCCTCCTGTTTGGCCTTCCCAGGGCCAACCTACACATGACCTCAGCGTGGTCTCTGCACAAAACAGGCAAACAAAAAAAAGCATCAATGAAACAAGCCCAGCTGAGACCGTGATATGCCTATCCTCCAAAAGTATATATCAGTTGCCCCCCACTGATCATAAATTAAAGTTTCGAACTGTGGGTATGGCATTTGAGACCACCCACGATGCCTGGACCTCTTCTATTCTCCATCTGATGATCTCTTCTATCTCACAGTCTTAAATACCATGTGTGTGCTGATGACCCCACTCCAGTGTAAATCTCCTACAAGACATCACTCTTCCGTGCCAGCCTCTTTTATATTCACCTGTCCACTTGGCATGTCCGCTTTTATGTCTAACACTCATTTCATCTTAATGTGGACAACATAACTCCTGATCTTTTCCAGCAAACTTGCTTTGCCCACATCATAGCCCATCTTAGATAGTGGCAACTTGGCCAGAAGCCCTGGAATTGCTCTTGACACCTCTCTTTCCCTCACATCCCACATGTAACCCATCAGCAAGTCTTACTGGCTCTTCCTTCTAAAGGTATTCACAATCTGACCCTGGGCACCTTCCTCACCACCATCTGTGAGTGACAACAGCAGCAGCTTCCTATCTGACCACTTGCCACCATGTCTGTCCTCACACAGAGGCCAGCGTCCCATTTTAGAACACATTCCATTCTACCCCTACCCTGCTCAAAGCCATCCACTGGGTCCTGTTTCTGTCATGGTGAGAGGGTCCCTGAGACCTGACCTGATCGAGACTGCTGTCACCTCTCCAACTACTTACCTGACACCACACTCTGCATCCCAGCCACCCCTGCCCATGGACACTCCAGGTCCACTTCTGTCTTCAGGTTTTTACATAGCCTGTCCCTTCTGCCTGGAATTTATTTCCTAGGAAAATGCGTTAATCATTCCTTCACCTCTTTCAAGATATTGCTAAACATCGCCTCCATAATGGTTAACCTAAATATACTATTTGGACTTGTCCCTGTATCTCTTGTTCAACTATTCTGCTTTTTTCCCCTACCCAATAGCATGTGTCACCTTTTGCATACTGTAGACTTTATTCATGTATTATGTTTATTGTCTGTCTCTTTTCACTAGAATGTAAGCTCTGTGAGGGAAAGTGTATTTGTTGGTTTTGTTCACTGATGTATCCTAGGCTCCTTTAGCAGTGCCTATTCATAGCTGTGCCTTTACTGCAACTCTTAGTTTATTCTGCCTCGGTAAATATTTGTTGAATGAATGAATGAATCAGGATCCATTCTGTTTCAGCAAACTCATCTCCCACTATTTTCTTCCAACTAGACTCTGGCTAGAGTGAATTTTTGTCATTTTTTTATCACACAAATGCAAACTCTATATTGATTATGCTATTAACTCACCCTCGAGTGTTCTTCATCCTACCATCACCCCCAGAAAAATGCAATTTGTTTTTCTGGATTCAGCACAAATACCATTCCTCCCTTCCCTCTCATGTTTCCTTTCCTTCCCCCTTCCCTCCCTCCCTCCCTCCTTTCCTTCCCCCTTCCCTCCCTCCCTCCTTTGCTCTCTACCTACCTACCCAAGCTCCAACCCTTCCTTTTTCCATGTACTATTTAGTATTCTTATGCAGTGTTTACTATGCTAGCCATGGCAGATTTGAAAACTCAGACACAGTCCTCACCTTCAATTAGCTGATAGTCCACTGAAGTTTTCTCCAGTGCCTTTGTAAGAATAAATCACTCCAATGTTTGCCTTTCTGGGCGGCAGCCTGAGACAGTGACAAGAGTTGAAAGATGCTTCAGAGTCACAAGCCTCCTCCAGCTCCACCACTGATCAGCGAGCTTACTCAAAGCACTCAACCTCGTTAAGCTTCTATTCTTCATCATTAGCATGAGGACAATAATTCCTACCTGAGACTTTCATTTGACAATTAGTCTAAATATTATGTAATAATTACAATATTTAATAATACAATTAATAATAATTAATTAAAATAATGTGCCGATGCCCTTTTAGCATGTAGTTGGCATTCAAGCATTAAAGTCCCTTTTATGTGCCTCCAATGCCCAGCAGTGACTGCATTCCTTTCTTACAACCCTTATTTTATTCTGCCTCACTCTATAAGTTATTTCCTTGTCTGCTTTCCAGGAGACGTTGAGTCCCTGGTGACCTCCCTCCACTGTACAGCTTTGCAACCACAGACTGGAGGAGGGTTACAGATCAGAGCTCCTTTCCTGGCCTGTGCGTCCCTCATTCATCCTCTTGGCTTCTGTATATGTTCCTCCTGATACTCTTTCTCCTCTGTTCAACCCTTGTTTTCCATTGCTTTGTCATGCACTTCATCGTTTTCGGAGCTCCTGTCTCCCTCATTCTGCGATGCTCCCCTATTCTATTTCCACCCCTTTCCCCACTCTACCCCACACATCCTCCCTTTTCTTCCCCAGGTTCCAGCGTAATCCTCCCATCCTCTCCTCTTGATCATCACTCTCTGTCAGGCTCCTGTCCTCACAGACCAGCCAGGGTAAGTTTTATTGATCTCTTGGTAATGCCCGAGTGCCTCTGAAGGTTAAGGTCAACAAGAGTAAAGCATCCTGCTGAACCACAAAACCTAAACTCTCCTTTAGTATGAGGGGCATCAATTATTCAAAGCTGTCAGATCACATGGCACTCTCAAGCTGGTGATACTGCATTAAAATGTGGAATGAGCATGGGAAAGACCAGGATAACCAGTCTTCACTCACAACCCAGGGAGCCTCACCCAGGCTACTGGGAGGCTGACGATGATGGCCAGATCTAGCCATTGATCACAGGGACAATGATGCCTAACAGGATTCCATAATGAAGAGAGACCATCAAAGAAGCTATTCATATCCAAAAAGTCTTTGAAGCTTTGAATATTTATTTTTTTCTTGTGTCCCATAATCCCATGTGTATCTTGCCTTAATTTCTCTACTTGCTTAATATTAATAATTAGACACTTGAATTCTACAAAAATCAAAATAAATTCAAATAATGCTGGGTTTCACTTGTCACTTTGGCTATGCCCTGGCTTATTTTGCTGACACTTTAGAGGCTGCTGTGATATCTCAACAGTAGAAGTGTTGCATATTTTAGTTAAAAATACACGGAAAACAAAGAGCTGTGAATTAGAAGTCTGGGGGAAATTTCACCAGCTGACTCATTCCAAATAAATGTGTGCCTTACAACAAATGACCCATCTAAGTAGATGTTACTGTCATCTCAGGAAGCCCCCAACCAACCCCTGGGCCTCTGCACACGCGGTTTCCCTGCTGAGAACTGTCTTCTCCAGCTCCCTTGGTTAATGTCCACTCACCCTTCTGGACTGTTCTTAGATATCTCTTCTTCTGGGCAGCCCTTTGGTCTGGCTTAGAAACTCCTCCTAGATGTCCCCAGTTCATCTTTTATTATAAAATCACTGAATTTATAATCCTGTGTGGTAATTCCACTAGAAGCCATGTAAGACAGACTTATACTAAGTATAACTAGCGTACTTAGTTATACTAAGACAGATTAGAAGCATACATTCAGAAACTACCTGGGCTTGGATTCTGACTCTAACACTCTCTCTCTGTTTTCTGATCCATAAATATGAGAATGATAGCCACAGTATCTACCTCAAAGTGTCATTCTGATGATTAAATAAGTAGGTACATATAAATTACTCAGAAAAGGCCTAGTGCATAGTGAGCACTATATAAGTGTAGCTGTCATCATTATTATTTTGTCTGTATAAGCTCTGTCAGGGCAGAAACAATTACTGTGTTATTTATTCACTACCCTGTGCCTATTCCAGAGCCTGGCATGTTATCCTACATAATGGCTGAATCAAGGGATGCTCTCAACATAGGAGTAGAGCTCCAACAATAACCTGCTCAGTGCCTCTGGCTAGAATCCTTTTAGCAAGGTCACAGGAGATATTCTCCATGGGTGTCTTGCATTTCTGCACATATTGCAAGAAGAGGACCTATCTTTTCATGGATATTTGTAGACTGAACAACCTGAAAGACAGAGATAATATCTCCCTTCTGAGCAGAGGACATGTTTTCTTTAACACCCAGTATAACAAAAATAATATTTCCCTCCCAGGCAAAAGTTGAGCAGGTTTACTTGCAGTCCATTATAAAAGATCCAGGTTCCCCAAACTCAGAGTTATCCAGCTGTCATGCAAACACAACCCAAGTGTCTAGCCTCCATTTGCGCTGCTCTGGGTCACACCTGTGGATTTGGGGTGCTTGGGGAGCATGGCGAGCTGGTGTGAACTTGAAGCTCATACCACTGGCTGTGCCACAGTAATAAAGTCTTTTGCCTAGGACCCAGGAGTCTCGTGTCTTTTGTTGGGTAAAATCTCAGATCCATCACAGTTCCTGACAGATTTCAGTGATGAGAATGGGATGCTGACAAAGATGTAGCTTTCTGGAAAAGTAAGGAAGTGGGCGTCCCAGGCTGTGTCAGGGATATGAAATGACTCCTTGACACCCTGTAGCAAACGCTATTTCACACTGATGGGTGGGGGATGCAGTGAGTAAGGATCTTCACTATCCGACCTATTAATGAACGTTTGGAGGTTGCAGTGAGAAGTAGGAATAAAACGAGCTGCTGAAGGACAGTGTGGTCATTGCTCACACTACTTGGGGTGGAAGGAGGGAGGGATGTTTTCATGAAAATGGGGTGGCAACCTGAGCCCCAGCTGACAAGAAGGCTGCAGCTGCTGAGCCCAAGGGTCCACAGTCAGGGTAAATGGCATAAGCAATGAGGACACGGAACTTTGTGTGGATTGCAAACATTAGTGTCTTGGCCAGTTAGATCATCTGTAACAAATTACCATAGACAGAGTGGTTCAAACATTTGTTCCTCAGGGTTTTTGAGGCTGGGAAGTCCAAGATCCAGATGCCAGCAGATCTGGAGGGCAAGGGCCCGCCTCCTGGTTTCCTGATGGCTGCCTTCTTGTTGTGTTCTCACAGGGAGGACAGCAGAGAGGGAGCTCTCTTGTGTCTCTTCGTATAAAGGCACTAATTCCATTATGAGGGCTCCAACCTCATGATCCAATCACCTTCAAAGTCCCCATCTCCCAAAACTATCCCATTGAGGGTTAGGGTTTCAACAGGTGAATTTTGGAAGGACACAATTGTGCAGTCCATAACATTAGAAATGTGTTTGGTTGTGCCTTGCTTATTGGCATGAAACTGCTCTCGACCTTCACACCCCTTGATCCTTCCTACCCCCTCTACTCTGACCTCAACTGCTTTAAAGAGAAAGATGATTATGAGAGGGGCTGGTATTTCTTGGTGCTCCCTCAAGAGGTATTGCAGGACATATGCACCCAGGAAAGTATGCTAAGGAGCCATAAGGAGGGAAGGGGCTCAGAATGAAGGGAATCTGATGGGTGTAGGCACCCACAAACCACCTAGGCCACTCACAGAGATGACACAACAAACGCCTGTTCCCTCATGAGACCAGGCAAAATCAAGTTGCTGATGGAGCCTTGGTGAAACATGGACACCATTGGTGCATGGATCCATCATCATCCTAGATGTGGCAACATGTCCGCCTTCCTAGACTAGGCACACAGTAAAAGACTCTATGTTTCGAATGCAGGGACTACCACTGCATTTCACACTTGGTGACTCCTGACAAAAGGTGATCTCTGTCTCAGTGGGAAAGGTTGCATGGCATGGGGAATTACCCCTGCCCAGTTCTGGAAGACTCACTCACTCAGTCTGACTTTTGACCCCCTCTCAGGGCTATTGATGCTGCCTCACTGCCGGCCACTCTTGCAGGATACAGTGCTGCTGCTCCAGTGTAATCTGATTCTGCTCCCCATGCTAGTGTGGCCTTTGAGACCAACTTGTGTCATGTGCTAGGCCTTCCAGAGTATCTTCAGTCTAGCAATGCTTCACCTTTCATCAGACCAACCTGTGTCATGTGCTAGGCTTTCCAGAGTATCTTCAGTCTAGCAATGCTGCACCTTTCATCACAAAAATGATTAAATAATGGATTTGATAGTCAAGGATTACTTGACGGGCTTTAATTCTCCCCATCATCCACAGGCATCTGGTATCACCAAGCTTTGGAATAGCCTCTGAAAAATTGAATCAGAAAGATTTCTGTCTCTTTTTCCCTCATGTCCTCCCACTCCACACACCTTAATAGGGTGCTTTGGCCCCCGAAAGTGGCTGATCCAAGAAAGGGATCATCTCTTTCCTGCCATTTCCTGCATAATCAACAGGACAAAATAAATGGAGGGAACAATGAAGGTTTTTTCAAATTCAGGATTTCTGCTTGACCATTCCTGGGAACATGAGTTATTTTCTTCCCTTGACAGCAACCCCAGGCCAGCATAGTTGGCCCACCCTTTGGGTAGCAACCTGGCTACAAAAGGATCTAGGGGACTCATGCTTAAATCTGGTTAGGCTGCCTGAATTCTCTTGTTGGATTGACATGCTCCTGGATGAAAAAGGTGATGGCCAGTAGGTTGAAGACGCTGTTGTCCAAATCCCCTCACGGTGCTCAAACAGGCCAAAGTAGGAGGCATGACGCATCTCTGTGAATTTCAAAAAGCAATATTGACCCTCCTGCACCTGAATCTTCAGGATGAAAGTTCCAGGTATCAGCAGAAAATAATTGGAAAAGGTGAAGTTAGAGCTACTGGATGTAACAGACCAATTTTGCAGAGTACGGACCAAAACCTCAGGCACTTGGAGAGGAACGCTGTAGACCCTGGAAGGGAACAGGATGGATCTTTTGTCATAGAACCACTCCATAAATCCTCTTCATGAGGAAAATGACCTGATACAGTTCTCCCAATCTGCTGCAAATACCTTCATTTAACTGACTCTTGGGTCCAGCATCCCCTCCTGACAGCTCTCAACACAATTTGATCACGATTCCCCTTAACCTAACTGAGCAGTTTATATGAACATTAGGGGATGGGGCCAGCTCCTGGAACATCATCACAAAACATATGTCAACATCTGCCATTGTCTCCCCGATTCCCTTCCTAGAGTCACTGACTGCTCCATGGTTCCACAGGCCAGATGAATGGCATCCAGCCGGTGACATGGATATACAGGGCAGGAAGTCCCTCAAAAACAGGGGTTAGACTCAATTATTCTAGCAGAACTGAAGCCCCTAAGTCCTAACGATCATGTAGGAGATGACACTGGAGGCAATGTCAAGTTGTGATTCTGGATGGACGGAGGTCTTACCTGGGAGGGTCCCAACAACTGTAAACAAGACTTTCCATCCAGGGGCACCATGAACACCCTCGAGCTTGTACTTCTTGTGTGGAAGTAGGCCTTAACTTGCCCCTTCTGAACACCCTGTGACTTTTACGCTCAGAGGTGCTCACAGAGAACCTCAAGTATTTAAGGAGATAACACCCTTGCCCTGGAAGGAATTCAAATCAGCTTCAATGCACTGGCCAGGATTGTTATGGATAACACAACTACCCTCCACTGCCTCTTTGCAAGCCTACTCAGGTCTGTGCAATCTCTAGTACATGCTGTTGTACCTGCATTCATGCCTCAGACAAGTGAGAAAGTTAATATAGAAACGTAAGGAAAACTTTCCCTTTTGTTTCTCACCTGGACCATGATTGTCTGTGGCATTTCTTCATCTGGTTAGGTCTGGGATCTTGGGGAACAATGTTGAGGTCAATACTGTAGAACAGCTTCATCCTGCTGCACAAAACCCTGTTGATAGTAGCTTTAATTAAATGCTGTATTAGACAAATTGAATGGATTTGCTACCAACCTTGATCAGTCAGAGTGGTTGATGAGGTGGTTTACTCATGAGAATATTCACCCGCAGGAAAACAAGGTAAAGTATTGTTTTAGACACTCTGTCACTCAGGCTGGAGTGCAGTGGTGTGACCACAACTCACTGCAGCCCAGAACTCCTGGGATCAAGTGATCCTCCCACCACAACCTCCCTAGTAGCTGGGACCACAGGCATGCACCACTACACCTGGCTAATTTTTTTTAATTATTTTATTTTGTAAAGATGGGGTTTCTCTATGTTGCCCAGGCTGGTCTCAAGCCCCTAGGCTCAAGTGATCCTCCCACCTCGGCCTCCCAAAATGCTGGAATTACAGGTGTGAGCAACTATGCCTGGCCATGACTATCTTTTCAAGGATGTTAATACAGCGAAGAACTTTAAGACAGAAATGGTGTCTCCCTCCATGGCACAAGGCAGATTTTTATGTCCAGTAAAATAAAGAGAACACCTCTCTTCTGAGAAAAGATTGGGCAAATCTGCGGGCAGCCCATTACAAAAGATTTGAGTTTGCTAAATGAGGGGTTACTTGGTTGTGGTGCAAACCACCTCAGCACAGAACATCCACTTGGGCCATACACATCACCCTCTTGAGACCTGGGGAACAAAAAGCACTGACACGAACATGGAGCTCATGCTGCCTGCTGTGCCACGAGTAACAAAGTCTTTTATCTCTGACCCTGGAGTCTCGTTTCTTCCGCCAGCACCCCTGAAACAGTGGCATGTGGACTTGTTTGCCTGAAAGTAGGGTAAAATCCCAAACCCTTGACCATTCTTGAATAGGCCACAGTGATTTCTTAGTTGGCGAAGGCTCCTATTTCTCTTCCAAAAAACTTCTCTTCCTTCATTTCGTCACCATAAATCTAATGGAATTCACACATTACAGGGCAAGAACTCGCGAGAGTAGTACAGAATCAGCATAAACAGGTAAGTGATGGGAACTGCTAAATGCTCACTAGTGTGCTGAGGCTCATCAAGTTGCTTGGTTTGTGGGAGGCCAAACTTCACATTACAAAACGTAGCTGCACTCATCAACATACACAAAAATGTAACTTATCTTCTTCAAGGCTCTTTTGTTTCAAATACAGAAAACAAATTGGGGTGGAGGAAGGACGGTGTTCATGTCTCTTTCTTAGATTAAAGCCAGTGATTCCAGGTTGACAGCACAGAAACTGTTAATACAAATAATTTCTTGTTTTCCCTAAACACGATTTTCTCATCAAAGACTACAGTTATATAGGGAAGTTCTTGAAGTCAGTGCTAAGTTATGAATTAAGATTTACTATCTGAAGTTTTGGCTTACCTGTGCGGTCTTCTCTGTGGGTGGGGTACCTCTTCACTCTGTTCTCCCACAACCCCTGAGAGTCTACCAAAGCACTGAGAGGGAGGAAATACCCTACCCCTGCCCCATCACTCCCCTGGTACTGAGGCACCCAGGATACTTTCTGAGTGCCTTTTACGTTCTATGTCTCTAAAGACTGCTAAATTGGGTCGGATGTGTGGGATTAAGCTCACCTCATAAAATTTGCTGGAGAAAATCTCAGATCCATTAATACTTCATAAAAATTTTACAAGGTTTCTGCTAAAGGAAGGAAAACAAACAGAGGTGGTGTCGGCATCTAGGCGCTCTTTAAATCAAACATTCTCTCGCTAATGCATTTTTTTTATGGCACCAATCAGAAAAGCAATCAACCATGAAGCCTGCGGCTTCTTCTGCTTCCATTCCTACAGCAACATTTCTAGGATCTTTAAGCATTCTGCATGAGGCCACAAAGGAAGCCTCTCTATTAATATTAATATATATAATACACACACACACACAACCACCTATTCATCCATCTATCTCGACTTTCCTTCGAAAAATTCCCTGACTCTAAACGACTCTCTATTAACATAAAAACTGTCCATCTTCCAATTTGAGATCAGGAAACGAGGATAAGATGATAAATTGATCTTCTCTATTCTGAAATTTTCTAGGGTAGGAGGGGGAGATATAAAAACAGTGGACATTTAAGACTAGTGGGATGGCAATTAAAATGCTCTTACACTTACTACCTTTATTTTTATGTGTATTGTCTGTGGGAATAAATGACAATAAAATAAATCACAGGTAACGGTTGGGCTGCAGGGTTTAAGAATGCACTAGTCTTGCAGTGGTGCAGGGAGAGGTTTCAGAATGATCTTAGCGCTAGTGAACATTAAGAAAAATTTTCCCAAGAAGTGGGATGCAAAGTGGACTGTGTCTGAGGGCCCAGCTGAAAACTGCACCTGCAGGAGGGAGTTGGAGGGGAACTGGCTTTCTGGGATAAACCCAGAGACTGGGCCAAGTTGCATTACTTCCCTTCAAAGCCAGGGCCTTTGGAAACTTGCTTTTTCATCACAGAAAAATTAACTAGAATATAAAAGCAATAATCACACTACCAAACATTGGTTAGACTTTTTTCTTTTACCTCTCATATATGTTACAATTATCTGGTCCTCAGGACAATTTTGTGAAGTAAGACAGCTGTAATATCTTGGAAAGAAAACAAGACTTTCACAAAAATAAAAACTGCTGTTTAAATTCTAGCATGGCCACCTCGTAGTTTACATGACCTTGGAGGTCTATAAACCTCAGTTACTAAATATGCATATTAGAGATGATATTCCCCCATCTAAACCATGATTAACAGGATTAAATGAGGTAGCACAGAGGACACAATGTAGACAGCACAAAATAGGAGCCTGAGGAATACAGCTTGTTTGCTCATCTTTCCAGGCAGTTACAGTATCTGATTAATAGCACCAAGCTGGTTGGTGGAGAGTTTTGCTTCCAGTCCTGAGCCCTGCACACTTTTTACTACATGACTTGGGCCTTTTGCCTGGCTTCAGGCTGATGCTGTCCCACAAAAACAGAGGCTGACCATAGAGTGAAGAGGAAGGCCATTGACTCACACCCAGTTTCCCCTGGCAAGCTACCTGGCTAGAAGACAAAGGCAAATTTTAAGTGAGTGGAATTGTGGGCAAACACCGGAGCTGGAAGAAAGGGAAGGGTCCATGCAGACAGTTCCGCTCCACTGTGGCTCAGCTCCCCCACCCCCAACCCCCCGAGACACCGATGAAAGGAACCCAGTCTCGGCAGTACCCTAGGAACGCAGGAGATGACCCAAGCTTCCTGCATTCTTAAGAGCCTCACTATTTAACACCCCTGAAAACTCTGGCCAGATACCCAGAGTAATGCTAAAGTATCCTAACTTGCCTGGGAAAGCCTGCTGAAATCACCTCTACTGAGAATAAATCAATCCAAACATCAAGCTCATCATCTTTCTCCATATCCCCGCACTCCCAAATGCCTTTTTAATGTGGACAACTCAGATCATATATTTAATAACTAGGACTTTCAAATGCTAGAGGTCACATTCTGACTCACATGTGGGGGCACCCAGCTTCTCCCTGCCATTCAGACGTGGAAGTGAAAAGAAGCAACTGCCCAGAGCAGAAAAGAAATCAGCACGTGGCATTCCCCACGTCTCTGCGCCTGGCCCTGACTGGGTCTCTATAGTGCGGCTAATGTAAATCTGTGGCATTTGCAGAGAGGTTTGTCCTAAAGAAAATCAATGGCAGACTCCCTGACACCGGGTAGCAGACATCCTCCAGACACTGGCTTCCCTGCCTGGCCCAGGGAGTGCCTGAGCATGTTCAGAAAGGAAGTACCTCTACTCAGCCTCTGCCCTCACAAGTTCTGTAAATAATTCAGCAAGACAAGGATGGAGCTATCTTAAGAACAGGCTCCAGGGGCTGCTTTGCCCCAGGAATCTTGGACATCACAGAGTGCCCCCTGGTCATTTTCTGCTGCTATTTTTAAAAGTCAAAGCGCGGACATTATATTTAGGAGAAGGCAATTTTGGAGTCATTGGGCTAGAGTGGTGATGAGTCCCTGGTGGGGGCACTGGCACAAAATCTCCCTGTGGAGTCACAGCACAGCACCAGAGGTGGGAGGTCGGGGCACTGGGAGGGTGGGAGGGACATGGGTCCTTCCAGGTCTTGGTGCCACATACTCAGCACACGATTCTTACCTTAGGAAAGTCGGCTTCCTAAGATATTTAGTTCTTTTGTCATTTATGTATCTTTTGATGTTTTACCTTTCCTAAAAACTACGATAATTATCCTCCATTTATAATTTATCTCTCTGGCCATCTACATTTTCCCCTTTACATTTTAAACTCTTTTAAAAACACACTTGAAGAGGCATCATTTTCTCGCTAATTCCTCTCCAAGGAGAGGGAAGGCCTAGCAGTTGCCATAGTGCCACTTCCCAGAGCCCAGCTAGGATCCATGTGTCTAGGTAATAGGGACAAAAGATCAAGTAGCCCTTCAACATCTGGGGAAAATTTCAAACTCATTACTATTCCAGGCAACGCAGTTTAAAACAAAGGCATGGCATTTCCACCTATCAAGCAGCAAACCTAAACAAAATGATAATAGGTAGCATTGGTGAGGGGTGACAGCAGGAAGAACCAAGCGGGCTGAGGCTGAGGCTGAGGGTGGAGGTGCTCAGGGTACCTTCCTGAAGGGCAATTTGACAGCAGGTGTCAAAAACCCTGCTGTTTGCATATTCTCTGCCACAATACCACTGGAAGAATATATCCTAAGGAGGTAATCATGCTTGTGAATAAAGACAATGAGGATGTTCATCTGAACAGTATTTACAACAGCAAAACCACTGGAAACAATCTAACTCTCTCACCACTGAGCATTACTACTTAAATGATGGTCCATTTAGAAAATAGAATATTGTGTAGCAATAAAATATAACATAAAATATTTAATGAAACAGAAAGATGTGTATATACATAAGTTATATGAGTAGGTAACAAAAGATTGAATTCATTTTTTTAAATGAAAAATATAACTACATAACTGTAGAAAATACCGACAGAAGCATATACACTACTGTGTTAACAATGACGAATGTGGATGGGGAATTACAGGTGGTTTTAATTGTTCTGTTTTGCTTTTGCTTATCACTGCTCCCTAAAACTTTGCACAACAAACATAATGTTTTCGTTAAAAAAAAAGTATTCTATAAAATTTGATTGAGTGTACACTTTGTGCACTATGGGTGAAATTACTTCAATCAGACACGCAGGTTCCCTGGGAGGCGCTGATGGACAGGGATGAATGTACATCCTCCTGCTGTATCATCGGGAGCCCTGAGGAACCTGACTTGTCGGCCTAATGTGGACCCAGTGAAGTGCATTAGAAAAGAGATCACCACCTCCCTTCAGAGAGCCAGAGTCCCTGATCGTGTCCAGGTGAAGGCTTGGCCTGCAGCCTCACTGCTGTGATGGGAAGGACACCAAGCAGCGACAGTCACCCTCCTGCCTCACTAGGTCTGGTCAGAGCAGCAGGCTAGCCCTGCCTCTCCCCGACTTCTGCACATCTACCGAGGCCTCCTGCCCTGTCTGCTGAGTGAAGCGTCCTGTGCTACTTACAATGCCTGTGTCTGGCTCCCAAAACCACTGGCCTCTGGTTTTCAGAGGACATCGCGTGCCAGGAGACATCCTCTCAGGTGGTTGTTTTAGGAAAAAGGAGGGCTTACCATAAATCACAGCACTGTGAGCATATAGCCATGGGGAGTAGAGTTTGGGGATCCCTCCGATTCGACTTGTTAAATTGGAAGCTATTAAATACAATAAATTCACCTTGCCTGCCTTACAGATGGACTTGATATTACCAGAAATAGTGGCTAAGGAGGGAAAGAAAGGCTGGCTTTCTCCATCTCCACGGAGTGGCTTGGTTCATCAGATTCACGTTAAAGGTCTACATTCTCCTCATGGCAAACCATTTATCTCTCTTCTCCTCATTTTTCTCACCTCTGATCACTTTACCTTTTCTCCTCTTCATTTCTTAAACTCTTTTTAGCTTGCCAACAATTTCTTTTTTCCCTCACTCTCTTTACTCCTTCTTTTTCATTAGAAAGTGAATTGATGCTCTACAGAAGCCTGAGTGCCTGTGATCATTTTGTATTTTGTCCAGTGCTGAGCCTCAGCCAGATTTAATGTTGCCCAGGCCAGTAATAGCAAAGAAAACTGACACAGAAAGCCATCACTTCAGTGAAATTACTTGCCTAGAAAAAGCTCCCTCCTTTGGATCAGGTGGTAAAATTGTCTATTTTTTCCCAAATATTTTAATATAATTTTAATGCTA
This sequence comes from Homo sapiens, assembly GCF_000001405.40. Classification (NCBI taxonomy): domain Eukaryota; kingdom Metazoa; phylum Chordata; class Mammalia; order Primates; family Hominidae; genus Homo; species Homo sapiens. The sequence continues at coordinate 131,953,497 of NC_000011.10, read as the reverse complement.
CATTTCACTTTATGTCATGCTCCATAGGTAGGTATAGTGGTCTTCAAGGGTCTGTTCTCAATATTAACTGTGTGTATACACATAGACACACACGCATACTCAAGTCACACAAACTTGGAGTCTGCCATTCAAAAAGCTATGGATACTACACTCGCCCCTTGTAACCAGGAGGATAGATCTCAATTTTAGTCCTAAGATATATCGTGAAACTATCTTATAAAAATATGGAAAAAAATAGAGCGTGCCTCTATTTTTAGAAGGCTTAGCACCTCATTGTTCATGTTTATTGTAAAACCAATGAATGTTGCCATGGCAACAGATGGTCCGGTCTTTCCCTGATGCCTGAAAGCCAACCAGGGTCTGCCTTACCTACCCCATGCTTGTCCTTGCTAGCAGCTGGAGGAACTTGAACACGGCGCTTTCTACCTAAGAGTCATGATGAATGGCTACCTTCTGAATTTTCAAAATTCTTAAAACTGGCACCAAACAAACAAGTTAGTGTGTATTTCTTATATCAGAGACTTTAAGTCTATATGCCACCACAAGATCAGAATAACAACAGCAAAATGTCTCTAAGGTGCCTTTCCTTTCTGTTCTCTGGGGCATCAAGGCCTATCATGATAGATAGCAAGGGCAAGAAGAGAGAAATAGAGATAATGCATTGGTCACCAGTCAGAGCTATCCCAACCTGACATCCATGTTTGCTTATTTATAAAGCATAACCATTGTAATAGGTATCTTTGTGTTGGAGTAATAAATTTCTTCTTTTTTAGAGAAAATTAATTGAGTTGAATGCTTTAGATTTCTGCCAGTCTTTAAGTTGAAAAAAATGCAGTCACACTGTCTAGATCTCTCAAAGTAACACCTTAACAATCAGGTTATGCGTATCCACAGTTGATAGAAACATTTTCACAAGCACAGAGACCTATTTGACTACATGCAGAAAAAATCTGAGGCCACTAAGGGATAGCTGAGAGAGAGAGTGTGTAAATAAAAAATTAAAATGCCCATAAGTATGTATGCATTGATGCAAAAAATGTTTACTGAGTATATGTGTATGTATATAAATATATACATACGTGCATGTACATATATGTGTGCACACACAAACACAATACAAATAAGTTTAAACTTGTAGGAAGTATTTAGATGACTATAGAGTTCCTGCCCTGAAGGAACATAGATCCTGGTAGTAAGGGTCATATGCATACATCTATAATTCAAGTTTGAAAATAGTAATACAGTTAGAAATTATGTTCAGATTAAGGGTGAAGGGTGCTCAGAGGAGGAGGAGGTACTTGAGTCAGAGAATGAGATTGAGAATCGGAGATGTGTTTTATGAGGATAGGGACATTTAGGCTGTCCTTGAGGGGTATCCAGGATTTCGGAATAGAAGGAAGTATTTCAGGAGGAGGAGTCTATAAGCAAGGACACAGAGGAAAAAAAAGTGTGATAAAAGAGAATGTATTATCAGACTTGTTAGGAGTAAGACCAGGGTATTACTTTCTTGTTGTGAACTTTTATAGGTCATATACTATCTACTAACAAATAGCAGCTTTGACCAATCAAAGCAGAAATCGCATTATCATGACTTTGGGTTAAAGCTCTCATCTTCTGTGGCCTATGAGGTGGGAGTAGTGGATGGACGTTGGGCTTTTTTTTTTTTTTTTTTTTTTGAGACGGAGTCTTGCTCTGTCACCCAGGCTGGAGTACAGTGGCACAATCTCAGCTCACTGCAACCTGTGCCTCCCAGTTTCAAGCATTTCTCCTGCCTCAGCCTCCTGAGTAGCTGGGAATACAGGCACACACCACCACACCTGGCTAATTTTTGTATTTTTAGTAGAAACGGGGTTTCACCATATTGGTCAGGCTGGTCTTGAACTCCTGACCTCATGATCCTCCCGCCTCAGCCTTCCAAAGAAGCTGGACTTTCATCATCAGGATTTTCCCCCTATCTCCAGAATCCAGACCACTCTCCTGCAGGCCTCTATCTTTGCTTCTGTGTGGACAGCTCCTTATTCAGAGGAGCAGGTTAATAGGGTGGAGAGGGAGCATCTGCTTCAGAGAAGGCTGTCAAGTGAAAGGCAGTAACACTGCCTCCAAACCAGCTTTTCATAGGCCTTTACTTATTATTTAATTTGGCTGTAGAGGATGGAATTAGGCTAATGGCTGTTAAGTGGCTAAGGCACAAACATGGTCCATCTGCCGAGAAGGCTCAAGGCCATTGTCTATTTCAAAGGCTAAGGAAAAAAAAAGATGAGTGAGACATACTGTTACACTAAGAGCCTCATCAAATGCCTTTTTATTCCCCCTCTGATCCTATTCCTTTCAACACTAGTGATTTTCACGGTACCATACTAAGAACTCAAAATCAAGGCCTAGATGCTGGCCCATTACTAAAGGGAAAATAGCTCATCCTTGCTTAAGGCTACAGGCTATTGTAGTAGAAAGCAGCCTGGGCAGCAGCAAAATGATTCAGTCCATTAAAAAAAAACAATTACCAAACAACAGCAATGTCCAGGGCACTGTGCAGAACACAAGAATAATTCCTGACTTCAACTTGCCTCCCACCTTGGATACAGGGGAAGACAGAACAGGTTCCTGATGAGTTCTAAGACATGGCAACGTGCTCAGCAACTCCAAGAGAACCAGAAGGAAGTGGAGGAAGAAGAGAGGCCATGCGTGGGAGGATTAGAGAAGGGTTCATAGAGAAGAATTTCATTTTTTGAGTTGGGCTTTGAAGAGAAATAATAGTCTATAGTTACGGAGCATGTATGCCAGGCAGTCTATATACAGTATCTAATGTAACTCTCACAGTATCCTGATAAGGTAGGTGCCATTATCTCCTCCCCCTTAACATTTTAGTAAACGGAGGCTAAGAGAAGTACCATCCATTGGCCAAGCGGAGTCAAGATTTGACCAGACTCTGTTCTTTTTCAGCTTATGTAGGACCTAAACGTGCAAAGGAAGGATGAGGGTGAAAGGGGAGTGAGTGGGCTTCCGAGACAGAGAGTACTGAGTGAACAAAGTGTACGAGAGAAAAGCCAGGGTATAGGTGAGGCAGGTGAACTGCCTGGCTTGGCAGAAGCAAGAGGACAGAGATAGTGGAGGTAAGATGGAAAGAAAAGTTGAAGCCAGTATGCTGGATGCCCAGAAAACCAGGCAAGGGAATCCACGTGTTATTAGTCTGCAAAGACCTGTGTGCAGTGGAAAAGCAGGAAGGTGTTGTGGGCCAAACTTCAGGAGCATCCTTCTGGGACCCTTCTGGGTCACCTGCCATACATTGCAGGGCAAAGGAAAAATGAAAAACAGGAGGCCTCTAGGGCAACCCAGGCAAGTGGCACTGAAGACAGATTTAAAGTCTGGGATTCCCATTGTACCACTACTGGGATGTGGTGTGGAAGGGGAGAGGAAACAAAGTCAATCCACCAATAATGTTCAAGAAATATTCACTGAATATGGTCAAGCACCAAGGTAGTCAAGATAGGGAAGGAAACAAAACAGAGAAGCATCCTTCATTTTGGTAAGGAAAACAATAACAGAATAATTATAAATAGTAAATACTAGTAAGTGTGCAAAGTGTCAGAAGAGAAAAGTGTGAGTAGCTAGGAGAGTCTCAATAGGATGAATGGATAGGAGTTTGGGGCATTAGAAGGAAGAGGAAATGTCCATCCAACATCAGCACAGAGCTTTCTACCCTCCCAGGACTTCTGAAAAGGACCTGAAAAGCTGACAGCACTAGCTGGAGTGGGCCGGGACATTCAAATAAAAACAGGCTTACAAGTGACTTTGGCCATACAGGACATTTTTCGTGACTCAGGAGGATGGACCTTGGAGACCCTGGGAATGTGGGTCACTGTTCTAGGTATAGGGCCAGTACTCAAGGTGGACCCAACACAAGACCCCGAATCCCCAAGGGTGCCAGAGACAATGATGTCTCCAATCATGCTGGAAGTTTCTCTTTGTGCAACGCCTAAAACTCAACTGAGATTGCTTTTTATTCTAGTAAATAAGAACAAAGAAACAGGTACTGGGATTAGAGTCTAGGTCAGTGTGCTGTTCTAGATTCTGAAGACACAGGATCAGTGAACAAAACAAAGCTTCCACCTTTATGAGCTTAGGTTTTAGTGAGGAACAATTGGAAATCAATAGGTAAACAATAAATGTACATAACATATTAGCACGCCCATGCTCATTGCACCACTAGTCACAATAGCCAAGATGTGTAAACAACCTAAATGTCAATCAATAGATGAATGATTAAAGAAAACGCAGTAATATACACTAATGCATGTAACAGTATGCAATATACACACAATTCAGTCTTAACTGAGAAAGAAATCTGCCATATGTGACGACACGGATGAACCTGGAGGACATCACACTAGGTGAAATAAGTCAGTCACAGAAGGGAAAACACTGCACGATTCCACTTACACGCTGTATCCCAAATACTCAAACACGTAGAGTCACCGTAGAATGGTGTCTCCCGGAGGCTGGAGGGAGGGAGAAACGTGGAGTTGCTGTCAAATGGGCATAAAGTCTCAATTATGCAAGATACACTCTACAGAGCAGCTACACAACAATGTTCCTAGAATTAACGGTACTGTATTGTAGACTTTAAAATGTTTTAAGAAGGCAGATCTCATGTTAGGTAATCTGACCACAATAAAATAAAGTTTTACAAACCTAAAAATATATGGACATTTCTCAGGGCATTGAGTGCTAAAGATTGCCTAGCACTGGGGCGGTGGGGCCATTTTATATCAGTTGCCAGCATGGACGCCTCTGCTATGTTGCCATCTTGAAAGAAGTAAGAAAAGAAGCCCTTGAGATACCATGAGGATGGCCTTTCCAGGCAGAGAGAACAGCAAGTACAAAAGCCCTGTGGCTAAAGGGCTGAACCGGACACACTGATTTTAGGACAAGCAATCACTCCTCCTAGAAGCAAAGCAGGTCAGCTTTGAGGAACACTCTCCCCTCTGTGAACAAGCCTCTATCACCAGAGGAGCACCACCGATTCAGTAAATGAGAAGGGCTAAGTGTTGGCAGTTCCCCCAAAATAAGCCTTTGGATGTGATAATGATTGGGCTTCACTTCTTTTTTTTGTTTTTTTGTTTTTTTGTTTTTTTTGAGATGGAGTCTCACTGTGTCACCCAGGCTGGAGTGCAGTGGCGTGATCTCGGCTCACTGCAAGCTCCGCCTCCCAGGTTCACACCATTCTCCTGCCTCAGCCTCCCAAGTAGCGGGGACTACAGGCACCCACCACCACGCCTGGCTAATTTTTTTTTTATATTTTTAGTAGAGACGGGGTTTCACTGTGTTAGCCAGGATAGTATCGATCTCCTGACCTCGTGATCAGCCCACCTCGGCCTCCCAAAGTGCTGGGATTACAGGCGTGAGCCACTGCACCCGGCCAATTGAGCTTAATTTCTATTACAATAACTTGCTCATCATGGGCACCAATGGCCTTATGGACAAAGATAGCATTGCATGGACCATCTTACCATTTGATAATAAAAATAATCATACTACTACTACTAATAATAAGTACTACTCATAGCAGCCAATGGTTATTGTGTGCTTACTTACATTAGGCTCTGCATCAAGTGCTTTCAATATATTGTATCATCTAAACCTCATACTAATCTCAGGAGGAAACATTCAGGCTTAAGTAAATTAAACTAATCACAAAACCCTAGGAGAGAACACCATCACTCACATTCAGATCTGACTGAAGCCAACATCACTGTTATTAACTGGGATGTTAGCCACCCCCATATACGTAACTGACTGGCTTCCATGTGAGGAAACAAGGCCCCTGAGGGCTAAGGCACTAAATAAATTGAAAAAAATGAATTCCATGGACAGACCCCAGGGCCCTGTGTCTTACAGATGTTCTATTCACTGTGAATGTTTCATACCAGCGTGTATCATCCCTGCACCCACCTCCCTGCCTTCCTTTCTTCCTTCTTACACCAACCACTTTCTGAGTGTTTCTATGTGCCTGGTTCTCTGTAGGTGCTGGGATTTCATAAAGACAGGAAGACAGTCCCGGGGAGGGGAGGGTCTGGCAGGGGTGCAGAACTCCCGGACAATTAGAGTAGATGACTCCACAGGCAGGGAGGGTTCCTGAAGCGGTCCAGAAGTTATCTCACACATAATGCAGAGGATAAGTAGCATCAGGTGGGAAGATAAACCCAGTCCCTCAATACCAGGTACGGAGAACACAATGTAAGAAGGCATCATGGTAAACAAGTCAAGACCACCATCATGCAAAGGAAGGGGGCCTTTTTCTGGCCAGCTGCATGGAACCTATATGAAAAGATGCTAAACTTCATAATTAAATATATATAAATTAGACATTTTTTAACTACCAGTGTGGCAAATGTCACATTTTAGAAACACCCCACTACTCACCAGCTTTTCTGGAAATGTCTGTACAGATCCATGTACATTCCATTCCATTGTACCTTCCAATAACCTTTATATTAGGTAATTTTCAATATTTCATAAGCTTTTAATTTGTATACCATTAGTCCTAGTAACTCTGTAGCCAAGAATTTGCTTTCAGAGGCACTTTCCTGTATACATGAAGATACTCATGGTAGCCTGTTTGACAGAGAAGAAGAATTAGAAATAATATGCACATAAATTTATAAGGAACTAGTGAAATATGTTATGGAACCTTACAAAATAGAGTATTATTCTTCTAGGTAAAAGAAACAAGGTTAATTTATACATACAGACATGGGAGCATATTGTTGATATACTATCTGTAGAGAAAAGAAATCACAGATCAATATATGGAACATATTTCATTTGTGAAGATTCATATTGTGTGCATTGTGTAGGGTTAGAGATGAATGTAAAATCCATGACAACCTGTGGACTCCTCTGGAGAAGAAAGATAAAGTTCTCTTCAAGGAAACTTTTCCATTCTATTTCTTAAAACACTGAACTCTAGCTTTTAGCAACAGGCACAGTTCCTTCTCTTTCTCTCCTTTTTATTTTGTCTTAACAATTGCATATATGTTTTACATTTTCTTTTTATTTTGAGAGCGGCAAAGATCAGGAAATGGCCTATTTGACCTTGTGGCAATGTATGTGCCTTAGGTGCATTCTCCTCTCTAAAATAAGGGTACCAGAAGGTGTCTGACATCTTTTTAGACTAATGCTTCCAGGTTTCAGAAAGATTCTTGTTTAAAAAGCACATATGTCTGTCCAGCCCAAGTGTGCTAAGGAGGAAAGGCAGGAAGCAGTCATCAGCAGTCCATTCCCCCACGTCTCCCCATCTCCCAGTCTCCCGCGAGTCTCCCACTGCCTGCATGACCCAGCTTCCCAGGCCTGTTTATAACGTCTACCCACCTGATTTATCTCCCCCTTTACCCAGATTTCCGGGATCGCTTTCTCATTCTCCTTCTGGACTGAATCTGGCTATAACTTCTGGGTTCTATCAATCTTCCTCTTATGTAACTAACCCCAGTTCATTAGCTGTATACAATGTATAGATACATTCAATCCATCAGCCTGCACCCTGCTACGGACCAGGCATGGAATATACTATCCGCCTGCACTGGGAGACATTTAATAGACAAGATTGCTTATCGCTGGCAGGAAGAGATTTGCCAGACGCCATCTATTCATTTTAATACTTGTGTCTCCTGAAGATTCCTGAATGGAGCCATCAGAGTGAGCAATTATATTCACTCTTCTAAGTGAGACTTTGGGAGCATATCAGTAAAGGTGCAGGAATGTCAGCGAGAGGTCACTGCACAGTTCTGAGACTACCCCACAGGGAAATTAACAAGTATGCAATTTGTCCTTTCTTCTTAACAAATACTGGCTGGCTGATGAGTTATTTGGGTTATTTTCTTAAATGATTTTTGAAATGTTGGCAATTTTAGGTAAATATTGAACCTGGTTAACCTGTTAGTTTGGATATTTCACTTTTTGCTATTTTCAGAGAAGGGTATAGGCTTACATGTGTTAGGGGCTCATTCTAGATTCACCCCGCCTCAACTTTTAACCTCAAGTGGACCAGAAAAAAAGTCAAGGAGGTGCCCACCAGCAAGTCAAGAAGGTGCTGCTAACCACACCCAGTGGGATAAAGGGTTCCAGGTTGACGCAAGGCTGTGTATGCCCAGATATGAGAGCGCTGTGGAGTTCAGGCATCTCACTTCCTGCACTGCTTCAAATTAAACCCCTGAATGCACCGTTAAGTGCTACAGCAGACCTCTTGCTATGTGTGTGTGCGTGAGACAGGAGATGCTAAGGAAATAGGGAAAGACAGCCTCTGTTTGTTTTACACAAATAGCTAAAAATTGGACTTGACTTATGCAATTTTGTGAATCGCCCTATAAGGAAAATACCGCAAACCTTTAATGCACATACTGCTTTTTTTCCGGATTTGTGCTTGGTGAAAGGGGAAAATAAAACAAAACCAAAAACAATGAAATCTGACTACACACCAATGGGACTGTGTTTAGTTCAAAACTCCAGGCATGAAGCCCAAATAGATCCAGGCTGGGTTTTATCCTTACACAACAGGGAAGATGATAAAACGCATTTACTTAGTCTTGCATCATGAGAGCCAAATGATTCCAAACTGAACTAATCCTGTTCTATCCCAGGAGCAGTGTTTTGGTTCTCCGCACTACACATGTCAAAATGGTGATGCCGTGGCATGATACATTTCCACGACACCCCTTTGAGTGTGATCAGGCATATACTCCAACACATAAATGTGCTGTACACATTTGCTTAAATAAATAATTCATGAAACTACAAATACCTACCCCTGAAGCAGCTTCCAACTCTTAAACACTCTAAGCATGCTCATCCTCATTTTAAACAGGAGGAGATGAAGTGCATGTTGCAATTCAGATGGAGGGGATGCCAATCCACTGGGACCTATTTTGAATTAGTGAGGAGTGAGCTACTGGATATCAATGGCGGGCAGAATTTTATTTCAAGGGCAAAATGCTGAGATTACATGCTGATATCATTGTTCCTCATGTGGAAGCAAGGCTGAGATGAGCTGTGGACATCCAAACTGCTGCTTGTGTTCCCTATGTTTTGTGCATGAAGCAGTGACCTGCCTGAGCCCCCTCCTGCAAAACTGGGGCCTCCCAAATATAGTTCATCAAGAGCTCACCACTAATCAGCGCCGCTGTCTCCTATGTCTAAAGCAATATGAGCAGAAGGATTAATAAAGCCCAGCACATAACTCACTACTGCAAGTCAGTGTCTGATTTTAACAAATGGAGAATTTTACTCTGTACCTAGTATTTCTAGATATAAAGCACTTCACATTTTCCAAGCAAATTGTCTTTGCACCAGCCAGTGGCATTTATCTGCTACCAAAAGCATATCAGTGTCACATAGGTTGTCTTCAAATTACTAGCCGTTTTCTAAGCTCTCACAGAAAAGAAAAAAAAAATGTTTCAGAAAAGTTTATGAGCAGAAAGAGCACAATTTTCACATACAAATAACGCCCAAATATGGCTTTTATAAAGTTCTCTAAGAAAGACTCTTCTTTAAGGAATATCAGCCTAACAGGTATTTTTTTTTTTCCTTTTAGAAAAATGTGAGTTGGAATTAGAATGTCTGCCAGGCTCTAAGAGAGCAACTCGGGCTGTCACCATGGATGTGTGGGGGATGATCAGATTCCAGTGCTGTGCTTTTGATTATCTGCATTTTGAAGAATATTCTTGGCTTATTTGTGTTCTAATTTGGCAAGACATTTCTAATGACAGAACTGGCACCTACAGAGAGAGACAAAAAAAAGGAAAGTTGCATTTCTAAAATTCTTTATCCATGCTTGGGCCAACTAGCTGGGAAAAGTGATAGGTGGAACTGAGGGTAGGTGCTCAGAGAGTGAAGGGAAAAAACGAGCCGGAGAAGTAGAAGTGACAGCCTGTACACCTGCCCCACTGGTCTCTTTCACTCTGGCAGGGCGCCAACCCAGACTGATGGAATCAGACACCTGGAGGGTGGACTCAGAAAAGAGAAACAGGGAAAAGTGGTGACTCGTAAACTAGCTGCATTAGAACCATCCGAAGGTTTGTTGCAGCACAGGTTACTGGGCCCTCCCAACTGGGTGCTGCAGGGCAGCAGAGCCGGCTCTGGGACTGACCTCTAGCCACCCATTCTTTGTTGTGTCACCAGCCCAGAGTTGATGACTTGGGTGCAGTTTCCATGTGAGTGAGCCTGGAAATTGAGTCCACACCAGCCAGGGGAAGGGGCATGGTAGCAAGAGAGCTTCCTTAGTGGAGATGCGGCCTCTGCAAGCACAGGAGACTGGAGACTGAGAAACCAAACTGATAAGCAACTCAACACCAAGTAGATGGTGGAAAGGGGAGGTGAGAAGAGGCCAGAAGGCCACAGTGAACATGCTAGGCTGCTGCAGATGCCTCTTCCACTTGACGACTCCAACACCTTGACTGGATTCCAAAAACCCAGAGTTGCATGCCTAGCTTTTAGTCTCTCTGCCAGGAATGCCCTGCGGTAGCCCCACATGGCTAAACTCTACGCATTTTTTTTTTTTTTTGAGACAGGGTCTCACTCTCTTGACCCGACTGGAGTGCGGTGGCCAGATCTCGGCCCACCACAACCTCCACCTTCCAGGCTCAAGTGATTCTCCTGCCTCAGCCTCCCGAGTAGCTGGGGTTACAGACACGTGTCACCATGCCCAGCTAATTTTTGCGTTTTTAGTAGAGATGGGGTTTCACCATGTGGGCCAGGCTGGTCTCAAACTCCTGACCTCAAACGATCCATCCACCTCGGCCTCCCAAAATTTTGGGATTACAAGCATAAGCCACCACACCCAGCCTAAACTCTATGCATTCTTGAAGAGCTGAGACAAATGGCCCCCCTTCTGCATCATCTTCCTGGATCCACAGACTTTTCATATAGAAATAGCTGTTCCCTGTGCAGAGACAATGTTATGTGTCCACCAAACCACCATCATTCCCCTTCCAGGCCCAGAGAAAGGGTGCCTTTCCCAGCCCCCTTGCTTCCAGATGGGAAATCATGGCAGTTCTAGGTGCTGCTTCCAGGACTGGCCCCAAAAGATACTACATCACTCTCTACTCTCCTCTGCCCACTTGCATCAAAGTAAGGACTGCAATATGGATCACAGGAAGAAGGGAGTCCAAGTCCCCAAATCATCCCCTGGAAGAAGTCATGCAGGAGAACCACTCTATGCATGGACATTGCACAAGTAAGAATTAATATGTGTTGTGTTAGTTTGCAGGGATTTAGGGGTTGTTATTACAGCAGCTGGCCCTACTAATCCACTCTCTCTCTGCTTTTGCATAGCAGTTTTACCTGCTTCTGCCACATCATGTTCCATTTACTTTACAGCTGGCTGTTTAAATGCCCATCTTCCTGTGATATGACAACTTCTTTCATTTTATTCATTTTTTTAAATCCCCAGCACCTAACAAAACTCTGGCATTAAATGGATAATCAATAAATATCTCCAGAAGGGAGGAGAAGAAAAGAGGAAAAGGAAGCAAGCAAAGAAAGAAAAATGAGTTAGATAATATGAGATGATGTTCCATAACTGTAAGTGTGTTCTTTAATATGGATGATTATGCAGAAAACACCTGCCCATTAGAATGGATCTACACCTCACCTAGACTAAAGGGCAATGAAGTAGAGTGGAAACAGAAGAATTGGGTTGAGAGCCAAGCCCATTATTTAGTGTTTTGGTTTTGTTTTTATCTCTCCAAGTGAATAATATCTGTTACCCAATAATAACAAGAGTCCATTTTTACTGAGCTGTGTTAGGTGCTTTACAAGGTTATCCCAATCTTCCTGACACCTCACGGGCTTGTGGTAGGAGTCAAACAAAGTTCTATCGTTCATTTACCCTGTTTTTGTTCCACAGTGTTCTGCACTGGAGATACAGAGATCAAAGACATACACCCTGCCTTCCAGGTGCTTAAAGTTCCAGGGGAGAGACAGACAAGCACAGAGAATATGAGGAAATGCTTTGTCACTTGTAAGACACTACACAGAAGTAAGGAGCTAAGTAATTAAGTAACTTGCCCAAGGTCACATGGCCACACCCTGCTATGGACAGGATTTGAATCCATATCCCCATGGCTCTTTTGCTGATGGTATTCTAACTCTCCCCAAAAGGGTGGTGGCTGGGGCAGGGATGGCAGAGAAGGGAACAGAAGCCCAGGATGCAACTCCAGGCTTTTAATTCCCACTCAGAGAAATGATATAGGATAACAGGTTTCTACTCTGTTGCTCTTAGAAAATAGAGCCACACAAACACAATATTGAAAAATGTCAGCTAATAAGTGGCATTGAATCAGACTTATAAGTTACTGCCCATTTTTAAAATTATGTAGATATAAATTAGATGTGTGAGAAATTGTACAATGTGCCTGTCATCTCATTACCCTCGAGAATATCTTCCCTCTCCCCTTTAACCCCTCCACGTGCCCTATGCGCACTGCCATGGGGACCTGCTCTTCCAGTCAGCAGAATCATCGAAGAGGAAACCTTTCATGCAGGGGTTTACTTTGATAAATTTTATCATTTGCACCCGTATTAAGAAATGCTATTTAAAGACACTGTATCAGCTCATAAACTATGTTGTCAAAGCAAGGTTAATCCATTTACTTAAATAATTGCGATAATTATCAAAATTCAGGCTTGTAGTAATGTTAGGGCAACATGCCAGATTCAGTGACAAATCCCCTTCTGCACTGAATATTGGCTGGGCACAAAGAGAGGTGGATCCCCATGTCTGGTATCAGATATTCAAATATTCCATAAACCTAGATTCAGATAAAAGACAGTCTCATCCCAAAAGTCACTTAGTATTGCTTAAAGAGATAAAATAAGAAAACATTACTGAACGCTTTGGGACAATCATTTGTAAGGTAAGAGTCTCTAGCTCAGGTTAACTGGACTATGTCTATATGTCTATAAGGTATTGTCTGCTAAGACAGGCAGTCATATGTACATTGTGCATGTTTGTATACTTTGCACCATCTGTAAAACACTGGGGAAAACCAAGTAAATACAGATACCCTCCAGTAAACTTTAAAATACATATGTATTTATCTCACAATGTATACCCACTAACGTCTTGTTTTATCTCCAACAAGCACCACCCACTTTTCTTCCTCAACAACCAGAGGCCTGGGAGGAGCTGATAATATTTTGTGGTGATTCCATTGTATTATTTAGTCGTGGAACTGTACATAAGTTGCACGTGGTGCTTTGCATTAGATCAGGAGTAAATATAAGAAACCACAATCCTGGGGAAACATCCAGCAAGACTCTCCAGGTTAGAGATGTAATGTAAAGACAAGCCAGATCTCTGCAGAATCGTCATCCCATACTGGGATCATCTTCAGTGAGACTAAAAACAGTGAGAAAAGCTCTCTGAAGGGAGGTGTTTTACACAGTTTCAAATAGGTTTCTTTTCCTTCTGGGTTCAGCTTGAACCTCTAGAGCAGAACTACTTAGACAAGAGAGAACACACAACTAAAAGTCTTAAGGGTAATGAAGTAGCCCACGGTGAGGTTTCCTCAAATCAAACTTTCTATTATCCTCACACATCCACTGTCACTGCCTCATATCCCTCCTACTCCAATTTGGCATCCCTCCTTGCTACTCTCCTAATTTGCCCCTCTGTACACAGAGCATAACATCATTCAAGGGGGTAAAAGAAGAATCTTGAAAATCCACTTCTTCATTTGGTAAATTCCTCATGCTCTCAACTGTCCTGTTGGAAAATTCATAAAAATATGTAACCAGATTGTTCCAGATGAGCAGCTTGCAAGAATCAGGAGTATTAAGAGAAGAAAGATTTACAAAACAAGCAACAGAAATCCCTTCACACCAAAGGTGTGCCAGCCCTCTGCTTGTACTCTACCTCTCACCTCTGCTCTCCAGCGCCATACTCCCTCCATCTGCACAGATGAGATGGAACTTTCTCATCTGTATGCAGTCATGCACTAGATAATGTGGGTCTGAACGTATGCACACACACACCAATTATTTTGACTTGATTTACCTCTCCAATTACTACCATCTTTTTTTCTTCCCTTCTCTACTATTCTCCTGAAACCTCTCTTGCCAAAATCCTCAAGCTATCATCTTATCCAGTCCCATGGATACTTTTCACTTCTCCTTTTCCAGAACTCCTGGTTGTGGCAGCATTCCACAAAATCGGTCACTGTCTCCATAAAATATTTCATTCTCTTGTATTTTTTGGTCTCAAACTCTCCCTGGGTTGCTTCCTACCTCATTGGCTGCCAATTCTCTGCTCCTTTTCCCTCCAACCTTTAAATATTGCAAAAGCTCAGGACTCCGATCCGCCATTCTCCTCTCTAGCTACAATTTCTCCTTATCTTGGTGATTTTACCCAATTTCAAGATTTTAAGAACAAATATAAGCTGATCTCTCCCATACTTAAATCCCCAAGTCTCATCTCTTTCCCGAGCTTTGCAATCATAAATCCATCTGCAAACTCTTCTTGATGCTAAACAAACATCATAAACTTAGTGTATCTAAGGGTCCTCTTGCTCCCTCATTTCTCTCCTTCCCACCTACTCCACCAGTCTCTCTACATGGGTTAAAAGAATCATAACCCAACAGGTGCTTGAGTCAGCTCTTGGAAGTCATCCTGGATTTTTTCCACTCTCTCATCACAAATTCCAGCATCACGTCCTCAGTGTTCCTTAAAATATATGTACACGCTGTTTCTACATCTCTGTTTATTCACTGCCACACCTCCTTCCACACCACCACCACCACCTCTTATAGGCACAGCCACAGGAAGCTCCGGAACAGTATTTTCTTGTCACCCTGCCCCACCCACCTTTTGCATCATACATAGACTAGCCAGGGTGTCTCAAAGACATACACATGACCAAGCCATTCTCTTGCTTAAAACCTCTTCTCCTTTCCATTGTACGCAGAGAAAAGGCAAACTCTTCACCCTGCCAGCAAGGCCTGGCACAAGCCGGTCCCTGCCCACCTCCGTGACCTCATCTTGCAGTGCTCTCATGCTTAGCACTGTGATCAGCCCCAGTGACTTCCGTTTTCTTTCCCTAACTTGCCAAGACGGTTTCAGCCACACAGCTTCATACTTGTTTTCCCTCTCATTAGAATTCTGTGCTTCCTCTCAGGCTCTGTGCATGGCTGCCTCCTGCCCATCCCCCGGGGCTCAGGTCCACTGTTCCCGTCTCCACAGTCCTTTCCTGACCAACACACTCCAGTTACTTTCCATCACATCACCTGTCCTTTTCTTCCCACCCTTGTCGTCAAAAGCTTCCTTGTGTAATTATATGTTTATCATCTGCTTTTCCCACTAAAAGGTGACTTCCATGAGGGCAAGGACCTTTTCTGGGTGACCTGTGTACCCTGACCACTTACAATCCTGTCCAGTGCGTAGTAAGCACCCGATACGTGTTAGAGAAATGACTGAAGGAATGAACAAATGATGGGTAATAGTTAAATTAATTAAGAGCATGCCTATTAGGATCCAGACATAGCAAACGACATTATTTTCAGGCTTGGCTCAGTAATCTCACCAAAAAGGCACTCAAGTTCAGAGGACTTGCTACGTGCAACCTAAAGAAAGAATCTCATTTTTTACCCGCCCTTTGAGACACTTTGCTGAACATGCCCTACAAAATAACATTAATCCATACCTCCTGCCCTTTATTATAATTCTAACATGGGGCCAGCTTTCTAAATGGAAAACTATGTAAATTTCTACTAGAAGTAAAAAATTATAATTTATCGCTAGAGTTAGACCCAGAACCAGATTACCGAGGCATTAAGTGTAGAATACACCTGTGCTTAGATCAGTCTGTAACTAGAGAAATGGGAAGAGGCTTAATGATTCCAGAAGTCACTTTCAGATGAAAATTTTTATGTGGTATATGAAAGACTTTGCTATTTCATTCACCTCTGACCAAGAAATTGTCCATACGACTTCAGTCACTTTTGCAGTAATGAGAAGGCATCGCTGCATCTCCAGGCCTCTCTCTACAACATGTACCCCCACCCACCAATACCTGTCAGTGGCCCATGCATCGCCCAGAGACTTCCACCCACACAACTCCTGTGTGAGCTCACGTTTTACCTCCCTGTCATATCTGTCTAATAGAACAAGAAGCAATACACAGAATATTAACAAACATTAAGAGCTAGAATAAATTACTAATTCAACTAAAGTATGACTCCAATAACAGTTCTTTTTCATTGCATTTATTAAAAGGAATAATTAACTGCTAAGAGGGTATTAAGAAAACACACATAAACTGCTGACTCTACTCCTGAGTGAAAACGCAGAACTTCTGTTTCTGCAGAAATAAAAGAGTAGACGTTTTTGATACACAATACAGACAGGGAATAATTTCCCTCCTGCTTCCTTTCTTCACATTTTCATAGCTGAAACCTAAAGAGTTAAAATAGTAGGTGGGTGGCACCTTTTTCTTTGGACCTAAGATAAAGCTTACCTTTGGGACTGAATAGAAAACTGCGCTTGACTCTTTGCTAAGCAGTTTGCTTGAATATGTTATTTAACTGTTCTCAGTTACATCACCCGTCACAGAATAATAACAGAATCTACCTCCTAGAGTTGTTATGAGATGCACATAAGCACTTGGAGCAGTGCCTGATACATAGTAAGTGATTGATAACCCTGCTGTTAATACAGAGTAAGTTCTGTGTCTGCCTCAGTTCCATCCATTGACGTATCATAGTGAGAATTTTTTCCCCAGAACAGTGGCTGATCTTGGAAACCAGTTCCCTTTGTTTGTGTGTGTTTGTGTGTGTATGCATGTGCGTAGTTTTTTAAAAAATTGTTTTTATTTCAATAGCTTTGGAGGTACAAGTTGTTTTTGGTTACACAGATGAATTTTATAGTGATGAAGTCTAGGATTTTCATGCACCCATCACTCAAGTAGTATACATTGTATCCATTAGGTAGTTTTCCAACCCTCACCTCCTACCCACCCTCCTTCTGAGTCTCCAATGTCCATTATACCACTCAGCAACAAGTTCCTTTTGGCCAGTGGTTTGGTAACCCAGAATTTAGTGATGCCCAAGGCTTGATAAAAAGGCATGGGAGAAAACAGCACTTCCACAGAAGGCTCTCAAAATTTAGGACGGACAAAAGACATGTGTCTTACAGTAATACCTCCATCTTCTGGTATTATATAGAGGAATGCAATATAGGATAGAAATGAATTCCAAGATAAACTGAAGTTTAATCCTGTATGTTCAAACTTATTATTTTAATTTTAACCAACGTTAATGACAAGTTGCTTAAAACATATGGCTCACTTGAATACCTTGAGAGACTGAGAATGCTGAATGTGATTTTGCATGTTTTAAAATGTTGCTGTCTCTCGACCATCACTCTCAACACCAATTTTTATATTGATATTCTTAGGAGTTGATGAGATATTTAAGAATCCATTTTTATGCATATATATATAAAATTTCCATGATTCCCCTCTTTTTATCACTCTTAGTTATTGCAATAACTGAGCAAAATTACAATGCTGGTACTTTAATGCTGATTTAAGCTAAGAACAAAGTATCAGTATTAATGATGGTGAATGCCACTATTTTATTAAAAAGTGAGATTTGCCACTGTCTTCCTCTGCCTGTTCTTGTTCTTTGTTCTACATGAGACAGGGTGTGAACCTAGGACAGATTCTTCTGTAATTTTGATCTAAAATTCTACAGGTAAGGAGACTAGTGAAAGAGGTCCTAATTAAAAATATATCATTCTATGGATGAGGAAATCAGGCAACATAAATTGTACCTGGCCCTTGCAGTAAGAAGGAGAGCTGCAGAGGAAATCTGATAAAACAGGCCAGGGAACCCTCCCCTTCCCTCCCCCACCTATCCTCATGACACCCTTCTCTTAACCCTAATTATCTGTGGTCAGCACACATGCGTGCACACTCATGCATGTAACCCTCCAATTCCAACATAACTCCACCAGGGAACTTTGGACATGGAAGTGGCCCAAAACTGGTTTTTAGGACAAATATTTATGACTAATAAACACAAGAAATCAATCCCGATCTCATAAGTGAAGTAGGAAAAGGAAGTAAAAACAAAAAGCCCGACATTCTGAATCAGTGTTAAGTAGGGCAGGTGGCTAGTGATGCTTTCCCAAATAGGTTGTCCATGTTTAATTCAAAGTAGTAATGTGGCAAAGAAATCTCTGAGTACTTCTCAAGCTGTAAATAGTTCATTATGTAAATACCCCAATAACACTAATACAACAAAACCACCGTTACTCTGTTACTTTAAGGTAGCCGAGAATATAAGCACTGCAGTCAGTAACACCCTCCATATTAACTTATCAACCCCATCAGCTTAGTCTGCTTCACCAGCAAACCTATCTGTGACTATCTCTCAATTGTTACTGCCTCCATCATTGCCAAATCTTCCACTATCCCTCACCTGAATACTGCAGTGTCCACTTCTGAGGCTTATAAGCCAGTCTCCAAGAGGCCAGGCAGCAGCGTCCTGTTGTCACCCAGAGGCTCGGAGCATGTCACTGCTCCATTGGAAACACTCTGATGACCTCCTCTTGCACAATGAAAAGAGATCCCTACCTGTGGCCTGGCTTACAGACCCTGCAGGTCTGTCTGCTCCACCTCTCCCCATTGTCTATGCTGCTGCACACACAGGGGTCTCTCTTCTCTCCCTCCAGCACCGGACACTTGCTCCCTGCGGTGTCCTGCTCTCAGATCCTTGCTGGGCCAGCTCCTTCTCTCCATTGACATCTCAGCTCAAATGTCACTTCCTCTCAGAGAGACATCCACTAGCCCACCAGCCACCCAGGCAGCCTCCGTCACAGCACTTTCCCCTACCTGGGATGTTTGTATATGTTACCTTGTTTGTTACTATCTCCTCTCACAAGACCATAAGCTCCAAGAATACATCATGTCTCTCTCATTCACTGCAGAATCCATGATACATCACATGCACATAATAAAAATTTCAATGAATGAATGAATGAATGAATATTTACCCTGTGTCAGGCACTGTAAAGACTTTATATGATTATAATTAATCCTCAAAACATCCCAACAAGGTAGTTCCTATTAATTACTTCTACTATTCTGCCTCTGAAGCTAAGTAAACTTCTCAGCTGACTGCAGAGCCCATTCACTTAATCATTTATTTGTATTCTCCATATATTACTCTGTGATACGCTCTAGGGAATAACGTTCTCAATGGGTTACCACAATACAATAAAGAGCCTTCTCATTCACCAGGAAAAAAAGGTCAAAGATGCTTCCTTCATTTATGTATGGAGTTCATTTTATTGTGTTCTTGCTTCTTAAAAATCAGTAATTGTATACCCCGTGCACATGGTAACTATACATAAAAAAGACCAGTGCTGTTGTTTAGAACACAGGACCTTGGGATCAAAGGGCCTAAACTGTCTGGGATCAAATCCCCATTCAGCCACACGCTGGTCATAAAGACTCCTCCACGTCTCTGCATCTCAGACCCTCATTTTTAAAATTGGGATGGTCACGGGGCTCTGAGTGTTAAAGGAGGTAATATGTAGGGCACTTTGTAAAACAACATCCCCCCCCAGAAAAAAAGAGTTCAGTAAATGCCCACTAGAATTTATATTATTATTAAATATATTTCTGACTACTTAATTACCCAGTTCACGCTTTTCCTCACCAAGCTAGATTTCATCTATTTCAATAACCCAAATTCATCGCCCACGGGACTTTGATATTAAGACAGATTCTTCCTCTCCTTATTCTGCTTGGGTATAGGTTAAGAAGCTTTGAGATAGAGTCTTTCCAGGAAGAGGACACTAAAGCACTAACTTAATAAAACTTTGTGATTAAACCTGGGAGACCTAAGGCACAGTCCAGAGCCATTAGTTTCAAGTTCAGGAGCAAACCACAGCACAAGGAAACTGACTGCATAACCTTAAATAATCACCCAGCAGCTAGAGTGGAAAACAGTGCGTTTCGTACCTTTAACCTAGATAAATGAATGTCTTATTTAGAAAGAGCAAATCCTTGGCGGGGAAACTAGATGGTCAGGCACATGGAACTCCCAGCTGAAACACAAGGTGTTTGGAAAACAATAGTCTCATTTTTGATGGAAGCACCTTACAAACCGGCCAAGTGCACCAGAAAGAGCTGAGCCCAGGTGATGCCTGCGGGTGTAGGGGAGTGAGGTCTCTAGGGCAGGCACCCACCTCCCTGCCCCAGGGCCCCACGCACTCCCTGACAGTCCCAGGACCAGGAGCCAATTGGCAGTGCTGGCTGCACTTGCAGGAGAAACAGCGTCACTGCCAGCTTTTAGTGACAAAAGGAGTGTTCATAGCAGGCACGTTGACAGCTGTCCGAGTGCCACATTTATTTACAAAATGTTAGTTAAATTACTGACAGTTGGCGCTGTGGAGGAAAAGCTGAGAGAAAAGCTGACATTTCTTGATCTAGTGGCGCTCAGCTCACAGCCCTGGCTCTGCTCCCCTGTCTATTTATTAATCCCATTATTTGCTTGTTACTTTATCTATTTATGGCTTCTGGCTTATTCACCGGCCATTGCTTTTAAGAGGCTTTGTGTGTCCCGGGCAGTTAAATTGCTCCACTCAATTCGGTTCCAAAGGCCCTTGGCCTAAAAGATGCCCCAAGGATCGGCTGTTCCAACCAGCCTCTGTACCTCCTGCAGCTCAGGCCCAGCTCAGCAGCATCTGGAAAGTCCCCTGTGGGCAGGGAGCGAATCCCTTTTCAGCACATACTGATGACCAACGCCTGCTCATTAAGGTATAAATCATCACCACCATCAGCATCATCTCCTATTCCTTGTCTGCTGATCAGAGACAGGCTTTCTGTGCAGAAGCTGGATGAAGTGCTTCCATTTTTTATTCTTTCTGAAGGGGCAATTAAGATCCAGGAAGAATTGGGGTGATAAATGAAGATCAACATTCTGGCTCTGCACCGTTTTAGACACTAAAACGTATTTCCAATACAGCATGTACAATCTCTTTTCCTCAAATGTTGAAAAAAGCATATATTGCAATAAACTGTGGTCTTTA
Source organism: Homo sapiens (assembly GCF_000001405.40). Lineage (NCBI taxonomy): Eukaryota > Metazoa > Chordata > Mammalia > Primates > Hominidae > Homo > Homo sapiens. Next base: position 131,932,412 of record NC_000011.10, on the reverse strand, counting down.
CCTTTTTCCTGATGTTTCTTCTTATGTCAAAATAATGCATGTTTTTGTTGACAATTTAAACTATACCGATAAGCAAGGGATTATTCTTGTTCTAGACATCCTACTTGGAATCATAGGCTTCATCTTCCTTTCCCATCGACCCGCCCCACTCCACAGCATGTGTCACCAGTTAATTTATTCTATGTTTTGTATGTATTTTGTTCACTGTCTCATTCCACCAGGAGGGAAGTGCTGTGAGGACAGGGATTTTATTATGTTTGACAACTACTGGATTCCACAAAGCCTAGAACAGTGCCTGGCACATGGTTGGCATGGAGTGGATACTTGCTGAATAAAATTGAACCTGACGTTGCCATCCAGAGACACGCTTATCAGTCTTCCTGGTTCTGACAGCCCTGGCTGCTCTGGGCTTAGCTGGAAACAGATCGAGGCACCGCCGTGGTGGGAAAGACTCGTGAAGGCCACGCACAACTCTGAGGTCCTCTCTCCCGCCAGAAATGCGTCAGCTGTAGCTGGTGGCCTCTTGCTGCTCCAGTTCCCTATTGTATTTTGGCTGCCATGGCACAGCCGCCCTGGCCCTCATAGATGCAGGCCCCTTCCCGCCACCACTTCTCCCCAAAACCGCCAGTGTCCCTTCTGTGCTCCTGCACCACCCCCCACCACATGCCAGATTACAAGGTGGCCTTCTAGACCAGCAGTGGCTCCTTCTCAGTCACCTCCTGAGGTCTTGCTTCTGAAGCTCCCCATTCCTAGCCAGGTCATGGGCATGTGGAAGACAGGAACTGTGTCTTATTTATTTCTGTAGCCCAAACATCACCTAGTGCAACGCCCTACACATGGGGATGTGTGTGCAAAAAGCCCCATGGCCTAAACAAATCAGTGTGTGGTCAAAAGGAACACACACACATACACACACACACACACACACACACACACACACACACGTATATATTATTATTATTATTTTTTTTTTTGAGGCACTGTCTTGTTCTGTAGCCCAGGCTGGACTGCAGTGGCGCCATCTCGGTTCACTGTAGCCTCGACCTCCTGGGCTCAAGCAATCTTCCTGTCTCAGCCTCTCCAGTAGCTGGGACCACAAGCGCATACCACCATGCCCAGCTAATTTTTGTATTTTGTATAGAGACAGGGTTTTGCCCAGGCTGGTCCTGAACTCTAGGCTCAAGTGATCCACCCACCTCAGCCTCCCAAAGTGCTGGGATTACAGATGTAAGCCACCACACCTGGCCTAGGAACCTATTTTTATGACACTAATCCTATCTGGTTATGAAAATCCAAAATTTAATTTTTTAATTTAATAATTAGAGAAAACACAAAAAATCTATGTCACTCGCAATTCCACTACGCAGAAACGTTATGAACACTACTATGTTGATGTCAAAGCCTTTCTGCTTTTATTTAATATTTTAGCAGGTGTTTTGTGTACTCACACACACACAGTCAAAGAGCATCAAAGCACTTCTGACTGATGGGTTGTAGACCAGTTAATTACCTGAAATGACTGAGTTAGAGCTCTGCCTTTGTTCACATTCAGGACTACGTTAATTTTAAATTATTAGAAAATGCATAACATCAAATGAAAAACATTTGAAGGAGAATACATAAAATTTCTTTCTATTTGGAGGGAAGAACAAGAAAAACTAGACAATATGTTGTTTGAGAATAATTATATATTTGGTAAAAGTCTAAAGGAAAGGAGGAAATAAACAAAAATTCAGGCCAGTGGTGATCTCCTCAAGCAAGAAAGGGTAGAGAATAGGTGGGAGTGCAGAAACTTTCACAGGTAATAGAAGGTTCTATTTCTTAGATTGTGCCAAGAGAACACAGGTGATCAATGTATTATGTTTTTATACATAGATATATTATGCACATGCTGGTATATAAAATATTTCATAACAAAAGGAAAATACTATGCAATAATATGCATTCGGCTCCCTGTACACATAAAATATTGTGCTCCTCGAGGAAGCATTTCATTAAACATTTGCCGAGTGCAGGGCATGAGTTGGGCCCAGTGTGAGGGGCCAGAAGGTTGAAAATAAGCATGGAGGAAGGAGGACCAACCAGAGGGCAACAAGTACCCTGCATTCTTCCTCTGCCCACCTGCTCAAACCATATATGGCCACCTGTCCCACTCACTTCCACTGTCTAGAAGGGAAGGCTTTGGTGACAACAGTAAAGAGTTAATAGAAAAGTTTCAAATGCATTTCTAATGGGAATTATATATTATTATTGCCTTTTAAAATAGAAGTATGTTTAATTAATATTTTCTCTGCAACTCAGTGTAATTGTTGGGAAATACAGACCAAAAAGTCACTGGTGTACACTGAATGGTTAAACAACCCCCAACACCGAGCAAGGCAATAACATCAACACCAAATGAACAGTAATTATATACTTTTTTAAAGCAATGAAAAAGTGTTTAAAAGTAGATAAGAAAATAAGAATAGAAGCTTATAGCCTCTTTGCTGATGCATTCATGACAAATCATTCTTTCTGGACATTTCACGGATTTCAGCCATCGCAGGACCATGAGCACGAGGTAGCTGAGCCTTTGATCACAAACGACAAGGAAAGTCCAGGGAGCGGCCTGGTGTTTATTCACCCAGGAAAGCAAGCGGACTTCGTGGAATTTCACGATCCTTCGAGGAAACCTTCACGATATGACCATTGGAAGTGGCGTCTTACTTTGTGAATCAGTGTGAACCAAAAAAAAAGAGGAAGTCTGCAGAAATGAGCTTTGTCCTGTATCACAGTTAAGTGCTTAAAACAATGGACGTGGCACAGGGAATTGTGGGAGTGCAGAGGAGGTTCTACACGAGGGCTGTGTCCTGTCTCTAACACAAAAACGCAAAGAAAATACAGCCTTTGCCGTATACAAAAAAAACGGAAAGTTTTTATAAGGGCAATAAGTTACAGAAAAATAAAAAATTAAAAAAAAAAAACTGCTAACATGCAGCAGCTCAAACTGTCAAACTGCTCCAGGGGCTTCCCATAAGACGAAGAATAAAATCCAAAGCCATCACCAAGGCCTGTGGCTTGGACCAGGCCCCGCCCACATGTGCCCCCCCGTTGGTTCAGGCCAAGGATGATCCCTCCTCAGCACCTTTGTATCTGCCTCGGAAACCTCTCTCCTAAATGTGGGCAGGCTCACGCCCTCATTCATCAGATCTCACTCAAGGCCTGCGTAGGAGGGCCTTCCCCTAACCAGGGAGTCTAAACTCGCACACTTCCTCCTTTCCCTCCCTGGCTGCCGCTCTCCTCTTCAGAGCATTCAGCACTACCGGACATTGCATTGTGCGGCCACTTACTTCTTCATTGTCTTCTCGAGTCTCAGGGTCTAGAACGGTGTTAGGCACTCAGCAGATGTGGAACACTTTCTTTCCTGAAGAAATAATTGAATGATTCTAAACTACACACTATGGGAACATGAGAAAACAAGAGGTTTGTACTGATTGAAAAAATGAAGGAAAGGGTGAGAATGATGCTGTTTGCAGGATTTTCACCTGACTTGCTGAGGGGTGGGTGGTTGAGAAAGAGTCAGGGAGAAGGAGGTGGAAAATGCAACCAGGCTAAGCAAGCCATGGGGAATGGTGAGTTCAGAGTTTGCAGTGGGACAAAACACAGACGGGAGACCACAGAAAACAAACAGTTTGCAGTGGGACAAAACACAGACGGGAGACCACAGAAAACAAACAGAGTTTGCAGTGGGACAAAACACAGACGGGAGACCACAGAAAACAAACAGAGTTTGCAGTGGGACAAAACACAGACGGGAGACCACAGAAAACAAACAGAGTTTGCAGTGGGACAAAACACAGACGGGAGACCATAGAAAACAAACAGTTTGCAGTGGGACAAAACACAGACGGGAGACCACAGAAAACAAACAGAGTTTGTAGTGGGACAAAACACAGACGGGAGACCACAGAAAAGGTTTGTGTCTGGAGATTCTGGCAACAGCCAGAACGTCTTCCAGCATCCTCTATACATGCCTAAGCATTTTAACTTGTTTTTGCTAATGGAATGTATTAACAATATGAAATAACTTGTTTAGTGCCTCATATATGCCAGGTACAATCCTTAAGAATTTATATCTTGTCTTAATGTAATTATTAAAAATACTTACGATAAGTATTATAAGTATCTAGCCATGCTGTAAAGAAAATTCACAGGGTAGACCATTGGGTAACCCTTGTAAAGCATTTATCATGTAAGCATAGGTTCTCATTAAGTGCTTCTACCGATGTTGGTTTCTGTTGTTATTATTAATATTATGGTGATGATTTTTGTAACAACTCTGTCAGGTAGGTATTAAGATATAATTTAGCCCCATTTCACAGATTAAAAAAAAAACAAAGGCTCAGAGAGATTAGGTTAATAATTTTACAGCTCAAATTAAGTCCCAGCTTAAGTTTTTCCCAACACCAGAATCCTTTGTTCCCAATATAGAACATATTCTCAATTCACATGTTTCATGCAGACTTATAAGTTGAGTATATATGTTTAGGATAAATATGTATATACTGTATCTAGCCATGCTGTAAAGAAAATTCATAGGGTAGACTCCTGGCTATTGGGAGCTGACTATGTGTGACCCCATCTCTGATGCTACCACAGGGCTCTGTGATTTTATGTCTCTGTAACAGTGTCAATGAAATCCTTCTCTGGGTATCAAGTGTCCTTCTACACTATCAAGTATCCCACATTTGCTTTCCTTCTTCCTGTTAGTAAGTACGGAACCCCATGTTGTGAATAGTATTTTGAAAGTCTGTTGAAACTGTGTGCTTAAAGGAATCAGCAGAAGCCAAAGTGGCAACAGTCAAGTGCATGTGGCTTCCAGAGGAAGGTGACCATAGGCCTTAGGTGAAAAGACAAAGCTGCATCCATTTACTGTGGATAAAAATTCAAACAAAATATATACACTTCCCATCTAGGCTTAACTCTCCAAGTCTTCCTAGAGACTTGGGCAAGATTTTGTTTTTGACAATGGCTCCAAGGCCAGGCCAGGATCCTGGTGTGGTGCTTGGAGCCCAGCACCAACTACTAATTATATATTAATGGTAACTAGGAAAGCAACTACTTTTTAAATAACAAAGGCAACCCCAGGTGCAGGGAAATGTCAGACTGAATGCTTAATAAAGTTGGTGCAAAATGCCCTAGGATGCAATGTTAAATTTTCAGCCACAAATGGAGATAATCCAAGAAATTTTTTAAAAAGGCAAAAATCTCACTTCCTTAGCATACACACTGTGTAGGTTTGATTACTGAATAGAGAGATGAAATATGTGCTAAATAATTCTTCTGAACAGCTCATTAGGCCTAATCCATCTCTGATTTCTATGAGTCCATTAATTCCAAATACGTGCCTACTTATACTTACACACACATCCATACATGATCGTAAAATGCCAGCTTAATTTCACAATGTAATATCTTGGAAATGGCAACAGGTAAAACGTCAAATTGGATATCATGCACATTTTAAACGTTTATAACTTGCAGATGTGATAAGTGAAAATGACAAGAGTGGACCCAAGAAGGATGACATTTCAGTTAGAAAACCCCGGATCCTCGCGGCTGGATGTGTGTGCTGCAGGGGTGACACATCAAATATGGGTTGCCACAAATCCACAAAGTCCACACGGAAACTACCAGGCCTCTGTGCGCAGCAAGTGAATCCACACAGGTGTTGGGGCTACTTGCTTATGTGGGATTTTTATTTAATTCCCATCTCCTGAGAGCTGTGCTCCTATCATCATTCACAGCTTAATCTTGACATGGAAAGAGCACTTACAGACACCGAGGACCCCCCAGATCCCTTTGCTGACTGCCTGCCCCTTATTCAGCTTTGACCCTTCCTCCTCCTTGCCTTGCTCGTCTTTGACTAGGTCATTCCACTTGCCGATACTCTGCCCAGCACGCTATTCCCTGCATGGCTCTCCCCACAGTTCACCACCTTGACCATCGTGCAAGCCCCTACCCCTCCCTGCACACCAGGTTACTCTGTCCCCTAACCTACAGTTTACTTCCTGCCCCAATACTTTCCACCATGTGATGCGTTGTTTGTTTGTTTACTTATTTGTTTTCCGACAGCTGGTTCCTGCTAAGTACAGTTGTGCAGCTTGTGCGCTGCTCAAGGGCTGAAGAAGGTAACAAAATAATGCAGCTGGCACTCTGTTTACTCAGCCAGGGACTCTAGTGAACAACATCGTCAGCGAGGAATGCCTACTCCTACTTGGTCTGTGCAAGTTGCATGCTAGGAGAAGATGCCTTTTTTTTCTAATCCATACAAGTTGCAACCCTCATCTCCTTCACTAAACATCACTCTGCAAGAGAGGAACTTAGCACCTAGAACAGCTCCTGGCTCATAGGAGATGTACAGTAGGCACTACTGAAGCAACACAGCAAAACACATGCATCTATTCTCCAAGGATACATTCAGCTCCTATTATGTGCCAGGCACTGTGCAGCATACCAAAGCAACAACAAAAGTAAGACAAGATCCCTGACCCCTGAATTACAAAAGGTGGAATCGAGGCACCTGAATCTTGCCCCGTGTCTCTGCATTGCCTCCATTCCTTGTACGTCTCCTACCCACAACTCTGGCTCAGCCTCTTCCCCTTTCCACAGCTTCCTTTCTCCTTTACCCAAATCCATACACGATTTCTCCACCACCTGGTTTCTCTTCAAGGCTTGGAACTCTGGCTGGGTGTGGTGGCTTACATCTATCTGTAATCCCAGCACTTTGGCAGGCCAAGGCAGGCAGATCACTTGATCCCAGGAGTCTGAGACCTCCTCGGCAACATGGTGAAACCCTGTCTCTCAAAAAAATACAAAAATCAGCTGGGCATGGTGGCATGTACCTGTGGTCCCAGCTATTTGGGAGGCTGAGGTGGGAAGGTAACCTGAGCCCAGGGAGGTTGAGGCTGCAGTGAGCTGAGACTGCATCTCTGCACTCCAGCCTGGGTGACAGAGCGAGACCCTGTTAAAAAAAAAAAAAAAAAAAAAGAGAAAAGAAAGAAAAAAAAAAGGAACTCTAATAGTGGTTTTCTCTTCTTTCTCTTTAACATTTTTGAGAACAAGCCTACAAATCATCCTATCTATCTCTTTAGTGTGTGTCAATTAAAACACTGGATATTAGAATACTTCTGGCACAAAAGGTTAAACTAAATAAGTGACCTCCAGCCATTAATGAGTAATTTATCATCTAAGAGGTATTTTCACCAATTATAGCATGTCTTGAGTTAAGTCCATTATGGATATGTGCTCATTTGCCTCAAGGTAAAACTTTTCCTTGTCACTGGTTTTCACATTCCTGTAGAATAAAGCAGACATGTTACTTGGACCACAGATGTAAACAGTCAAGCAACTGAAAATCAAACATTTGAGACTTCCGTTTGAAAAGGCCATGGTTCTCACTTTCAGACACATGCAAAAATCACCAAAAGTCTTGCCAAGAAATTGTAATAAGTGCTTAGGTCTGGATTCAGAAACTACATCTGTATATTTCTATGCAGCTGAAATCAGAAAATATAAATTATAATGGTTGAGTATTGAATTAGATAGGATAATGCTAGCTATTGTAACAAATCATCTCTGAACTCTCAGAAGCCTGAATACAAGTTTGTTTTTTCTTTAGGTAATAATTTAACAAGGTTCCTGGCCAGCTGGTGGGTGGGGGTGTGAGCCCTGCTCTGTGCTGTCATTCAAGAATTTGGCCGATGGAGCTCGCCAAACAGGACACAGGTTTCCAAGGTAATTTTGGACATCAACATCCAGATGGTCTAAGGAGAAAGGAAAGAACATAAAGAATTTCACAGGGGATGTTTTTCTGGGCCAACCTACACAGAGCTTCGGCTCACATTCCTTTGGGTAGAGCTGTCACATGGTCACCTCTAAATTCAAAAGAGGCTGGGAAAGGCAGCTGAGTTTGTGCTCAGGGGAAAAATAAAAAAACTTATATATGATTTGAGCAGCTAGTAATCTCTTCCTCAAAACTCAAGAACGAAACAGAGCAGTATTCTCACTTCACAGAGTGAACCTGAAGCCTGGGAATGCTCATTTTCTTAGTAGCCCCACATGATGCGTTGGGACAGAGCCAGGACTAAAAGCCAGGTCACCTTGGCCCCGAGACCACAAGTCACATGCCAAAAGCAATGAACTGCGTTGATACTTTTCAAAAACCACCCCACCACCAGATGTCTGTGTAACTGTAGAGTGTGCACCAGTGTCAGCCACGGCCCCCAGCTCCGTGCCCTGCACTGTGCATTTCCACACATAGCTCCAGGGTCACGAGAGGTACACCCTGCCCTCTGCCCACCACGGGCCCACTGCAGGCCAGGTCCTTCCTCAGCTATGTAAGGCTAACACCAAGTATGAGCAGAGTGCCAGGCACTGTTCTGAGTACTTCACGCTTCACACTGGCCCGGAACCCCTATTATTAGTCCCTTCAAATGATGATAAACTGAGGCACAGCAAGGCTAATCCATGTGCCAAAGGTCATATACCCAGTGGCTGAGCCAGCATTTGAAACTGGGGATGGGAGGAGGGTCGGGCTCCAGACCCTGCACTTAATCATTATCCTCTAGAGCGCTAAGGTACAATTCTCTTAATAAAGAAAGGTTAACATGAAAGATTGGACATTGAATGACGCGTGAAACTTCAGGCTCACAGCCTGATTTCTAGCTGCCACTTCACTTCCTTCCCTTCCCCCAAAGTTTGTAGGCCTTGAGCAGAATAATCCTTATTCTCCAGTGTTTATTAGATTTTCCATAAAACCCCTTGCAAAAGTGGATATTTAAAGGCCCTTTAGATTCCACATGTGTAGATTTTATGAAGTGTGTCACATTGCCTGACAATTTCCTCCTCAATGTCTCATTCCACTCTCTGACCTAGAAAACAAACACGCCAGCTCACGCACACCCTATCTGAACTCTGTTTAATAACACCCAATCCCATGCCAATACAGAGACAGACCTGAGTTTCCTCTTTCTAGTAAAAGATAAATAATTTCACTATTAATAGCTTACTATTATTCCTAACAAACGTTTCATTCACTCAACAAATATCCTGTAATAGATCCCATGTCCCAGGCAGTAATGTAATCACTATAAATGAGAGCAATAAACTCAGCAGCTTGGTGGACCTTGCATTTTAGGGGGAGTAGCAATAAATGAGAAATACATAAATAACAGAAGACATACATAAATAACAGACTTCTCTAGGTGTTACAGGCCATGAAGAAAGTTAAAGCTAGGTAGAGGGATAGAAAGATGGGGGCTGAGGACATGGCTATTTCAAACAGGATGATCTGTAAAGCCTTTTTTTTTTAAACGGGGTACTGGAGTAGATGCATGAATTCAACGAAGGTCTAGGCCCATAAGTTTATAGCAGATCCTGAGAGAGGGAAGAACATTTCTTAAGTCAAGAACAGTCTTAGTAAGTTCCAGGAACAGCAGAGAAGTTCAGCGTTCTGCATTCCCACGAGCGAGGCAGCAGCGACGTGGGCAGTGGTATGAGGCTTACATAGGCACCAGGCGATTAAAAAGCCTCTACTCCATGGAGGTGTTTGCATTTCATTCTAAGTTTAGCCAGAAGCCACTGTAGGTTTTGAACAGAGTCAGGTAATTCTTGTGAAATGGTAGCTGGGGCTGCCAGGCAGATAATAAACTCCAGGGGAACAGGAGTAGAAACAAGGAGACCAGGCAAGATGCCACCAGAAGAGCCGAGGAGAGACGGTGGTGGCTTTGCCCACGGAGGTAGTGCTTGAGATGGTAAAAAGTGGTCTGATTCAGGATAACTCTTAAAAGAAAAGACAAACAGAATTTAGTGGTGAATTAGATGAAGCACAGGAGAGAATGAAAAAAATAAAGGATGTACTAGGTTTGCAGTTCCTAAGATCAGAAAGACTGAGGGAAGGGCAGGATGGAGTAGCTGGCCGTGGTCCAGTGGGCCTTGCGTCAAGGGTACTGGCTGGGAGGACCCAGTTTGAATGTCATCATTAAAAGGCTCTGTAGATGAGCAGCAGGATGTGCGGTCTGGAGGACCAGAGTGAAGAAGCGTGGTCAGAACTGATGGCAGATGATCACGGCAAGGAAGGGGCAGAGGGCAACAGAGCCAAGTGGCATTTGCTGCACCCTAACTGGATATGTCGAGAAAGGTGAAAAAGAAATGTCCAGCAGCCATAATGAGTAGCAAGGAGGACGTTTATCCAACTTTCAGGCCTCAGGGTAAGCAAGGTGTGGGAGAAAAACAGCCACTTTTGAGGACTCCAGGAGTGGAAATAATCCAGGGAACAGCCGAGTTTCAACTAAAGCAAAAAAGAAAAAAATAATAATAAGGGGGGAACATTCAAAGCAGAGACTGGAGATGTAAAAATGTTGCTGGTGACAGATCATTAAGTCCAGAGAGTAAAAAGGTTTGGAGGATGAGGAAGAGGTTTGTAACTGGGTTGGGCTGTTGGATGTTGGGATATGAATCTAGAAAACGATGCATGGCCCTGGGGTTGGGGGTCTGTGACTTCTCAGGTGGTCGAGATAACTGAGAAGATACAATAGGGTTTGTGCTGATGGCCTCTGAGGAATAAAAGGGCAAGCATTTCCACCCTGATTGGCTTCTTTAGGATTTGTAATGGAGAGGCTGGGCTCACGACTGAGACCCAGAAGCATTCTGGACTCTGGCACTTCCTCTGTGGACTGCAGTGGCTCGTGTCACAGCTGGGAACTGGGTGATCTAACCAGGCCTATCTACGATCCTTTGCAAGATTGTTACTATTATTTAACAAAATTATTTTTTTAATATGCAAATGTTCCAGTATCCTACTGCTGTCATAATATAGTATCAAAACTGGGGGCTGAAAACAGTGGAAATGTGTTGTCTCACAGTTCTAGAGCCCAGAAGTCTGAAATCATGGAGATCACCGTGTTGGCAGGGCCATACTCCCTTTGAAACTTGTAGGGAAGTTTCCCTCATTGCCTCTTCCTAATTCCTGGCTGCTTGCTGGCAATCTGTGGCATTTCTTGGCTTGTGGGTGCATCACTACAGCCTCTGCCTTTGTTGTCACTCTCTGCGTGTCTTCTGTGTCTCCACATAGGCATCTTTTTACCAGAACACCAGTTATATTGGTTTAGAGGCACACTCTACTCTAGTATGACCTCACCTTAGCTAATTACATCTGTAGCAACCATATTTACAAATAAAGTCACATTGTAAGCTATTGGAGGTTAGGACATCAATATAATTTTTTTATGGTGGGGAGATGGGACAAAATTCAACCCGTAAACCACAGCATTGCTATTTCCAGCTTTTCTGTATAAAAACTGCACTAAATTAAAAATAATTCGCATGCGTTCTTTTTCTTACTTATAGCTTCTGAAGGGTTAGAATTTTGGATTGAGCCCTCCTGACAGGTAAATTTGTCCAAAGATGATTATTCTGAATGTGAGAGCATTTTTTTCACTCATCCAGCACATTAGAGGCCGTTTGAAAGCACAGAAGATTAAGAAACTATTTTCACACAGATACATCTTCCTTTGACTCCATGAACCCAACAAAGCTTGTTTGAAGGTCAATTTTAGTTTTTTTAATTTTCCATCAGTCTGTTGGTTGATGCTGTTTTCATTAAAAATTCTATTATTTTAAGAAATCCATCAGCAAGATTGTAAGATTAGTTCATACGTTCATTTTATAAGACAAATCTAACCCCCCAAAAGCTTTCTAAGCCAAAACATTTCACACTGATAGGACAGCAAGTTGCCCAAATACACCCAAATAAAACCAAATAATTCAACAATGTGAATAAATGAGATTTAAGAAAAACAGATCATGAAAGATCAAGACGGCTATTCATAGTTCACTACATTTAAACTAATTTAAGCCCTTTGACATTGGGTTAAAATGGACAGGACTCTTCCTGTGATCCCATCAGTGAATGCTGAGATCAGTTTCTAATGCCAGATGCACTGGTGTTGCCCTAGACCTGACCAAAAGTAAAATTCCCAAATGCAAAGAAGCCTCCTTCTCTATTTTCACCATCACCACTCAAGCCCTGAGCCTGCCTCCCAATCATCAGGAGATATGAATGAAGAGAAGACTTACAATTAGAGAACATTACAGCTGCGAGAGTCTTAAACTACCTCTTCCCCAACACATGTTATCCCAGACCCTGTTTTTTACCATTTGACTCCACTGGAATTATCATGGAAAAATCATTTCTCCAAGGAAAAGGGGTCTGGCACTCCGAAATCTATGCATGAATTCACAGAAAACCTGCTCCACAGAACCTTCTGGATGAATTTTTCTGATGGGAAATGCATCTTCAGAGCCATGAACTGTCACAACCTGCTATGCAACAATCTTTTTACGAAAAACAAAGAAATATCTTTCTTCTCGCTCCCTCTCAGAAATCAAACATCTCAAGAAATGATTTGAAACTGAAGAATCTCTAAACAGATGTGTAGGAGAGGCACCACAAAAAAACTCACAATTATAGGTGGACAAAGGGGGATTTGTCCACCTATAATTGGATCTTTCAGAAGCAAGACATGGTATATCTGCCAAAGTGTTTAAGCTACAATAGTTTATAATGAAAATTGGTATATGTGTGTATATTATATACACATATATGCACACATGCATATGTACATATATATTCATATATAGAGAAAGAAAGTTATAACTATATACTATGTTTTGTGTGTGTCATCTCATTTTAACCTAAAACAACACTGTGAGATGGGTAATAACGGTCCTGTTTAAATGCAGGGTGGAGAGATTACAAATTTTGCCTGCAATCAAACAAACTGCCTGAGCCAGAGTTTGTAGATTCCTGTCTCCCACTCTATCTTCTTTCTAGCCTACCCCTCCTGGTACCTACGAGTCAGTAAGGTCTTGTGTGTTGGAGATGTTTGTCTCCAATGATTGTACTCCTAGTAAACTTCCCCGTTGCTTCCTTCTCCCTTCAGCTCACACATGCAATTTGAAATTGCATCCTAAACCCAATAAGTCCTTGGTTTCCTAAAAATATTTGACCATCTATAATGATGTTGGTAGTATTGCTTATTATTTATTTAGTATTAGTTATCTATTACACAGTGGGAACCCATCAACTTACTCCTGAGGAAGCAAAATGACCTTAAATAACACAAGGACGATGTTCTATTTTACTCATCAGTGGAGACTTTCAACCTAAGAGAACAAACATGCCATTACCATTAATTATCTTTTTTTACAAGATTCCCCAGGAGAGATGCCTATTACTAATTTAAAAAAAAAAAAAGGAAGCGTTTTGGAGCTGGTCCCTCTTGTTCCCCTGGTGCTATGGCATCCAGATCCACTGACTGGCCTGTAGAATCCTCCTAGAATTGGTGTCTGCCTTGACTGGTTCAATACTGCATTCCAGAGAAGTACGTGGAAATGTTCATGGTATTACTAACTCCAGGTGAGAAAGTCCAAGATTGCTGATACCTAAAGCCAAAGATCAATGGAAGAACCTGGAATAAGAGTCTTCCTCTGAACAAACTATAGAAATTGCAGGATTCTGTGAGTAGAAGGGACCTCTAGAGGTCGGTTGGGTCCCTGTGTCTCCACGCCATGGATGACATGAAACCTTAAACACTCCCAGGCCCTGTTCCTCATGCTTCAGGAGAGGGGATTCCTGTGCACCACGACAAGGAGGGACAACCAAACTCACTGGGTCTCTAGTGGGAGAGGAACTTGGCAATGAAGAATACAAGGGACAGAACAAGACCAGTACTATGGAACCGAGGGGGATTGCCTAGGAGTCAGACACCACCCATCTTGAGTCCCAGGCTCAGCACCCACCTGAGTATGTGAGCTGGGAAAATACCTTCACTGTGCCTCTCAGCGCTTTGGTTTCCTGCTCTGTAAAATCAGAGTAATCATTGTGTCCACCTGATGGAGTATCTGTGAGGATTAAATGAGGTTCTTCTGGTAAACTGCTCAGCACAGGACCTGACCCACAGCAAACAGCTGTCCCACATGGAATGAGAGTCAAAGCATAAGAACGCAAGGTGTGGTACGGACTAAACCAGCAGTCAGGAGAGAATACGGTGATAAATGTCAGCTAAATGCATTGAAAGCATTCATGGTCAGGAGGATGCTTTTGCACTTAGGGAAACATGGCCTTTCCTTCAGCATGCATAGCCCCAAGTGAGGGCTCACAGCCTGGGGATGGAAAGTGTACTGGCTGCCGGCCCTCTCACCCTTCTGGAAGGCCTCCTTACGCAAGACTGATTATCACTACTTCCACTATCTGTAAAACCAGGTGGTTGACCTCCCAGCTCTCTGCAAACCTTTCAAATTCAAGAACGCAATGCATTTAAAAGAGGGAGAAAGGAGACGTTTTTCTGCAAAGCACTTACGGTTTAGATGAGGGGTGTTAGAGAACTGAGCTGGCCCCCTGTAGCCTCCTCTAGCTTTCAGTGACAACTGGCATACTCCTACCCCTTCTGCCCTATGTTTGGTTGAGTTTTTAGTTTTCCCATTTTAGTTTTTGGCTCCTCAACAGCTGAATGTGCTTCCAGGAGCCTCCCTCCTTGGTCCCATCTGTGCCTGCTCCTCAGAGCCACAGGACACCAGCCGGATGCCTGGCAAGCCCAGAGGTGAGTGCCCAGTGGCGGGTCCTGAGAGGGGGCAGGGCAGTGGGAGCAGCACAGGCCTCCTGAGTAGCATTGCTATTCTGAACGGGTGAACTCATAAACAACGGATCAATAGTTATACCACCACAACCACTGCCAGCAGACTCCACAAACAGAGAGAAAGGATGAGCAGAGTGCTTTTCTGTGTCCCTCCTTACCTTGAAAATGCTAATTTCCCTGGAGTTGACTATCATTGTTCCTTCAAAGACTTAAGGACTGGGTGGGGAGGTGACCCAGCAGAAGGAAGGTAAGTGTCATGGGTGCAAATATGAAATAATGGACAACCAACACACCTCATCTGTGGCCTGGACAGACAGACACAAGTTCAATGACTTCTATGTATTTGTAACCTGTCTCCAGCACCTCCACAGGAGCAGCCTCACACAGCTGCCCAGTCAGAAATGACACTGAGGAAGTAACATGCCCAAGGCAAGGACAACACAAGACAATTCAGGAAAAAGGACACAGACTCCAAGGAGAAGAAGACGTGATCTCAGGCCTTCATTCCTGCAGTCATTCATGCAACAAATTTATTGAACACCTTCTATCCGCCAGACACTGCTAACAAGACAGAGCATATCTCTTCTCAAGGAATTTTTAGTCCCTTTGGGGAAGACAACCCATACACAGATAACCAAATAATGAATGGGATAACTTCAGATGGAGATGATTGTTCTGAAGAAAAACTCCAGGATGATATGCCAGAGTAAGACTGGTGGTAGTGGTAGAGGATTATTTTGATTTGGTATCAGGAAAGGCATCAGGGAGGGAATTCTCTGTGAGCTTAGGCCAAAATGACAAGAAACAGCTGTCCATGGGAAGATCAGGGTAGGGGTGTTCCCAGCAGGGCGGACCACAAGAGGAAACGCTTTGCAGCTGGAATAAGCTGTGTTTATGGGTGTCCACAACAGAGTGAGTGAAAGGAAAGGCAGGATGAGAGTCCTTCGGATTTTATTGGCAAATTCCACAGGCCAAGCCATGTGCTGCGGATTAGGAGGCAAGCCTGGAGGAGGCCTAGTTCCGCCCTTAAGAGGCTGTGGAGTAGCTGGAGGGACTACCAGAGAATCCATCTGCTTATCAAATGAAACTCCAAGCACCTTACATGACATGAGCAAAGTGCCGCAGCTTCCTTCATCTAGAGGGTGACTCCCGCGTCCTCTCAAGTATCAAAACCACATTTAGTCTGTGTGATTCCATGGAGTCCCATATCAAAACTCAACCAAAATTACATACATTTCTCAGACCTTCAATTCCTAACTCACCCGGGAAAAACAACATCATCCAATCGCTAAGCCTATGGTCTAGAGGCGCGATGGAATGCAGCGTTCAGCCTCTGATACCCACCTGCCAAGTGATCCCCAGGAAAGAATGCACTTTACTAGCTGCTGCCTTAATTGGGGAATCTCTGAAATGTGGAAAGCATTCATTGAAACTGCCAAGTGACAGGTGTGTTGATGCTTAGTGAAGGTCTCTAAGTGAATGACACCCATGCATTGGGGCTTCTGGGGCTCTCTGATTCCTCACTGATGTCTGCTCACTTCCACCCAGGAGCTAGGAGCTAGTGCAGTCCTGCCAACCCACAGAAAGCCTTCACTCCAACAGAGGGGCTCTGCTCCAGCCACGGACAGCGTGATCGCCCACGTTTTCATGGTGTACTCTGCCTCACAAGGTCCATGACCTCTTTGTCCACAGCCAGCTTTTCCAGTTGGACCCAAGCCCCCAAAAGCCAAGTCCAGGCCGTACGCCTTTCCACACCCAAACACCCAGCTCAGTGCCTGATATGGTCTGGCTGTGTCCCCACCCAAATCTCATCTTGAATTGTAGCTCCCATAATTCCTATGTGTTGTGGGAGGGACCCAGTGGGAGATAATTGAATCATCGGGGCAGTTTTCCCCATACTGCTCTGGTGGTAGTGAATCAGTCTCACAGGATCTGATGATTTTATAAGGGGTTTCCCCTTTCTCTTGGCTTTCATTGTCTCATCTGCCGCCGTGTAAAATGTGCCTTTTGCCTTCTGCCATGATTGTGAGGCCTCCCCAGCCACGTGGAACTGTGAGTCCATTAAACCTCTTTTTCTCTATAAATTACCCAGTCTTGGGTATGTCTTTGTCAGCACTGCCTAACGGACTAATACAGTCCCCTTCTTGAAAGAACCACTCAATACATTTCTGATTGACCGTAGTTGAAATTTAAAATAAAATGATAGAGAAATGTGGTAAGGAGATAAACTGAATATAGCTGGGGGATATCGTTGTTTGGCTTTCATTCATTTTGTTTGAGTAAGCATCTGCCAGCACACAGTGCTCATGCCATGACAAGGCATGATTCTTGCTTTCCAAGAGGTGCTCTGCAGCCCAAGGGAAGAAAGAAGACAGAGAGATAACACTGGAAAACAGGGTCTAAGCCAAAATGAATAGGGAAGACATTAAGTGCCACAGAGGAATGAGAGGAACACGAATCCAAAGGGTCCTGAATAGTCCTGGGAAGCTTGGTGTACAAAGTCAAGGAATGGAGTCCTGAGCTAGCATACTGGTCTGCCACTGGCTGCTTATGTGATTTCAGGTAAGTTCCCCCTCTCTAGGCCTTAACCGGGAATAATTGTCTATTTCAGAGAGGTGTGAGGAGTAAATGTTACTGTTTACATAAAATGTTCACACAGTAACAGACCAATGATAGTACTATGTATCTTATTAACGTGATTGTTACCAGTGCTTCATAGCCTGGCTTCAAAGCTTCCTAGCTGTGCCACCTTCATCAAAGCATGTAAACTCTCCACACCTCAGTTTCCTCGTCTGTAAAATAGGGATAATAGTAACTCCTACACCATAGGGCTGTTATTAAAGTGTTAATGTCATGAGGCTGAATGATAGGTGAGATATTATTAAAACACTTAGATACTCCCCAACACATAGTGAGCACTCAATTAACATTGGCTAATAGTATTATTAATGCAGATTCTGTTTTACCTCACCCTTTTAAGAAATATGCCTACAGAATGCCAGCGGGAGGGCAGAAAGAGTGGGAGACTGCAAATTGTAATTCTTTTCAGGCTGTCAGTGCTATGCTAATTGAAACATTTCCCAATACCTCCACAAGGATTGTTAGAGCTACTTGGATAAGATAAAACATTTTTTAAAGTTTCCTCAAATTAGAATCTTCTGCTGAGCATTTATTCTTTAGGGACTGCAAAAGATCCTCAAAATATGATGTTGGTGAGAACAAAGCAGAATAAAATGAAATTAGAGCAAAAAGTCCTCTGCTGGTTATGAAGAAAACTACATGTATCACCATCATCACCCAATCACCCATAGGAAGATGGATATGGCGGCCCTCCAGGCCAGAGCACGGGTGCTCTGGTCTCCCCTAGTTGTGGTTCCTTACAGCTTGGTTATATGATTAGTCAAAACAGAAAAAAACAAACGGAAGAAGAAAGAAAGATAGATGGAAGGAAGGAAGGAAGGGTCCTCTGTCCCCCTACACACACACAATACAAAGCAAAAAGAAAATAACTCAGAACTCTGAACTACTAGATGGTTGCAACCTACAGTCAGGTTACGTGAAAATGCAGCAATTTTTATGCAAACAAAATACGTTCTGAAATTCCTACTTGCCTCTCTGTACACAGAACAAGAAAATGCAGGACCTATGTTTGAGAGTTCAGGGGCTTCCACCCCACCAAAGTCCATCCCAGCAGGGCAGCCCTTCCTTGTTCTAGCGCATCAGAGTCTGAGAAGGAGGGCAATCCTGAGAGGCCTGAGCATCCTCCATACTGGTTGCTTGTTACACCTGGTGCCTGATTCACATCCTAAGTCAGGCCTGTGGTCAAGGGCTGGTGTCGCTCAGACCCTAGCTCATCTAATCCCTGCCCTGTAGTGCTCCATCCACTGTCAGGGCCTTTCTCTTGAGTGTCAGGAAGACATTCAGCCCCTGAGGCTGGCACAGAATGGCAGGAGATGTTCCAGAAGGAAC
The DNA here is from genome assembly GCF_000001405.40 of Homo sapiens. NCBI lineage: Eukaryota > Metazoa > Chordata > Mammalia > Primates > Hominidae > Homo > Homo sapiens. The sequence goes on along the minus strand of NC_000011.10, from coordinate 131,913,765 downwards.
TTGGCTGGGTTGGGGTCAATTCAAGGGTCTAGAAAGGAAGCTCCACCATGTTCCCATCTCCATCCACACCCAAACAATACCACTGGGTTGAGAACACATGTGAAAATGCAAACAAACATTAGTGCTGAAAGAGAGAGGGGGACCGGCAGAATGAGAAAAAAGAACCATGAAAGGGAAGACAAAGAAAGATAAGTCAGCCAGTACATGATAACGCGATTTCAAAAAGAAGCTCCTCCTAAATCAGGCCTGTCCCGTGATTCAGCCTCTGCTGAATGCAGCCACCCTCTGGACAGTCCTGACTTTGATAAGCCTTGAAGACTACCTTCTGGAGACCAGATTCTGGCCTGGTCTCTGTCTGCCAGGACCCACTTCCTGTTTATTTATCTTCAAGTCTCTACAGAGCTACCTTACACCTTTTCCTTGAAAAAAAAAATCCCATTTATATCTAAAATGTTCCCCATTCAGAATGTCTCTGTCCCTGGGAGGCCCTCCTTGCAGCCAAGGACTAGGGACAAAGAGGGCATCCAGAGAACAAGCATTTCTTGAACAAGAAAATTTCCTTGATTATTACTGCTCTAGACATTTATTTTTGGTTTTTTATTTAAGTAGTCTGAAATCACTGCATATTTGTAACTCCCCTGAAATCCATTTTTAAAGCAGATACACAATCATTTCTGAGTGGGGGAAGGAAGTTGCTTTATTTTTGCTCAGAAGAGTGGAAGAGGTGGGTCTCGTGAGCCAACAAATAACTAGGAGTTCACCAGAGCCATGAGGTTAAGCTTTGCCTAGACAAAGGATCACTGGATGCTTGTAGCCCTGCACGGGTCCCTAAATTACACACTTCCTTTGGCAATGTCCTGATAACTCAGCTCTGTATTGACATTGCCTCCTCTTCACCATTTTCTATCCTATAGATATTGCCTTAAGTATACAGTCCAAAACAACCCAATCCTAGAAGAAGTCATCAGAGGGGCAAAACAGTAGACACCAGCACCAGGGTTATCTTTCCAGAAATCTTCATGTGCAAAGGACAGGAATATTGCCATGTTGCCTTGTGGTTAGTTCTGTCGCTTAGTTTGGAAAACTTTATTTAGGAGGGCAGACTAAACCAAGGAGAGGCAGGGAAATCGTTCCCATGAACCTTCTTAACGTCCACCTCATGCTTATTCTCTTATAAAATCCCAGAGAATAAAATTTCCCATCGCAATCATTAAGTGTTTTGCCCGCATATGAGAGGTGTGGTTTATCAACACTGGAAATTCAGTTAGCGTTTCTGCAGGCAAGGTAATCAGGGAGATAGAATCATTCTACCTTACACAAAGCATAACCAAGATTCTTCTTCTTCTCCTCCCCCAGTGCCTGTAAGCCTTAACCCCAGAAGCCAATCAGGACCCAACCCAACACTGAAACCTAGTTTCTCTTCAGTAGACGAGTTTTGCATGTACCGTTTTGGTGGAGAGCAGGAACAGAACACAGTTCACTACAGTAAATGCCATTTTCCACGGACAAATCAGACTCCATGACTTGGGCCTCAGAAAGCCACGTTCAGACAGGAGAAAGCATCTCTGTCTGCCCACCAGCTCACGGCATGAAGGCACCCCAGGAAAGCCCGGGCACAGTCAGGCCCAGGACAAAGCAGCGGCTCTCCCAGAGTGCAGGAGCCAGGGCTGGCAAAGCCCTATGGCATGGGCGAGTGGGGGCATTCACTCCAAGCCAGACCCCTCCTTTGGGGCTCATTAACTTCAGAGAAGACTGCTCGCGGGGAGCCCCTCCAAGCCCCCTGTCACCACGGCCACCAGGCTCAGGCACAGACAGTGCCAGGCACAAGTCCCTCAATCTCGGCGACCACCTGGTCCAGCCACCCCTCACCTTTAACAAGTGCCTGAGCCGCAGAGGCCAGTTTTTGGGAAAAAGCTCACCGCCAGAACCTCTGAGCCTTTCCCTACGACTGCCACATTCCCGGGCAGAGCCCCCAGCGCAGCCATAAATTGTGCAGCCCAGGGAACCAGCGACCTCTCCGCCAACCCAGGCACGCCTCAGTGCACACACCTGCACCCCTGCCCCTTACCCCGACCCCATACAAACCATCAGTTCGCAGAACAATGTCAGCTCCCTACCTGAGGGTGGCGCTCTCCCCCTGCCGGACCGTCACGTTGTCCATAGCTTTGGGGAAGGTGGCATCTCCGCTGCGCACGGGCACTCCTGTGGGTACAAGGAACAGCAGCCTGAGAGACACGACCACGAGGCACTTCCAGGGCAGGAACAGGTACCCACAGACCCCCATTCTCGACAGCCACAACTTCCCCGAACTCCGGCAGCCGCACGGCACACGCCCCCCGGGCGAGCACAGGAAGTGGGTGGGGTGCGGAGCGAGCGCGGGGACTGAGCGGTGAACCCGCGGCGACCGGGAGGCGCGGGGAGGAGAAAAGCGCGCAGACTCCTCCGAGTCTAATATTCCTCCCCCAAATCCAGCCTCGGCTTTTGCCAGCCTCGGAAAACCGGTTCCACGGAGGACGGCCAAAGGGGGCTCCCTCCTCGCTGCTTCCGCCGGGAAGGTGGCCGAGGAGGGGGAAGCGCGCGGCAGGTGAAAGGTGTGGGCGCGTCTCAGGAGCCGCTTCTTCCCAGCGGCAGTTCAGACACGGCACTTTGGAGAGGAGTAAGCACTTTGGTACCAGAAGGGGACGGGGTGGGCTTCATCCAGCTACCCAGAGGCGGTCTGCAGTCCCTCAGTTCGAACGGGGGACATCCAACACTTTGTAAGTTTCGGAGCCGGGCTCGCCACCGGAAAACAATCGGAAACAATAGCAGATGGGAAGTGGAGCTCGCGGGAGGCGCAGGGGTGGCGCGCGGAGGAGACGGCCGCGCGGGCTTCGTGCGATCCGGGCCCGGGATCCTGCGGCAGCCGCCTCGGTCAACTTCCTCGGAGCCCAAATGCGCGCTGCGGCCGCCGCTGTCCGGCGGGGCTCGGCGGGGCAGGGGCTGCGGCGGTGGCCGAGGAGGGAGAGGCCGGGCGGCGGGAGCGGACCGCGGCGGCCCCAAGCTCGGTAGCTCGCTGGGGAAGGCGCGGCGCAGCCCGCACCGGAGCCGCGCGGACGCCAAGCTCAGCGGCCGCCCCCGGCCTCCGCGCCGCCTTCCTCCCGGGAGCAGCCCCGACGCGCGCGGGCCCCGACCGCCGGGGTTGTCATGGCAGCAGCTCCATCCCTGACCGCCACTTTCTCCCGGTGCCGCCTCGGAGCGAGCGGGCGGGCTGGCGGCGCGGACTGCGCTCTCATCCCGGCGGGAGGGCGCGGGGCGCGGGGCGCGGGCGCCCACCTTAACCCCCGCCGCGCCGGGCCCAGGCTGTGCACCAGCCCAGCCCAGGCCAGGAGTTTAACCATTTACGCGCTTCCAAATTAGGAAAAAAGACAAAGTTACCATGCAGCCTTAATCAGCCTCAGACTTGAGACATCTTAATAAGGGTCACAAACTAATTAACTGGGAAAGGAACACCCTGCAGCATGCATACATGCACCTTTAAAATGATCAGATTAATCCCATTAGCATTCAGAGTAAACTCAGAGTGTTCGGAGGATGTTTTAGAAGAACCTCATAGTTATTCAGTAGTACAGCACCCGCCCAGCAGCCCCCCACAAAGCTGCTCAAAACCCCAGAGACTCAACACTACCATTCTAGAGATCTGCCATATATAAAACAAATCCAAAATCACAGAAGCCTCTTAGTGTGCGAAACTGGAAAAATCGCATCATCAAAATGTTGGTCAAGTTCAGACACCCACTTACATTCTTTATTCTTGTTTTGTCGCCATTAAAAGATGCTGGGCCTGCAAAAGTGCTCACTTGGGTGGATGAGTGTGAGCCACTTGCTGTATTTATACAGCAGACTCCCAGGTTTCCTGGGCCTCACACTCTCGCACAGCTGATTTCATCTTTAAGAGGTGTGTTTCTCAAATTCTTGAAACCCGGGGAGAGACTGGATTTGCCTCGGTCCCTGTCACTTCTCCTCTCTGGCTGCTGCTGGTCCTCCTGTGCCTGTATTATTATTTCTCCCTTAACTTCGGCTCTGAGGGAATGGCCTGCGTTTCCTTTCCCTGGCTGGGCCTGGTTCTTGTGCAAGGGGGAAGCACAGAGCAGCTCAGCAGGCACAGTGGTGGTGACATTAATAATGCTCCCTTCTCAGGGATTCCCAGAGCCGGCCTCCAGCCCTGACCCACATTCTCCTTGGGGATGGAGAGGAGGCAACAGTGGCTTTGTTTTTCCCCTAGACTCTATCAAACACAACCAGGAAGCTTTTTGTTGTTGTTGTTGTTAACAACTGTTAAATAACAGAAAAATGGTCTTCCAAAAAGCCATCCGGTATCAAAGAGACTGAACCATTATAACTGAGTCATATAACCATAAGGGCTTCGGTACAATACTCATTCTGGCAACCTTCGAGCAGTACCAATCACTTACATGTAGATACCACGTTGGAGAGGACACAAACATTTCACCAATCAAATCTCCCTCACACTAACTATAGAGATAGGACAGAAGTAGGCTTTGGAGAAGTGGAAACCACACTCCTGGGTAACAAAGAAAGACTAAGACGGCTTGCCTTTCCATTGTCATAGTTGACTAGGACGTGCTTAGCCAGCAAGAGTGAAGCGACTTTACAGTGAATATCTCAAAATACTTTGCATTAACTCATCATTGGGCCAATTGTTCCCTCCTCTCCTCCGGTGACTTTTCTGATATTAAATTCTCAGGGAAACTCATCTGCTACTTTTGGCCACTGGGGATCATTTGATATATAACACCAAAACTATCAATCGTCAACTTATGGCTGCAACAAATGACTTTACTATCAGGAATAAACAATTACATCTGCGGGGAGCAGAAGATCTTTGTTTGTATTTTTGAAAGGAAAGGAGGAAAATTAACCTACTTTAGCACTAGTCCATTCTTGGAAGATTCTATTGTGTCTCCATTTTCCAACGGGCAATTGTGGAAACAGGAAATTGAAAAACTTCACCACGTTAAGATAAATATGATGATATACTAAAGCTGTGAGATATGTTTGCTGACTTTCAGTCTGCTGAATTTGGGCTTCGTCTCCACAAGTCAAGGGGTCACCTCTAATAATTCATCCATTCATTTCAACCATCCCTTATGCTCCTCCCTCTCAACCCCTCTTCTTAAACACATCCTCACTACAACAAGTGGAAACAAATGCTAGTCATGGGGAAAGGAGAGGGGCTCATTCTGAGCTTTGCAGTCATTTCCCTAGAGGCCTGAGAATGGCAGGGATGATTCATGATAAATGCTAATCCTGGCTCTTGCATCTAATTTTCAGGTAGGTACAAAGGAGCATTAGTTTTTGCATCTAGGGATATGGATAATGACAACAACAGGCTTTCCCGAGGGGCCTACATATATGATTAACTCTACAGGAAAATACTTAGAAATCCATTTAAGATGGAAGATGCTTTATTAATACATTTGCCTGCCATTGCTTCATTAGTATGTCTGGGCAAGAAAATAATTCTTCTTACAGGCTCTTTGAGATGTTTGGTTTCTACCAGTCTGCATGCAGTTGATCTAAGACAATCAAACCATCTTTGTCTCTGCCCGTGAAGGGAAAGCACTAAGCTTAGCAATCCAGCAGTTGCAGCAGAAAACCCAGCCAAGCTCAGGTAACTCACAGGGAGGGCAAAGAAAAGGCACTTGCAACCTCATACCTGCTTCGTGGGCGCAGGGATCCAAACTTTATTCAAACATAGAAGTTTAGAAAGTGGTGAAAGGTCAGAGATGCCCACATAATTAACAAGACAAAATCCATTTTATTCAAACCGGCTATTGAAGTGGTTTGAAAAGATGAAGATCAAAATCATATGTCAACTCACTTCCCAGCCCTTAATCCCTAAATATGACCAACACTTAGTGGCTTATCTTATATCCTGTCTCCTGCTTCATAAAAACTGCTGGATTTATTTTATTTTTCCCAGCATATCCGAGTTAATGAAAAGGGATGACATTCAAAGCAATTTCATTATTTGTGTTCTTTATAGAAACAACTTCCTTTCTGCCTCCTTGAAAGCCGATTCCTAACGAGCGCCCACCTCCACCCTCTTTCCCACCATCTCCGTCTCCTTCTTCCCTTCCTTCGTGCATACACATATACTGTACACATAAATCAACTTGTCACAGCTTGTCTCTGTGCTGACAGCTGTAATTGCTTCAGGTTATAAAAAATATCTATAGGACAATGCCTTTCAAGCTCACAAACATGTACACACATACACACTCCCTGAGCAAAAGGAAACAATCATATTCCCTTTAATAATCCTGGGACTGCAAAGGAGGGAGGAGAGAAGAGCCTGCCATGTGTACTCTGGATGGTTGGCAGGCAGGTGAGGAAGCAGTAGATGGAGACTTCAGGCAACCCTGGCATCTGTACACTGAAGCAGGGCTGGAACAGAGAAGAACTCCCAATGAAAGAGAAATTAGCTGTTGTTTTTGTTTTACTCCATGTTACCCAGAGCAAGCTGGGGCCAGCTAAAGAGCTATCACTATTCCACACACACAAGAGACGAAAAGAGGAGCACTAGCTTAACAAATGCCAGCTCTGCTTCTCCTCGTCGAAAAAGGCTAAAGGCTCCCCTCTCCTGGTGGAGATCTCACATAGGAGTGCAGGCGAGAAGATGGGAAATGCAGGGCCATTAGAGAGTGGTGTGACATCAAATAGATATTGGAAGATTTAATCAGAAAAGGATGTGTAAATCTGGATAAAGAGATGCCTCTAGGGCAGTAGGGAAGGGCTGGGAACTGGAAAAATATATGCTATTTTTTGCTCCTCTATGAATACAGGATCAAAATAAAATCGTGGTTCATCTGGGCTATAGTCCAACATGTTAGGATTTCAGCAGAAAGAGCAAAGGTGCAACTTGAAAAGGGGAAGAGGGCTCCAGGGAGAGAAAAGAGGTCACAAATAGAGAGAACTGAGAAGGAGGATATGAAGGAATGGCAAAGGTGAGGCTATCTATGGACTTTAAACCCATAAAACTTTATAAGAGATGCATAAAGCAGAGCGATGGTGGATAGAACAATCGGAGGTAGACAGAAAAGTCAGGGGGAGCAGGATGAACAAGCCAAAATCAAAGTGCCGACGCAGCGAAAGGCAGGTGCCCAAAGGGGACAGCCTGAGAGCCAGGGGTCTTTGGGGCAGAGTCTTTCCTTTTTATCTAAGTTTTGGGTCATAATAAGACCCTGGACTCGTAACATCACAGAATGATACATTCAGAAGGGACCTTGGAAGATCTTTAGTATAATCCATTCATTTCTTAAGTGAAGGATTGAGCCCCAGGAAGGAGGAGGAGTTGATCGTAGGAGCATAAAGTTTATAAACTGGCCAATCCAGACTAGAAGTCAGAACTCCTGACTCCTACAGCAGGGTTCTTTCTACTCTACCTGTCAGATAAGAACAATATTTAAGAGCTGACCACTCAGTAACTCCTGCTGCTGCATCATCTGTGGCCGAGAGAGAGACCCCCAGAGGACAGGTTACCATGATTGCCCAGAATCACTTTGGGTGTCACATTATTTGGTTGAACTCAAATTAGTTAATCAACCAGCAAGCAGATTTTGAGTTCCTTGTGTGTACCAGGAACTGTGTTGAGAGGAACAAAAATAAAGACATGCCCCTGCCCTTGAGTTGCGTGTCGTCTAGTGCTATTGGGTTTGTCAGTGGTTTTATTTCCATTAACGTTCATGAAAATTAAATGAACTCCACCCTGCACTCCCCTATAGGCCCTTGAGAACTTTCTCATTGCTGAGACAAAAAAGCTGAGGTCTGCCTAGCCTGTGGGAAGTGATTTGTCTCATTACACTTATCCAGATTCCCAGGCACAATCTTGGTTCTCTAGCTTCACTGGAAGGGGTATTAGGAGGGGTGGGGTGCTCTGAAGGACTTCTGAATATTGGGAAGCCCTTCATCAACTCAACAGGGCCAGGGAAAGCAATGAATGGGAGAGACATAGGCAAAAGTAACGTGGGCCTCCCCTGCATGAAGTGCACTTCCAGCAGGGGAGACAGACATTTAACAAAGAATTTTATGAAATAGTGGATACAACTGTGATGAATGCTGTGAGAAAAAAAAAATGGAAAAGACAGGATGGGAGATTCTCATCGTGCCTGGAAGATCAGGAAACTTCCCTAAGGAAGTGACATTAAACTGGACTTAAAAGTGAGCTGGAGATGAAGGGATGGGCAAGCATGGGCAGGAATCTCGTGGATGGCAGAAGACAGCACAGACGCTACACGACCCAAGACGGAAAGGAGCATGAGCAGAAACTTCTTTGACAGCCTCAGACGGTGCTCATACAAACTAAGGATGGGCACCTCGGGAGTGCTCTGTGTCTCACTGAAAACCTCTAATGCCATCGACATTGTGTGTTCATGCAGTCATGGATTCATTCAGTACATATTTATCCAATAAGAAGGACCGTGACCTTGGGTTTTAGACTCAGACCAGAAGTCAAATATTCACCCTCTCCATTACTAGCTGTGGGACCTTGGGGACATGCCCTAATCTAATCTGTAAAATAGTGGTCCTCATGGTACCTACTGCTCAGTACTGCTGTGAGGATGAGATGAGGGAGTAGCTGCAAAGAGTTTAGCACAGGCCTGGCTGCTCCCAGGCTTCTCATGCTGGGACTGGAAGGAGCTGCCATTGGCTGTGCTTCCTTCATTCTGAGTCAGCCTACAGGTAACATTCATGCAGAGAACCCAGGAGCAGACTGCTGAGTGCAGGCCCTGGGAATGCTCTTAGAGTTCACAGCATAAGGCGGACAGAGCAGGAACGTCATGCTGAGATGTAGTCAGAGAGGAAGTAGCACAGCCTCTAGACCACCCACAGCAGGAAGAGCCGTGGCCCCCCAGCTCCCACCCCACTGTCAGGCCTCTGTTCTCTAGGCCTGTGGGAAACAGCCTGTGCTTGCAAAAGAGGAGGCAGCTTTCTCTTTCAGTACCAGCCTGGGAAACTTTGAAAGTACAACAGAAAAGTAGCCAATCCACCTGACAAAAAGACAGGACACCTCCATCCCATTGTAAAGTGAGCCACAATGTCTGACCTCCTACCATAAGCCTTTAAGCCCTTCATTGCTCCAAGGTGCCTGATGGCTGAATCCAAAGCTTCTTCGACCATGCAAGGCCCAACACGCTCAGGTCTCCATCTTAAACAAATCACTGGATAAGAACATCTTGGGCCTGCCTCATCTCTCCTAATTTCTACATTCAGGGATTGGCCTTGTAACCTCTGTGAAAGAGTCACCTGGAGACATTCATCTACAGGCACACACATACACCAGTTCTAATGTTTCTGAGCCCAGCCAGAGTAGGGAAGTGCCTTCTCAAACAGAAAGAGCCCTAGGAATGGCAATTTTATCAAGTACAAATTTGGAGTTTAAAACCCCAGGTTTTAACTTGGGGTTTTAAACTCTCAGAGGAACTTGGATTACTTCTACCCCTGTGCTCCATTCTCCCTAAACAATCACCTAGAACTTTTGTCTCTGTTTGATCTTTTCCCCTCATTTTCTTTAGAGGTTTTATTCCTTGTTCCCCATCCAAAAACAACAGCAGACAAAATAAATTTTAATGACATAAGAATTTGCATAATAACATATGGGTCCAACTGTACTTTGTATTGGAGGTGACATTTGTGCAAATATATTTTGTAAACCAGAAGACCTGAGTTCTAGTTTCAACTCAGCCCATCATTTTGTCACCTTAGATAAGTCACTGCTTGTGTTTGAATTTTTAGCTCCTTTGTTTGTCAAAAAACAAAAAAAAATCTTCATGATCTGTGTGTCACTGAGAAGGTCTAATGACTAATTCACTCAAATGGGTTAATGCACTTTTGCAGAATTAAAGGAACAATTTCAGAGTACGGTGACAGCTCAGTAAAGGGCTGGGATCCAGGGTCTGGAATTCCAGCCCTAAGTCTGCCCCTTACCAGCTCACTGGAATAGCTCTGCTCTCTTCCTCTTGCCTTCTAAATGAGGAGTTTGGATGAGATGGCTTCCCAGGACATTTCCAACTCTAATAGTCTAGGATTATAATGCTTCTCAACACTCTTATCAAATTCACTCATCAATCCTTCCTGCACAGAAATAGCCCTTCTTATATGGCCTTCCATTCTTCCCATTCGTCTAGGTAACCACTTCAGAATGTTGAAAACTGTTGTACAAAGTAATTAATGAGCTGCCCTGGATCTGAGGCAAGCGACGGAAGAGTCAAGATGATTAAAAGTCTTCTGATAAAGGGTTTCTTTAAGGAAAAGAAAATCCCACAATGCAACCAGCAATGTTAATCTTCAATAAATACGCTGTTAATATTTAACTGGCATTTATTTAAACTTACAGTAACGGTCCTATTAAATCTAAATTAATTGCCCATTTGGGAATCTTCCCCTAAAGCCTAGCTGGGACATGGCTATCTAGATACAGTCTATGCTAGGCATCCAGCCATAAAGAGAATATTTACACACTCCTTCCATGACTAGACTATTGGAATATCCGGGTTAGAAGAGTTTTAGAGATCTATTGGACTGGTTGCACACTGTCTGTCCTTTAACTTTCCGCGGCCCTATTTTTTTTTTTCTTCTCTTCAGTAAGGGATTTTTTCTGTGTTTCCTGTATCTACCTCTTCCCACCTTTTCTTTTTATTTGGATTCTCTCTCCTTTCTGTTAGTGTTTGTTTCTTCTGGACTTCATGGTTTAGACTCATCCTGCTGTGTTTTATCTCAATCTCTGCTGAGTTTCTCAGATAAGCCATTTAGGCATATGTTCATAGCATATTCTGTACACACACGGATACATATACATACATATAATTTTATGTGTCACAGAGAACATTTTATAATAGCAGTTGTATATAAAAGGCTAAGTGCCGTGAAATAATTCCTGAGTCATGCTGCTTTAGAAGGGGCAGCAAGAGTGTAATTGGGTAGAACTGATATTTGCTATCCCTGAAATCAATCAATATTCTTTATTAGAAATGTGGACCTGGATGAACTGCTGTGATGTTATTTTGCTGGGATTGTAACCCATTTACATTTCCACACCAAACATATACAGACACACCATACCAGTTTCATCAGATCAGTTGACTACTGAGACATGGATTTCAAACAAACACCTAATTAGAGGGGTTAGTGTTCAAACTGAGTTAACTTTAAACCAATGCATCAAGGCTGCACAGAATCTGAACTTTCCTTGGGGAAGCAGGAACTGGATGAGACTAAAATCGTTCACTCTAAGGTTCTAAATGTTTAGTTCACCAAGTTTGATTTGTAAATGTTCACTGTTTGCTTTGCAGGCCCCGGGACAGGAATGGTAGTAGGGAGGGGACAAAGCACCAGTGAGGAGCAGGTGAAGTGGTGGGAAGGCACCCACACATTTTAAGAAGATAAACATACTCTCAACTGTTTGTTTGTGGAAGGCTTGAATTTGTACTGCCCTAGAAGTCAAGTTTCTTTGTATTTCTAGCTAAACTAATACCCAAACTATCCACTTCCTTTTTTAATTCTTTACTTCAATTTAAAGTATCTATTGACTCTGACAAACTTATTGACTCTTACAAAGAAATAATAAAATGCATTTCTGTATGCTTGTGAATCTCTGTGACTTTCACCTTGTTGGTCCACCTGTATGCATTACCATCGTGAGTTCAGGGCCTTTCTAAATAAAGTAATTGAGGTTGCCCTTGGGGCATCACAGCCTTGTGCTTCTTTCCCAACCTGGGGTTGACATGGGCAGCACCTCCCAGAAAGAAATGATTTCCCTAAAGCTTTGGTATGCTTTCCTTCACTAGCTTAGCACAAAACTACCAGTGGTACTGCAGGTCGTGAGAAAGAAGGAGCAACTTGTGAGTGTCTTAGGAAAATGAACTTATGTGCTGTTCAGGTAGCTTTGAACCTGGAGGAGGCAGAATTTGGAAAATGTTGTCAACGTGCATGTGAATAAACCACAACACATGAAATAATCTACCCTGGCTTTCACAACAGTTTTGACAAGGTGTCAGGATCACAGATACCTTTTAGAAAAGTGAGTAATGAGAAGACTATCTTTTTTTTTTTCAAAGGCAGAGAGCTGCTTAAAGCTAAGATATAAATCAAGGGTAGATTGACATGTTTCTATATGGCCAAGTATTAATACTAGATTCCCCAAGGGACAGTTGCTAGGACAAATCAAATTTAATATTTTTACCAATGATCTGTCAAAGGGAATTCATAGAGAACTCTCCCAAGTTTGCAGAAGACATTAGGTTCCCTTAAGTAATTAAAACTTTAGCTCACATGGATGAGCTGCAAATAATCCAGAAAGTTATTTGGATATGTGGAAAAGTGGCCAAATATAATGGAAGATACTTTAGAAAAAATAAAGTATGCATGTAAGTTGCTGGCATCTAGGCAGTCGATGAAGAGACAGTGATGTGGAAGGGATTGGGCATGAATGCTGGAGTTAATGGCTTTGACTTTATGTCCAAGTTCCACAAATTACCAGCTTGACCTTGGAAAATGTTCTCACCTCTCAGAGTCTCCTTTTCCTCTTCTATTAAAAAGGAATAATACCTACCTCTTATATTTGCTGTGAGGGTTAAATGAAATAATTTATGTAAAGTACCAGTGAAGTACCTGGCCTGTAGTACCAACTCCACAAATGGTTGCTACTGATTATTCTTTTACAACCCAGGAAAGTAATCTTGGAATCAGTGATGGCTAGCAGTTCCCAAGCTATGATCCTTACAACACATATTGGAGCATGATACTATAGATTGCTTTCTGCAGGTATCAGGAATTTTTGCCAAAAAACAAGTGTTGGCCCAAACATTTTTATGGAAAACACTAAAAAGGGTATTAGAAAAAATAGGAACGAGAAAGAAATGTTATTTTTACTCAAAATTGTTCCATAAAAATTCTCCTAGTATTGCTTATAGTAGTTATCACTGTAGCTCACAAATAATAAACTTCATGCAACCAACTGCTGAAATCAGAAATCGAGTCACTTTTAATCTCTTCCCTCTTATCACTGCCCCTCATTACCCAATCTCTCTCTCTCTCTTTCTCTCTCTCTCTCCCTCTTTCTCTCTCTCAGTCTTTTTCCTGTGTTCTTCCTCCAAAATATATTTTACATCCATCCACCTTTCTCAACCTCCACTGCCTTGCCTGGCCCAAGCCAAGATCTCCTCATTTTCTTATCTGGATTCCTGAAATTCATCTTACGTGGATGTCCTCCTTCTGCTCTTGCCAGCTCTGTTTCAATCTCCACATTGAAAGGAAGATTTCCTGAAATCTGACCTTGTCACTGTCCTGATTAAATCTTTGGTGGCTCCACACTGCAATTTGAATAAAGCTCCAAATCCTTCCTGTGGTTTCTGAGCCCTCAGGACGTGGCATCTGTGTATTTTCAGCTTTAGCAACTACTTCTTCTTCCCTTTTGGAGCCATGTCAGATTTTGTTTTATTGTATTACACTTCTAATTCCTCAGAGGTTCTTCTTTCTCAATTGAGGGACTTTGCATGTTCCACTTCCTGCCTAGGATGCAGTCCCCATGGTCTCGGGCTGAGTTGTCGTCACCCTTCTCGGTTCTGACTGGCTCATGAAGGCCTCACTGTGCTAGTCCACTGGACTTGGCACATGCCCTCTGCATCAGTGCCTCGCATAACACTCAGAATACATGTAATGGTCTAATTTCTGTCTTTTTCTCTGTTACATTCCTGAAACCTAACACAATGCCTGGAACATAATTGGTTTTGATAAATATTTGTTGTATTTAAGTGACCAGCACAGCTGAGGAAAATTCAAAAATTGAAATAATTTGTTTTGTAGGGACTTCCAAATCTCTACAAACGAGGAACATGAAATTGATGATGACATTTGGTATTCACGATGTATAAGGATAGAGTGAACACATACTTAATGACCAAACTCTAGCTAAAATAAAATAAAAAAACTCTTAAGAAATCAAGACAGTAGTTAAAGGATAAAAACAAGTATGTCTGAATAAAACTTATACAGACAAAAATAATCTCTAAATAAGATATGAAAAGGTTTGAATAAATTAACGTGTGATATACCCACACTGTTTGTTAGGTTAGAGGCATCTGCTATATATCTGTAACCTTTGAAGTATGACTCATGTAAAATTGCCACTGTCCAAAGCAGGTAACTCGGACATCTGAATTTATGTGACCCAGTGTGACCTTTCTAATGTCATGGTCCCATCTACCCAGTAATTCCATTTTCTGCCTGGCTGGGGATACTTCAATTATGCTTATCTCGCCCTTCTCTCACCCCTACATTATGTTACAACTTCTTGTAGAAGGTTTATGTACACTTGGTAAAGGCATTTTTAAAAATACTATGAAAAGTGTGTGCATGATTTATGTGGAAATGCCCCCTGAGGAGGAGAACAGTTCCCTTTAGGCAGGGTTAGTTGGCCCGCCTTGCTTTCCAATCCTTCACATGCTTGGCTGTTTCCTCCATGTATGACCTCCAACTTTCACTCTTCACTGGGCTGGGGACCCCTGCTCCTCTGTGCACTCACTTGTTTTTTGTACACTGCCTCTGAATTTACCTTGGACACATACTTCACTTCACTTGGCTGCCTCGTTCCAAAAGTTTGACTTCTAGCAACCAGAAGAGCTGGATTACGACATACGTCTCTAAACTCTGTCTTAGCTCTTTCTAGCCACCTCAATGCATCCCCGTGTCAGCCTACATTTTAGAGCGTGATGGGAAGCAATTTGTTTTCCATAGAATTTTTCATTTTTCGCTCTAGTGGAAGAGAATGGTGACAGCAATCATCCCAAGCAATAGATCATGCATGAGCCTGAGTTCTCGACTTTGTGCTCCACAGCGTTGGCCTCAACAGAAGGTGGGGGAAACTAGATTATTTTTCAATTTCATTTCCTGAAGACACAGATGTGTAAATGCACAGAGCCCAAGAGATTGAAAAACATGGTAGGCCAAGATTAGACTGGCTTTAGAAAATGTTCTCCCAAATCAAGATCAGAGTAAGTTAGTTGAAAAGATTATTTTTGATTGCCCAGTAGGGATGAGAACACCCTTCTCACATTTATTCAACAAGCATATCCTAGGGTAGGTGGCGTGTTACATCAGGGACTGTCATATCCTTGGTATCCAACCTCCATGGCTACAGACTGCTGGAAGAGATGAATGTTAGAAATAATTGCACAGATAATCAATGAATCACAATTGGAGTCAATACTACAAAGGGAATGTACACAATTTCAAAAGAACAGAAAAGGGGAGAGTGTCTTATTTATAATCACTCGATCTCAGCAAAGAACAGGTAAAACACATTCAATGATAAATGGGAGAAGAATTAATGAACGAATGAATAAACATGTAAAAAATATCTAGGCCTGTGCGTCTCAATGTTTTTCCACAAAGCCAGTTGGTCATACTTCCCCACAGGCAGACATCAGCACTGGTTCCCTTTCCTTCTTCTAAAAGGCAGTCATATTCCAGAGAACTGGCGTGCTTTCCCACATTCTTATTATTTATCAAACAAAAATAGAAGAGGTTTGTAAATCAGGTTATATAAACATTTCGAGCACAGTCATTCTGCTCTTAGGAGAGATAGCTAACCACACTCTCATAACAAATCCACTTTGATCCCAACATCCCACTTACGACCTCCTAGCACTCTCCATCCAAGAATAACATTAATAATAATCAGCCTATTAGCCAGGGTGCTTGGTTTGAATCCGAAATATTTGAGAAATGATCTTATAAATTATTTTCCAAGGATATCATCTTTAAGCATTAACAGGCACAACTGACACTGAATTCTGGGAATTGAGCATAATTACATGGAAATTGACACGACACAAATGCCAAGAATTCTGTTAACCTTTAATATCTTTTAAAAACTCTCCCCTCATAATTATCTCTTTCCTTTGTCTCAAATGTTACTGATGAATATTTAGAGGTATGAGCAAACAAAAAAAGTGGATGGATTGTGGAATATTGGTCTTTGTTTGGAATCCTAGAGTTTCCCAGGTGTTCCATCAAGAGGTGATAAATAGAATACTTGGAATTTGACTATTTTCAGAAGTTATTTCTACCTTTATATTTGCTCTACTCGAGTTTTCTGCTTATAATTTCCCATGCTGAGTAGAAGCTCCTTTGCATTAGTAATTACAGTAAAAGTGTAGTTCTAAGGCACTGGGTGTCTAACACAATTCCTGACCTGTGCTGTGTCTTTGCAAAAGTCATTGCACCTTTTCAGTGCTTCAGATACCATCTCTGTACAGTGAGTGTGATGACATTTAACTCCAACTGCAACAATATTTGCACAGTGATGTAAACTTTACCAAGGGCATTGCCAACCCTTTGCTCACTGGTAGATCAGTGCCTCTTAATTTTTTTCCTTCTTGCCAGTCTCCAATGCTACCACCAAGGCTCTCTTGCTTTTTTTCTTTCCCCTCTCTCTCTACTCTTTTAATTAAATCCTAACTCATCTCTCTGCTTCCAACCCTGCCTCTGCATTAGTCAGTGCTTCTTAACAGGGGCAGGGCACACTCCTTGGATTGTGGGAGTGGAAAATTGATTGGATATTGGTCACCACCATAATTGGAGAGGTACTGCTGCCGTTTAGTGTACAGAGGCCGCAGAGGTTAGAGACGCAGCAACGCATGGCTATTCAGCCACGGACGTCAAATGCCTGCCAGACATTTAGGTGAGTGAAACCTTTTTCTTTCAAAAATCTAAGCCTAGGCCGGGCGCGGTGGCTCACACCTGTAATCCCAGCACTTTGGGAGACCCAGGTGGGCGGATCACGAGGTCAGGAGATCGAGACCATCCTGGCTAACACAGTGAAAGCCCATCTCCAATAAAAATACAAAAAATTAGCCCGGCTTGGTGGCGGGCGCCTGTAGTCCCAGCTACTCCGGAGGCTGAGGCAGGAGAATGGCGTGAACCCGGGAGGCGGAGCTTGCAGTGAGCTGAGATCACACCACCGCACTCCAGCCTGGGCGACAGAGCCAGACTCCGTCTCAGAGAAAAAAAAAAAAAAAAAAAAAAAGCCTAAAATGTACTCCATTTGGCATGTAAACACAGATATTCTTGCCAGGTTTTAATATTCGCTAATTCTCCAGGAATGCAACTATCCTGCAAGTCAAAGAAAGACTGTGTTTGATTTGTTCACATCTTTACCAAGAAGTGTTCACTAGTTTGAAAAATCACGTACTCAGTGGGAATGTTTCTCATAATATTGAGTCATCAATTAATTCTACATCCTTGTAGCAGGTCTCTACTGTTGCTTAGCTGTCACATTCATGGTGATTCTGCATATAGACGCTTCCATACTTCATTATATCCTATGGGGTAGTTGTATCCAAATATTTATTTTACATTTATATTATTATCAATCATTTTCTATTTATTTCTCCTTCAGATTCAGTCAGACTTTATATAGGTCATTTTTTGAAGTATGTGATAGGTGTTATATGTTATCTGTGAACTTATTTTCTGCACAGTAATGAGGGTATTATAAAATATTTTCAATGATTTTTATGTTAGAAAAAGTTAAGAATAGCAGATGTACGGCATTTCACATGCAGAAGCCAGCTTTATCTTTCTCAGGCAGGGATCAGATGATGTCCTTTACTTATGTAGGAAGTTTCAGTGGCTCCCCCTGCCTATGACATAAAGACCCAACTCTTAAGACTGACAATCAAGAAGTATCCCAAGTTAATTAAATAGTGTTAGTCTTTGTTGTGGCCTCATTTTTGCACTCATGTAACATCCTAGGACCCAATCAACCTGGACTAGACGTTCTTCTTGGAAAGTTGCCCTGCATATCACAAACTGTGTAGATGCTCAGACTTTTGCTCTGCCAAGATGCCCTCCTACCATCCACAGCTTTCTAAATCCTATTCAGGTTTCAAGAACCAGTTCAGATTCTACTTCCTCCATGAAACATTAGTTTAACCAATGCTTCCCATGCCTCTCTTTTCTATTAGTTGAAATCAATTATTTTAAAGGAAATGTATATATATACACACACACACATATATATGTATATTTCACATATATAATGTGAAATAATATATATATATATTTCACAATCTAGAACTCTGTAAATGTGTGTATGTGTATCTACATTGTAATGGACTGTAGATTTGTCTGATCTTACCAACTAGGTTGTAAGCTCTCTGAAGGCAGTTGCCATTTCTTGTTCATTTTTGTACCTGCCCAACACTGAGCAAAGTATATGACCCTGAGTGTGAGTTCAACAAATATCCATTGAAATAAAATGACCTCTCAGTGATTGAGAAAGGTAGTCTAGGTACTATTACCTTTATTTCATGCATGAGAAAACGAAGCTGTAAATGAGTCCTAACAGGTTGTGGTATGCAGAGTGTCAGATGAGGCACACTGTATGGGTGAAATGTATGGTTACTTCCAGCCCATGCCAGGTCCAGGCCTGCACCTGGAAAAGATCTAGAGAGGCTGACCTACATTTCTGCTGCCAGAAAATAAAAATCTTCATTTCCAGATCAGCTTTCCAATACACGGGTTTGGATTTATGGGACTCTATATATCAGTGATGATGGCAACTCTTCCACCTCTTAAAACCTAATCACCGAATAGAGCTGCAGGTTTTCTCTTTTTAAGATATGTTCTCAGCAGAATCCCTCCAGAAATAAGACTTGAGCTTCCCAGAAGCTTCTTCAGGCTTGCCCGGTGTGCAAGGGTCGAGCTTCAGTTACACCCCTTGGCACAGCGCCAGCCTTGGCAGACCCATCCGTCACAGCAAAGCCTGCTCTTCTCCCACACTGCTGGCGTTGGAAATGGAAGTGGCCTTTCAACAGAACATTGTCTTAGGATTGTGTGAAGCAAGGCTGACAGAGAAAGGAAGATTCATTCCTGACACCAATCATACTAGTATCTGTCACCAAAATGACATTTTCCCTTTAATGATGAAAAATGCATCAGGAAAGAGGGAGGAGGATGAACAACCTCCCTGGGCTGCTCTGGTTTGATAGGGAGGAGCCCGGGCTGCTGCTGGTGGTTTGCAATCTGGAGGAGGTGAGGCGATGGACAGCCAGTTGGTCACTGAACAAACACAACTGGTGCTCTGTTTGGAAGCGAAGGGTGCAAGCAGATGGAAGCCTGTGGGTTAGGCAGTGTCACGGCACATCTGACTGATTTCTCATTAGGCCCTTTGCCTGGGGTTTCAATAGAACTGCCTCCATGTCTGTCAGGCCCCAAGCAGAGGCTCAGTACTGCTTTTCAGAGCTGCCATACACATAGTTTACCACATCCAGTTTTGCAGAGCTCATAAATCTTCCCAAGTCTTCACTCCCTTACTTTCTTATGTGGAAGGGCCACAGTGCGGATCCCATATGCACATCCAGGGTGAATCTGTTGGTGGGGATGACCCATGTATGGGTGAAAGTGCCTTTAGGCCAATACTTTATAGACCAAGCCTGAACACATGGAGAGGTGGGGACAGCAGAGTAACTGGCTCGTGTCTCCTAATTAGGCAAGCATGTGGCTGGCGGTTGAAGAGAAGCCGCACAATTGCCCCCAGTGCTCACAGAGTATTTCCCAACAAACACCAGATTGTTATCCAGAAGTCCATTGTTCACAGAGGTGTTCGGTGCTGACTTCTATATAAAATGCCTTTCCCTCTCCTTCCTTCTTTCCTACTGGCAAAGCCTGCCTCCCACAAAAGAAGCTAAAAATGCCAGATATTCACCTTTCTCTCTCTTTTGCAGCTATGCAGGTCACTTTACACAGTAGAAGGACTAGATATTCCTCCTCATCAAAAAGAAACATGCGCCCTCTTCCAGGCCCACTTGATTACTATCTTTGATCATGGTTAGGTGATGGTGTGAGAGATGAAGAAAGGTGGCCACCTTTCACTCATGACACGCAGATCTCACATGCCGAGCATGATGGAGACCAACTCTGAGGTCCTGGGTCCTGGAGGCCATTGCTGAGCATGGACACACCCCACCTCCAGGCTTCCTTGATGCCCTCACTTTTTAAGCATCTGCTGTAAGGGGCTTGATTACTTGCAACCAAAAACATCCAAAGTATTCCATTTCCATTTCCTTGGGAGAAAGATATTTTAAAGCTCTGAAGATGGTACTTTGAGATTCCTTCACTCAGCCCCGAGCTGGTGCTGCTGTGTCCACACGTCTTCTGCCTTCTGCTCCAGCTTTCGTTTATTCCCTCACTCTCATAGACATTGGCAGACCCAGCCTGTTAATGCACCAAGAATAATACTCCTAGAAGCACTAGGGTACTTCTAAAGTTTAATGCTTTCACTATTCTTTGCAACGTTAATTAACACAACACCCCCTCATTAGCTAACCTGCCAACAAAGCAACTCCGAATCATTTTCTTCTTTACGAAGGAGGAAACTGACTCATTTATATACCTGTATTTGCATGAGTGGGCTTCTGGCTCCCCCTCTGCTCCTCCTACATTCTCACTTTCAAATATATTTTAGGCCAGCAATGCTGCAATTTCAAAGGGACTTCACCTAAACAATTGAGCACCCAAAATAATTGATACACTAGTGCACATTTTTAAAATTCTAGCCCTAATACCCAACCCTACCAATAATCCAGACCACAATGTCCACATCCTACATTCGGGCTGAATATGCTGTTCTCCTATAAAGTTCTTGGTTTTTCTGCCTCCTTCTGCCCTTCCAGACAAGGTAGAATCCCCCAACAAGAGCTCAAAGTCCAAAGTGACTTCTTAGCTCCATAAGTGACACTCAGAGCTCTGCTGTAAGGGAGAGAAAGGGTATGCCAAGGCTGTTCCCAGGGAAGAACAGCAGGCTGCAGGAGAAGAGTTTTCTGTCTGGAAGCTGAAATGCTGAGGTGGCCCTGCTGTGGGGCCTTCTGCAATGAGATGCCCCGCTTCACAGTGGATTCTTGTCAGGAGGAGCTCTGGCTCTTTGGGGATGCCGGGCTGGCCTGGGCAAGGTCAAAGCTATGGCTACCCCTCTTGCCCAGTCCACAGTGTCACCTGCTCCTTGACAGGAGAACCTGATGAGCTTGGAGGCAGCAGCGTCTTTAAATTTCCTCCACCCTCAAGTCTGTTAACAAGAGGGCAGCATGTGGCCATCCCGCACCATGCCGACAATGCAGTCAAATGCTCATTAGAGGCACTGGGGGCACCCCACATCTAGTAGAAAATACACAGAGAAAAGTAGGGGGCAAAGCACTGCATGCCTTACTTTTAAATTAGAAATCAGCCAGGGCTTCCTGACAACAAAGGAAATTACACACAGCTGAGAGGAGTGATGCACTATGTGCACACAATTGTAATTCACACGCATTACTTTGTTCATGAAATGGTTGATAAACTTTTGAGAATGAGAAAGATTCTCTCTCTTTGCACGGTTACAATAACCATAATTGATATCAAAATGTTAGATTTGCGGAATAAATTATACTTTATCATGTAATGTAATTCTCACCCAGCTACCCTGTCTAGCAGAACCATGTCCCATTTGACAGATGAGTGAACCAAGCCTTAAATGGGAAGAAGAAGAAGGCGGAGGAGAAGGAGGAGGAAAGAAGAAGAAGAAAGAGGAGGAGGAAGAGGAGAAGGGGAGGAGGAAGAAGAGGAGCAGCTGACAAAGTTCCCATAGTGGAATGTGGAAGACCTTGGTTTCAAATTTAGTCGTCTAACTCCAAATCAGTGTATTTTACTGGGCTGTAGCTTAATAAATACAAGAAGCTACCCTCTCTCCTTGAGAAATACTCCCTAGGCTGTGGCTCATTTTAGAGAGTAAGAAGTGTTTAGATAGGATAACAGAGATAATTTACAAAGGGCAAAAGGAAGACTATGATTCAGGAGCAGACGAATGAGAATCAGAACCATTGTCAAGAATTAGGCCCAGTGAAAAAATGGGACATGTAAAAGAGAGAGAAAGAAAGTCCAAAATGTCTGAGCAATGTAACAGGCCTGCCATTTATCTCACTTCTGAATATCAGAAAAGGCAGCATTTGTTGTCCACAGAAAAATACATGGGATTTATAGACACTGCCAGGCTCAAGGACCAGTGACACAACTCCCACCGCAGAGAGCCCTGTGGGGTGCTTTCCAGTGGCCACTGGTGGAGTGGGCAGAGTCCTCGGGGAACCAGAGGCCTGCTATGCATCTGGAGAGCTGCTTGCTCAGGATGTCATGGCTAAACTCCTTGATCTCTTGGCAGCGTGTGGCCCCGTGAAATGTGCTTCTTCTTTTTGAAAAGGCCTCTTTTTTTGGAAGTCAAGTCACCACACCATTTAGATTCCCCATACTTCTGGACAGCATCTTCCCAAGTGCTTTCCCCAACTTGTGGTCAACCCTGTCTTATACCTCATCTCGATCTCTGTCAATCAACACTATTCACCCCTCAAGACACGCTTCGACTGACTGCCCCCGCAACCCTTCCATGGAGTCCTGTCTTTTGGTCGTCCCAGTGAGAAGGGATCTCTCTCTTCTGAATGCCTGTAATGTTTTGTGTCTCCTATAGCACATTGAACACACTGCCTTCTGATATAGTTGGGTGTCAACATATGGTATCCTCCCTACAAGGGATTAGCTTGTTTCTAAGACCTTAGTCTTTTTATTAGACCAATTTACTTGATAGATGAAAAGACTCATAGAAGTCATCTAAATCAATGTGCCCATGTTGTAGATGAGGAAATGAGCCCTAGAGAGCTGACATAGTCTAAACAAATTCGCACATTCTCCTCTCGCTAGGCTAGAGGAGAGCTGGAATTCATTTGCACCCTGAAATCAGGGACGTGCTTGCCCAGAATGAGGACAGAAAAGGTTGAAGGAATGAATGATTCTGACAAATCCCCTAGACCTGCCATCCCACTGTCAAAAGTGGTTCTGCCAGAGACACAGACAATGAGTAGGGGATCCTCAAGTCAACCTCATCCCAGAGATAACCATCTCACTTAGCATGCGTCCGGGTGGCACCATCAGCAGCACACAGTATCTGTTCCCATCCAAAGAGCTTTTCACGAGGAGCTCGTTCTGAGCTTCTTGATAAGCAACTGGGTAGTGGTGCTATTTTTAATCAGCTGACCAGGGATGAAAGTTGTTCAGAGAATTCTGCTTTCATACATTAGAAAAAAAACCCAGAAAATCAATCTAGCACTAATAAAAGATGATTGAAAATTGCTAATACCAACCAATTGTGAAACTTTGCCTTACAAAAAAGGAGAGCGCTCATGAGTTTCCTCGTCTCCTCTACTGTAAACAACGCACAGGGCTCAGCTCCTACCACTGTCTCCCCCTGCACTCAGCAGGCTGCTGGTGGTTATTACAGGAGGCTGCCTTACCATTAGCACAGCAATGCCAATTAATTGCAGTCATGAGCAGACTTCACATTTAAGGAACCTCACAGCCTGAGCCCTAGCAGCATTTGTAGATTCAGAATGTGTTTAGAAAGCTCTGTTTCCAGGGGGTATGGTGTGTGTCTCTACAAAGAGGGGAAGTCTCTGAGGGTCAGGGGTGAGGTGGATATGTGTGTGTGTGTGTGAGAGAGAGAGAGAGACAGAGAGAGAGAGAGAGAGAGACAGAGAGAGAGAGAGAGAGGGAGAGAGAGGGCCTGTGTGTGCTGTGCATATTTCTGCTATCTTAAAGTAGCCAGGTGCCTTCCTTTGGAGCAGAGAATTGGGTCAGGGAGGAGTGCACTGCTGGAGAGATGAGCTTTGGGTGGGCTGAGAAGGAGGAGTCTCTGTGAACAAGAGAAATGAGACTTTGAATACAAGGGATTTGGGAAAGGAGCTAAATGCATGCCTAAGTAGGAAGTTTCTGAAGGTGGAGGGAGAGGGTTCCTGCAGAGACATCCATCTTTGGTTTTGGAAACAATTTATCATGCAAAAGAGGGATGCTACTGATCCCTCATGCAAAAGAGGGGCGCTACAGTGCTCCATGCCTCTTGGGTTCCTGTACTTTCCTTCCCCCAGTTTCTTCATGAAAACCTCAGATGTGCCTCTCTTTGCACTTCCCACTCTGTTGTTCGTATTCTCTCCTTTCTCTCTATTTGTAAGTGACAGGCGGTGAGGACAAAGTCCCTACTCCTTACTAGGCAAACAGGCTCCACTGAGTCTGTTGTTTAGAACCTTGTGGAAGTCCTGAAACAAACCCTAAAAGGAGCACTGTTTTCCCTTGAGGACCTTCTAATGTATTTTTTTTTAAAGGCCCACACACTGGGCCGTCAAAGTCACATGCAATATGACAAAGTGGGTAATTATGTTTTGCTTAGCACACATCAAAGGAACAAATGGCTGGAGAGTGGTGTGTGCTGTGCACTCAGGCGTGATGTGTGAGGCCAGCCTGGCTGGGGGTATGGGCTGGGGTGTGGCCATCAGAGCCCAGGCTGGCCCTCTGGTCCCCTACCTTAAAAGGAAGGAGGCTGTGAGACTTACTTCAATCTGGGAGCTGAAGTGGAATCTGCCTGGCCTGTATCTTATGCTCCTTTGTTTGGTTTGCATGGAAACCTGTGTTTATGGGGAAACTCCAGGCCTGCTTGCTACAGACAGATGTTTCTGATCTCTGTCCCTTATCATGTTAAGAATGTTCCTTTTGGGAGATGAACCATCATTTTATTTTCTCTTGCACTGGTGCAGGAGATGGAAATAAATTACCAACACTTCCTAAAATCCGGACGCTCCCTTTGGAAGTGGGTGACTCCAAGCAGCCTTTGACAAGGGACTCATTTAGCACTCAATGCTGCTGCAGCTCAATGAAAAGAGAGGCTGCACCGAAGGTACAAATTATGTCCACGGTCCTTGTCACTGGTAAAATAAAAAAAAAAAAAATAAAGAGGAATAAAGCTAGATTCTATGTCGCCGATGCCGAGACCAGGCTCCTCTTTAAATGCAGGAGGTCTTCATCTCATCTCCCCTTCCCTCTACCTACCCCACAGGCTGGAAAAACTTGTCACTTTAAAATTTAATTATATAAAATCCTGCTCCCTTTACCCCCTGTGGATGAGCAATTGTTCTGCTATTTCTATAAGACGCCACAGGAAATATGAAAATAGGAGGCAGGATTTGGAGCAAGACTGTTCCTGAATGCCTGTGGTTAGCAGCGTCAGAGATGGCTGTGAGGATTTTACATCTGCGACAAGGAAGTGGAAGGAGGAGGGAGAAAGAGTGGGAAGGCAGGTACCACAAGAGACCTGTCTCGGGATGCTGCAGTGACCTTTGACCTGAAGGAACCAAACCTGGGGCTGAACCGAAAGGAGAACAGCCCTCACCTGTGCCAAGCTCACTTCCTAAGGCAGGAGATCCGGGCTGGCAGATGGGTCAAAATGAGTCATGAGCTGGAGGGGAATGAACGACGCATTTCTCCGCAGTGTGAAATGCCCTCTCCAAAACAGGCCGGGTGGTATCCATGGTCTCATTCATTCTTTTTTTGTTTTTTTGAGATCGAGTCTCACTCTGTCGCCGAGGCTGGAGTGTAGTGGTGCAATCTCAGCTCACTGCAACCTCCACCTCCCGGGTTCAAGCGATTCTCCTGCCTCAGCCTCCCGAGTAGCTGAAACCACAGGCGCACGCCACCATGCTTGGCTAAGTTTTGTATTTTTAGTAGAGACAGGGTTTCACCATATTAATCAGGCTGGTCTCGAAGTCCTAATTTCAGGTTATCCACCCAGCTTGGCCTCGTAAAATATTCTTTAACCAAATATTTTACTGGAAAGCAGTTTTGAGTAGCAACTCAAAGTATAGGCACTGAAGCCAGAAGCTGAGATTTCAATCATGGCTCCTTCACTTACTAAAGGGATTAATGTGGCAAGTTACTCTCTTCTTGCCTTGGTTTTCTCATCTGTAAACTGAAGATGACAATAATAGTACCTTCTTCATATAAAGTGCCTAGAACAGTGCTATCATAATCATCTGATAAGCCACCACAATATAGCAAATACTGAACTAGATACAAGGACAACAGTGCAGTAGGAGGTCCTGTGCTTGCATTCTGGTGGCTCATAACTTAATGGGGAAGATAGATGTGTATACACATTACCTACAGTGCGATGGGAGCAAAGAGAGTGGCATCTAACAAGTCTGAAATTTTGAAGATGAGTCCATCTAAGGATCAAAGGATTTGGGAACACTTAGCAGAAGAGATGGATCTGTAGTTTTTTTAGAATTGGTAGGAAGTTACCAATTGGAGAGCGGAATCAGATAATTTGTAGCACACAACAGAAAGAACAAAGAAGCTGAGGTTTAAGGCATCTTGGCCTGTTTGGTAAGACACAGTGAAAAGTGACTTGTGCCTGAAGAATGGCAGGAGAAGAAGCCAGAAAGAAGCCCACAAGGCTCGCTAGACAGTTTGGGTTTCATTGTGTTAGAAATCAGGATTCACTGAATTTCCTGTTTTGTTTTTGTTTTTGTTCCCAGGCACTCAGTCTTTTCATTTTCTTCAGCTTTATTGAGATATAATTGACAAATAAAACTGTATATATTCAAGGTGTACAACATGATGTTTTGATGTAAGTATGCATTGTGAAGTGATTGCCACAATTAAGCTAATTAACATATCCATCACATCACATAGTTACCTCTTTTTGGTGTGTGTGACAAAAATACTTACAATCTAATCTGTTAGAACATTTCAAGTGTACAATACATTGTTATCAACTGTAGTCATCATGCTGTACGTTACTTCTCCAGAACTTATTCATCAGGGGCTTTAGAGCTATACTGATGGGGGTTTTACCAGCTGCCTATTTGACCTTAGACAAGGTGTAAAATGAGAATGGTAGTGCTCGCTTGCGGAGCTACTATGAGGATTAAATGAGACAATGCACAGAACAGTGCCTAACGCACAGTAGGCACTCTATCAATGAGAGGTCTTAGTATCATCCCAGCGGGACAGATAAAGACCAGCAAGCCCTTCCTCAGGGATGTATGGAGACACAGCGTCCCTTCCTCCCTGCTAAAAAGCACAGAAACATCGTTAGCAAAGCTTGGCTCTGTCATCTTACCAGGGTAATGGTCAGAGCTTTGTAGGAAAGCTCCCTCAAGCTCCCTGGCCTCTGCAGGGATCTCACCTGAATCTCTAGTGTAGCCCTGCACCTGGGAAACAGAAGGAGACACAAGCAAACAGCAATCCCTGCCGAGTTAGCAAGACAGCAGCCACCAAATGGACAGTTTACTCTATAAACACAAGAGGCGTGCCTCAGACCCAGTTAGAAGGGATCTTTTTAGAGGTAGAGTGCAAATATGAGCAAAAGTGACTCAACTCAGGACTGGATAATGAACTGCTGCCCCAGCAAAACCATTGCATCCCCAGGTGGGGAACGGGGAAGAGGCTCCCAAGCCAAGGCAGTCTCCTCCACAGCCTGCCTGGGCAGAGAATTTCATTGAGGAGGATGAAGCCACAGGAATTAGAGACAGCCAGGAGGTCCAAGGCCCTTCCATTGCCAGTGGGAGTGTGGGGGCTTGGTTTTATTAAATAGAAGCTGGTGGTTTTCATGGCGTGAACCATTACAAACAGATGCATGGCAGGGAAGGATGGCTAGAAAGCATTTAACCAGGACAGAGTGAACTGGACAGGATTAAATCAAACTCAGGCACTGGCTTCACTGAGCCTTGCTTGTGCCTGGCTTGCCCTCAGAGAACGGCAAGGTTGAAACTGTACTGGTTGGCAGGGCTGGTGGGGAAGAGAGGGGTCTCTTGGGAAAACTAGGAGATTGAAGGAAAGGCAGGGAGTCAGGTGCTTAATCTTCCAGGTATTAATCCACTTTCTTTCTCCCTGGGTGGAAAAGAATGAACCCAAGAGCCTTCCAAGGCAGAAATCAGAGTGACGTACCCCACTTTCTCGTACCTTGCTGTCTCATCAACTACACCTCTCTGGTCTTCAGTGGCCACCATGTGCAGCCTTCCTAAGCAGAAAGTCTGCTCACACTTGCACTGGAGATAAGGAACCTGGGCCCCAGGGAGCCCTGTCCCATCAGGGAGCCTCTTGTATCAAATGTATCTAGTTATTCCATAATTCAACCGCGGCCTCAGTACAAAAAGCTCCTTTGTTGTGGTGGCTGATAATGCAATGAGACTCCTTCCCCTCTGTGAACTAATGACGTTTGTGGGGAGATGACAGGTGGGTATGAAAATGGAATTGGATGGGGTGGGGGCAGGCTCTGGCTCTGCTCCTTGCTCTTGCAGTTTCTGCTGCTCAGCCCCTGAGGAAGAGCGTGGGATGCTATTAGCCTGTGCATCGGGATTTTCATCTAATTTCATAATGAAGACGTTGCTCCATCAGATACAGACGACATGTCAGCAGAAATGCAAAAGGCCATTTTTATGTGTCAGCTGGCTCTCCACGGGGCCCCCACCTGCCCGCAGTTGTGTAGCCAGTGCAGGCTTGAGGGAAGGGCTCCACCATGCTAGATTGGTTCTCACAGATATGCCGGATCTCTCTTCCCTTTATCACCTTTTCCTCTCCAGCTGGAAGCCCTGTGAGGGCAGGAGTCTTTGCCTGTTTGCTGTTGTATACCCAGTGCCTGGAATGCATTAGGTGCTCAGCTTGGATGAATGAATAAACCCTACCCTCTCTGCTTCCCGGGTGAGGTGTGGTGTCCAGTCTTCACAGACCTGCAGACCTACTCACTCCTCAGAGCCGTGGCCTCTGTCAACCCTGCTCTACTCTGAGGCTCTTCTTTACATTAGGATGAGGGATTACACTGCTTGACCCAAACCGTGGGTCTCAGCATCAGCTGTTACCCAGCTGTAATGCTGGGCTCTTGCTCTGCAAAGTTCTGTGCCTCAGCTAATAGAGCCACTAACTGCCCCTGCCTCATGGTATGCTGTGAAGGTTGAATGCACCTAAAGGGCTAAGAGTAGCCCTGACACACAGGAAGCACTCAAGAATTATTAACCATTGTATTCTACAAAAGAGCCTTTGTCTTCTTTCCCCGTACAGAAGTGTTTTGTCCCAGGAACCCACAGGTGACATAGTTCCTATGGGATTTGTCAATCACCAGCTCAAGATAGGATGGCGAGCCTCTTCCCGAATGGCCCCCTTTCCATGATTTCCGATCACTGTGTGCTCTTCTTGGTGTTTCCCCTGGGACCCGTGTTTCCCTGTGCTAGACCCAAGGATTGTTTATTTGTGGAATGTCATAGTGGTTACAGGCGGTACTTCCTCCAGATGCCCAAAGCTACATGGCCGCTGTGGTGTGGGAGTTCAGAACACTGTTTCTGGAGCCACAAACCTCAGCTCTGCCCTATTCTAGCTATGAGACCTGGGAATATTAAAACCTTCTAACTTTTTAGTGTTGCTGTTTCTTTTTTCTTTCTTTTTTTTTCTTTTTGAGATGGAGTTTTGCTCTTGTTGCTCAGGCTGGAGTGCAATAGCGCGATCTCTGCTCACTGCAACTTCTGCCTCCCGGGTTCAAATGATTCTCCTGCCTCAGCCTCCCGAGTAGCT
Organism: Homo sapiens; assembly: GCF_000001405.40. Taxonomy (NCBI): domain Eukaryota; kingdom Metazoa; phylum Chordata; class Mammalia; order Primates; family Hominidae; genus Homo; species Homo sapiens. The sequence goes on along the minus strand of NC_000011.10, from coordinate 131,884,293 downwards.
GGGATTACAGGCATGCACCACCATGTCCGGCTAATTTTGTATTTTTAGTAGAGATAGGGTTTCTCCATGTTGGTCAGGATGGTCTCAAACTCCCGACCTCAGGTGATCTGCCCGCCTCAGCCTCCCAAAGTGCTGGGATTACAGGCATGAGTCACCATGCCCAGCCAACTTTTTAGTGTTTTTATCCATAACATGGGGACTCTACTAGCATCTAGTCTGTAGGGTTGCTGTACAGATTAAATGAGTTTATCCCTGTGAAGGGCTTAGAATAGCTCCTGTCACCTATTAAGGATTCAGTAACTATTAAATATTATTATTTGTAGCTATCATATGGCCACTTCCTCCCCCAGTGCACACAAACATGCATCCCTTTAATAAAAGAAAAGTCAAGACCCACTCCCATTCAATGCCATCTGGCCATGAAAAGCAGGGCTTGTCCACGTACAAAGATATGATGCTGCCCTTTCTACTTTTAGGGGGTGGTAGGGGAGTGAAGTTTACCTTGAAAATCAACTACAGCCTCCTGCCTTTGAAGGAGTAGGGAAACCACGCCTGGTTTTGGTGCTGGCTTGTCATCTTCCCTCTACCACCTTTTGCTTTAATATTTCAGACACCGAGTTCGTAAACTAAGCCAAAGAGAATGTGCACGGTATGGGGGTCAAACCAACTGAGTCTGAGCCTTGATTCTGCCACAAATTAGTTGTGTCGCAAAAAGAAAATCACTCCTCTCTAGACTTCAGTTTCTTCATTTGAACAGTGATGGCGCTATATACCTGGTGCTGTTTTTTCTCTCTCCCTCTCTGTTAATTTAGAGGCTCTGTGACTATGGCCATAACTCAAAGGTGTCTGAGAATCTCTCTGTGATCTGGACAGGCTCTGGCTCTGGATGCCTTGAGAGAGAAGAGGTGACCTACTTGTAGACAAGTGGCCATGATTTCCGTTTGGATTTTGTGGCATCATGATGGAGAAGCCCACCAGTTCCCCGTCTCCAGCTTTGGGAAGGAGACTGGAGATAGCGTGACCTTTGAATATGAAATATTCGTGTTTTGACTTTTCCTTTTTAATTATTAGAAGATGCACTATAATTGGCATGAAAAGGTTATGTCCTGATGTGTAAGTCTTGACAAGTAGCAAACAGCCCAAGAAAAAAATCTTTGATTTTCTCATTCATGGGGACGGTTTGAGTCATATTCTGGGTGTGAGGCTACGGAGCACAGAAGTCCTTTTGGCAGGTGCTGCCATCTTTTCCTTCCTCAGTAGAAATGTGCACTCAGGATATGTCATCAACTTTATGTCATGGGGAGTGTGACTGCTTGTGCTTTTTGCACAGCCTGATCTTTCTCCTCAACCCATTCATTCGTTATTTTCCTGAACTTTTTTGACCTATTCCCTATTTTCTCAGGAAAAGAAAAAAAAACAGTGAAGTAGAAACTCCTACCTTTTATCAATTGCTCATTGCAGCAAGCCTAAATGTTTAAATATGGTAAATAAGATCTCTTGAATTAAGCTAAGAGTTGCCTGCCTCAGAACCCATCACAAATAAGCAGAGAATATTTGTTCCCTTTCTTTTTCTATCCAGCAGATACATCATTCCTCACCGGAATTGTGAATTGAATTTTCCCTCAACTTCTCCCATCATGGAAGGCTCAGTCCAAACCCCACTCTCTTCACGAGATACTCCGAATGTAAAGAGAGCAGTATTTAGCACCAGTGTGATGAAGTAACTTCTCTATCATGTTGTGACGGTTAATTTTATGTGTCCACATATCTGGGCCACAGCATCCAGATATTGGATTAAATATTATTCCAGATGTCATGGGCAGGTGTTTTTAAATGAGATTAACATTTAAATCCATGAACTGTCAGTAAAGCAGATTACTCTCCATAACAGGGGTGAGCCTCATCCAATCAGTTGAAGGTTCTAATAGAAAATGACTAACCTGCCTTGAAGATGAGGGAATTCTGCCAGCCAGAGGACCTGAGCTGGGACACCAGCTCTTCCCCGTTGGCCCATCTTGTAGATTTTGAACTTGCCGGTCTCTGTAATTCCATTAACTAGTTGTTCAAATCTCGCTCTTTCACATAGATAGATAGAAAGACACACACACATACATACACATACACACATACACCCTATTGATTACCAACTCTGATTCTCTAGATAATTCTGACTAATGTACATATGTATTCTGCTGTTATCCTTTTCCTACAGGCAAGACACTCACTTGGGCCCTTTGTTGGAATATATCCTTCCTCTGTGAAGCTCTTCCTGGATTTCACCCTATTTTCTAAATCGCAATTAATTGATGTTAGGCAAAGAGAAGAAAGTTGTGTGACATTGTTCTCTACTGGAGAGGGAGATGGGCACAGCACACCCTTTGGTCAGCCCCGCAACCTTCTGTCCTGCAAGTGCTGTGCCTGTACTTGGAATAGCAATTTGCATCCACAGCCCTGTCTCTTCAAGAATGCAGGTCACTTCTCATCTTCACCTGTCCTGTTCCCCCATTACTCCTCAGTAGTGAAGAGTAGGTAGACAAGGTACTCAATAATTGGAGAGAAACAAATTGTAGGCTGAAAATATGACAACCCTATAGCCTTTTTGGTACTTCCTAAGTGGGGATATCTTTCTCTCTTCTAAATGCCCTTACTGCATTTTTCAGCTTTTCTTAGTGGAGGAGTAAAATGCTGCCTCACACTCTTTCTGTCTGTGCACTTTTTCCGCTGTGTTTTGCATGCTGGTGTCCACAAAGTATTGGCTGCTCCTCTGCGTCAAAGCTTTGGGGGGTGTGTGTGTGTGTGTGTGTGTGTGTGTGTGTAACTGAGAGCTCACAATTACATTTTAGGTAGATTTTATTATCCCCAATCTGAAATTCTGTAGGGTCAAGTCAATGACCCCGATCATTAAAAACTGACCAATCCGGGACTGGAACTCGGTGTTTCTGATTTCAAATCCATGTACCTTTCACTACTGAAGTGCTCCCTCAAACCGTTGAGAGGAGGGTGGTAAGGAAAAGTTCTATTTGCCTATGTCCTTATTGTCTTAATTTCTCATATTAAGCACTCAACGCGTGTGAATGAGGGCAATGGAATGGAAGACAAATCACAAACAATAGAGCCCAGACTTGGTTGGACACAGCTGAGCGAAGGCCTCCTTAGGAAATGAGCCATGAAACCAGGGTGGAAACTATGGACATTTGTGTAGGAAAGCAGACCATGGGGGAATACACTGATTCCTCTCCATAGGAAGGTTCTGGCAAGTTCCATGAAGACACACATTCAGAAAGTAGACAATAATTTAAGCAGTAATGGTTACCACTGGAATGTTGTTTCAGTGGTGGCTAATATCTTTTAAGCATCTGACTGTTCCCTACCTGCCAAATGTAGTTCAGGAGCCCTATATCTTTGCATATGGGATTAGCACCTATCAGAGTTTAGAATTAGTTATCATGAATTCAGCTAACCCCAGCTTTGGGGGCAAAAGAAAAAAAAAAAGAGTGAGATTTGGAATTTATCCTTCCAGGTGCCACAAGGAACTGAACCAGAGGAATTTGTTTCCTGAACAGCCAGGCTATAAATTGAACGCCGGAGGCAAATGAGAGTGTGTATATGTCATCCTAAGAATATAGATAACAACCAGAAAGCTGTGGGTTAGCCCTGTGACCCTTGAATCGAGCAGGAATTCTTTCCAATGCCTTTATCATGCTTCTGTCCCTGGTACCTGGCACTGGACTCCCAAGTCCAGAGCCCTGGGCAGGAAACTCTCTGTGTGAGGAGCTTCTCTGCTAATCCCCAGCTTAAACTTTCTCTTCCTCAGCTTTAAGCTAGTGCTCCTTGTCCTAGCACCTGCTGAGCAAATGAACAATTCCCTTCCCTCATTTGCATTGTTACCTTGAAGGTATTTATAGCCTGTGATTATCTGCCCCTTGAGTCCTCTCCTTCTCTAGCCTATAATTCAGCATTAGATCCAGGTCTGTTTGCTGTGGAACTGAGCATGACTAGGAGTTCTGCTGCCAGAGCCAGCACCAGCAAGGGCTGCAGCCTCCTTAAGGCTTCAGCAGTGGTTCAAAAAAGGAGAAAAAAGTCAATCTCAAAACTAGTCTTCTTGGTTCGATTTATTGAGAGTTTTATGACTTATCTGCTGGGTCGGAAGAGATTTAGCCATTTGCCAAGATGGCTGTGTGCACATGTGTGTTTGTGCATGTGGGAGAGGGTAGGGAGGCGGAATAGAAAGAAGAAAGTTGATGTTTCGATGTCTCCAGCCTCTTATCTCCTGTCCACTATGGCTCTATGCAGTAAAATCTATTGTAATCCTTGAAGGTGGTAAAAGCAAAAAGCAAACCAACAATTGCAAACACTACACAGACAAACACAAAACTTCTAACACCCCACTTTTTATAACAGATAATTATTTCAACTCTTCAAGATTCTAAGGCCACAGACCATTGAAACATAAAGAAGACTATATATGGAATCTAGGAAGAGGAAAGGAATTTGGGACAACTATTTAAGACTGCAAGAGAAGAGCCACAGCTTGAGCCAAGGATTTTTTGGAAGTTTATCCACAAGACCTCAGGAGCTAGATTCCAATCTTTCTGATTCAAAGGTGACAAAAAAATCAATATTTTTCAAATAAGTATTTTTTTCAAAAAATTAATATGTTTTGATTTTGAAGCCAGTCATGTTTTTCCCAAGACATTATAGTGCTACAAAGCTGACGAGCAGGACTATTTTCCATTCCACCTTTCTGAAACCCTCGATTTTGCTTTATATTCTTGAATTCACCTAATAAGTTTACTTCAGTTTAAAAGTAAGAGTGTTGAAGATTGGTGGTTGGGAGTGGGGCTGTCATCATTAAGATGACCCAAAATTTCAATGTTTTTATGTTGTTTCCAGAAAAAGTTGTCCATACAGTGGAAAAATCTGGCAGTCTCTAACTTGACCCAGGAATCAGGTTTAACATCACTGCGGGACGGGTGGACGCTGTGCTTCCTGATGTGAAGGCCCCCAAGAAAGCACAGCATCACTTCTGTGATGTTTCCACCCAGATGCACCCCTGGGATGGGCCATAGTAAAAGGTGGAAAGATCCAGGTTCGAGGTCATTTTACAGAATGAGAAGCCTGAATACACATGAAGTTTGCTGAGAGGTAGGAGGAGACCAAGGAACTGCTCTGGATTGAAGGAGACTGTAGGTTATGATAACTGAATTCAGTGTGTTCCTGGGAAGGATTCTGGCCCAGAAAGGAAAAAGAGCCATTGTCAGGATGGATGACAAAAGCTGAGTGAGTTCCGTGGATTGGAGGTGGTATTGACATCAGTGTCAATTTCCTGATTGGCAGCGTACATAGTGGCAAGGAAGTGAGAGCCGTTACTCCGGGGAGGTGAACACTGGAGTATTTAGGGGTGGTGGGAACTCCTCTTAGGCAAAGATCTTCCCCTCTCACTTTATTTTAAGAGAGAGTCATCGTTAAAGAGATATTACTCATGAGTGCAGCATCAGCCAGCACTGAGAAAGACCAGCTTATATGAGAGTGAGACATCCCTATTTTTCCTGTCTAAAGAATAAAAATGGCAATGGCTATGACAGAGAGGTAGTGCAAGATTTAATGAAATAATATCTGTAGGCTGTAAAGTGCTGTATGAACATAAGACATTATATATATATATATATATATATATATATATATATATATATATATATTTTTTTTTTTTTTTTTTTTTTTTTTGAGATGGAGTCTCCCTCTGTCACCTAGGCTGGAGTGCAGCGGTGCCATCTCGGGTCACTGCAACCTCTGCCTCCTGGTTTCAAGCAATTCTCCTGCCTCAGCCTCCTGAATAGCTGGGAGGCATGCGCCACCATGCCTAGCAAATTTTTGTAGTTTTAGTAAATACAGACGGTGTTTCACCATGTTGGCCAGGCTGGTCTCGAACTCCTGACCTCAGGTGATCCATCTGCCTCAGCCTCCCAAAGTGCTGGGATTACAGGCGCCAGCCACCATGCCAGGCCAAGACATATTTTTTATTAAAGAAAAGATCAGGAGCTTAACAGGGTAAGTCCATCCTTCCAAGCAAAATGATCAAGCATGCTGGCCTCGCTTTGAATCCCACTTCGGTTTCTTCCCTCCCGAGCTTTCTTCCTGTCCCCAACTCTAGGCACAACCCCCTTCTCACAGGATGTCTCTTTATTACAGAATCCCCAAACTCAATGAGGACACGTTTTCCTCCCGAGAACAGCAGAATGGTAACAAAGAACACATGAAAAGAAAATGCTTTCAAGGACCAAAGGAATTCATCTACAAATATGGAATTTCCAGCATGGAAGTCAGTGACAAAGCCCTGGCATACCCCCATCGCAGGTGTCGTGAGAACACCGTCCAGTGGGACGAGGCCAGCCCTGCCCTGAGAAGCTGAGATTCCCACCCCACCTGGAGGGAGCTGAGCACCCTCACAGCAACTCTGAGCCCCTGACTCCAAAGGAGACTCTTCTCCTGTGGTATCAGACGTAGAGGGCGGGCTCCCTTAAAGTAAAATTCCACAACAGGGCAGTAGAAAGATGCAATGAAACATATACGAGTTATTAAATATTGTCATCAAGATGAGTAATAAATCAGACATTTTATGGTTTCTGATTATAAATTCCATTTATTCCATAAGTGTTTAAAGAAAGAAAAATGGAGACCCAACAGAGATTTAAGCCTGCCCGAGATGGGTATATTTCATGATTGCTTTGTGACTGCTGCATCCTGGGTGGAATAGGGGTGGGGGAGATACAAAAGGGCCCTCTCAGGGCCAGGAAGAATGAATTGCTGGGTTTCTGCGGCTCTGTGAGTGCATTCATTGTCATGTGAGACTCTTCCTAAGAATTCTTTTGAAGTCAGGAATTCTGGCCAGGTTCCTGGTGGACACACTCTTGAAGATAGCCTACTCCTTCAAATCCCAAAACCAACTTAAACAAGAGGCCAGGCGAGAAAAGCCAACGTGGGGAGACTCCATAGGTCCTGGCAGGTGGCACTGAACAATGCAGATCCTTAACAGGAGGGAGGAGATGAACTGTCCCAAAGAGTGGCTGCTGCAGATCAGGGAGCTGGGCACAATCCCAGCACAGCAAGTGTTCATTCAGTAAAAAGTATGCCTTGGGGCCTGGCGCAGTGCCTCACGCCTGCAATCCCAGCACTTTGGGAGGCCGAGGTGGGTGGATCACTTGAGGCAGGGAGTTCAAGACCAGCCTGGACAGCATGGAGAAACCCCATCTCTACTAAAAACACAAAAATTACTTGGATACGGTGGCTCATGCCTGTAATCCCAGTTACTTGGGAGGCTGTGGCACAAGAATTGCTTGAACACAGGAGGCAGAGGTTGCAGTGAGCCAAGATGGCACCACTGCTCTCCAGCCTGGGTGACAGAGTGAGACTCTGTCTCAAAAAAAAAAAAAAAAGTTATGCTTTGTGTTCATAAAACTATGCCTTCTCCTCATATAGTACTTTACAGTTTACAGGTGTTATTTCATTACATTTTGCACTACGGTTCTAGCATAGCCATTGTTATTTTTATTCACAGACAGAAAAAAATGAGGTTGTCTCACTCATATAACCTGGCCTCTCTCAGCTCTGGTTGCTGTGGAGAGTAGCATAAGTGATATCTCTTCAATGGTGGTTCTACTGCACAAAGAGAAAACAAAACGTTGTCTTCTGGCCTTCCAATGGCAGAATTTGACCTGCTTTTGGCTTTGAAATGCCTCATATGATATTCTTCTAGCAGATTTGTCTAATTATATTTTGCTTGGGCTAAGATTAAAATTAATTGGTCTTTTCATGATCACACATCAGGAGAGTAATAGGACCAGGCACCTGAGACCAAGCCAGGGATTAAAGATTGGTTATGGATAATCCACTAGCCAGAGAGTCTGAATGTGGTGGGAGATGAGTGGAGGAGACCCAGTGGGCCTCCGGCAGCTTGTTTATCACTGGCATCTTCATCACAAGCTTTATGTGACAGGATTTCTCCTGATGTGCCCACAGCTGCTGCCTCACTGCACGCACACAAGTGTGTGTACACAGGCACCCACACAGCTGGAGAAGCACACATATGCCTCCTTCTGCAACATGCACACTGTTGATTAGCCTCTGCGGAGTGCTGACTCTTGGAGAAAGACCAGATAAATCGCTTTGGAGAGGGAGAAAAGGAAAAAAATATGATAAAGAAAAAAAAATCTACTTTATCCCCCTTCAAATGCCACAAGAAAATGTCACGGAAATCGCTTTGCTGGAAATAACAGAGAAGTTCAAAACAAAATTGTTGAGTGTCACTCCTGGGCCCGACTCTCCCTTGCACTGGGCCCCTCCTCAGCCTGGGAGGCTCCTCGCTGCCTCTGCCACCACTCACCCTTCAGGATGCCACTGCTGCAGCCTCCAGGAACTGAAAAACAGTTCTTGGAAAGCCTTCCACTAAAGGGAGTAATCGAGAATAAACAAAGGACAAAGACATGAGTGGGAAAGAGCTCTTTCCCTGCCAGCTGGCCACTTCCAGCTCCAGGACAGTGTCCATGAAGCCCACAGAAGGGAGACTCATCATCATTTTCAATGTCGTCATTACCAAAAGCCTTTCTTATGCGATTCATTGTGCAAGGCTGTGTACAGAAACTGTTGAAGGATCCTTTTGCTTTCTTGTGACTTAAAATCCATGACATTTCACAATGCTACAAAAGGCGTCTCTGATTTCCTTGGGTATAGCTTTCTTTTTTCTTTTTAACTTTCTATTCTTCGTCTAATATAACAGCACCACAGTGCACAACAGTGCTTGGCTGAAGGACATGAAAACATAAATTTTCTGCATTATTATAGATTCATCCACTCATTCACTGATTCATTCAACATTCCAAAAATTCAGAGCCTACCATATTAAATACCAGGTCCTCAACCAGGCTGTCAAGACAGAGGTGTAAACAATTCACAGATCCTGCCTTCAAGGAACTCACCAAATATTATAAGCAGTGATGTTCAATCTCTTTTTTTCTTTTAAAGTGTAGGGAAACTTTCTCTACGTAAAATGTTTCCAGGAAGCCCAATGTATAAAACCAATAAACCAGAATTTTTTGATTAAGTGAGGAAGGATAGACAGTGAGGGGAAACATTTTAAGGAGAAAGTATTAAACCCATTCTATATGTGATGAAATAAGGCTCATGGGGTTTAAGTAGCTTTTCCAAGGCGCAGTGAACAAGTGGAGAATCCAGGACAAGGCCCCAGTTCTGTCTCAGCTTAAGTCTCTATTCTTGCCTTTGGCCGGCTGCTGCCCCATCAGGCCCCGTCATACAAATAGGCACCAAGAAGGGGACCTCAGCCCTCGCCTTCCTGAGTTTGTTCTTTACATAGTTAGTTAATAGAAAAACTCTCTTCAATTACAAATCACAACTAAGTTTCTCATTACTGCAGACCTATCCCTCGTACAGAAAATCCAACTGATAAGGGTTGAGAATTGGTATTATGATCCTTTTCCTGGGCTGGAATAAGACCTTTGGCAATAATACAGCCCTGATTAATCTTTGGATTAACCAAATCAAAATGATCCTAATTATTCCTTACATTTAGATGAACTAGTTTAGAGAACAATTTAGGCAGTTTTAGAAGGAATAGAGATAGATCTACGCAAAAGACAAATTTTTTATTAAACTAATTGCTAGTCCTTGGCTGAGAATGCACAAGAAATAGTAAAATAGTAAAGGTTTAACTACCACCCTCAAAACTGGGGCCTGTAAGATTTGAATGTTACAATTAAGAAACTTAGTCAATTGAAATATAAACTCTGGGTTTAAAATGTGTTTCATACGGTGTGCAACAATATTTCTTTAGTGGAGAATGTCTTAACTGTTATTTTGTTGTTGCTGCTGCTTGGTTTTTTTGTTTTTAAAAACAATTGAAAAAAATTAGCCATCATGATGAACACAATTCCTCTTCAAAGAAATGACTTAAAACCAGGATGACAAGCATGATAAAACACAGCATGCCACATGCCCTAGATTTATAGCTCTTGTTCCACATCTTGCTGGACTGTCAGTCAAAATGACTCATCCCATTTGTGTGCAGGAGAGGTGATGGGCCACATTTTCCCCAACCTACCTCTTTCCAGACCTTGAACTGTGGGAGCCCAGGTGAGACCAAGAAGGCCTTTATTTTTATTTTCTTTTCACATTGAAGCAACCATCAAGGCTTGGGACTAACACCCTGTTGCTGATATATATATATATATATATATATATATATATATATATTATATTATATTATATAAATATATTATATGTAAATATAATATATATAATATATAATATATAATATATATATAAAAGCTGGAAACCATCATTCTCAGCAAACTAACACAGGAGCAGAAAACCAAACACTGCATGTTCTCACTCATAAGTGGGAGCTGAACAATGAGAACACATGGACACAGGGTGGGGAATATCACACACTGGGGCCTGTTGGGGGATGGGGGCAAGGGGAGAGATAGCACCTGTTGTTTCCTGACTTTTTAATGATCGCCATTCTGATATATATGTATCAGCTGATATATATACATTAAAAGTGTGTGTGTGTATATATATATATGTGTGTATATATATGTGTGTATATATATATGTGTATATATATGTGTGTATATATATATGTGTATATATATATGTATATATATACGGTATATATATATGTATATATATACGGTATATATATATGTATATATATACGGTATATATATATGTATATATATACACACACACACACACACTTTAAGTTCTGGGATACATGTGCAGAACGTGCAGGTTTGCTACATAGCTGTACATGTGCCCTGGTGATTTGCTGCACCCATCAACCCATCATCTAGGTTTTAAGCCCCACATGCATTAGGTATTTCTCCTAACGCTGTATCTCCCCTTGCCCCCCATCCCCCAACAGGCCCCGGTGTGTGATGTTCCCTACCCTGTGTCCATGTGTTCTCATTGTTCAGCTCCCACTTATGAGTGAGAACATGCGGTGTTTGGTTTTCTGTTCCTGTGTTAGTTTGCTGAGAATGATGGTTTCCAGCTTCATCCATGTTCCTGAAAAGGACATGAACTCATTATTTTTATGGCTGCATAGTATTCCATGGTGTATATGTGCCACATTTTCTTTATCCAGTCTATCATTGATGGGCATTTGGGTTGGTTCCAAGTCTTTGCTATTGTAAATGGTGCTGCAATAAACATACATGTGCATGTGTCTCACACCGGTCAGAATGGCGATCATTAAAAAGTCAGGACACAACAGGTGCTGGAGAGGATGTGGAGAAATAGGAACGTTTTTACATTGTTGGTGGGAGTGTAAATGAGTTCAACCATTGTGGAAGACAGTGTAGTGATTCCTCAAGGATCTAGAAGCAGAAATACCATTTGACCCAGCAATCTCATTACTGGGTATATGCATAAAGGATTATAAATCATTCTCTTGCTGGTTTTAAGTGTCAACATTGTCCCCTATAAATCTGGTCTAATTACCCCACAGTATGATACTATAATTCTTTAACAAAATCTTAATGGTACCAGCTTTCAATCTAGCCACTATCAAATGATATAAAAATATGAATCACCAAATTAGACGGGCTCTTAAAATACTACAATTCCATTTTATACTCATAAATACACCATTCATATTCTTTCAACTATACATGCACACATGCAGAGAGATATACCAACTCCTTTGGGCTTCTGCAAAATTTACCAAAATTTGACAGAGAGCCAGAAAATGATAGGTAACTGTTTGGTAATGTGAGCAGGATGGCTTTTGTGAAGTGGAAAACATGATCATAGATCCTGGCTGAACAAGCCAATATGTGAGGCAGCCACTGGCCCTTTTGGGGAATCAAGACAAATGAAACAACAAGAACGAAGGACACTGAGAAATCGACGAATCTAAGTATTCCTCAGTATGTCAATATCTATTTCTCCTTGTGCATAACCATTCTGCCACTTCCCACCCAAAAGCCAGTTGCTGCTGAGCCATAGTAAAACTCCAGGGAGGACTTTCTCAAGGTTAATTAAAGGCTGGCCCAAGCTCCTGAGTTCTGTTTCCTCACCTGTTTGTGAATAGTTTGTGCCAGATCTGCGTGACCCTGCTTTACTCTTGATTGAGGGTGGCTGGAATTTGGTGGAATTGTACCCAGTGGAGAATGATTTGGTAATAAGATGTCTTAGAGGCACTGACACACAATCCAGTAGCATGAAAGAATAAATGAAACTCCTGAATGTGGCAAGGGAGTGTACATGAAGACATGTGTACACAGCATGTCTTCAGGAAGAGCTTGGAAATCCCTTGAAGATACTGACACATTCCTCCAAATTTTAGGACTGAAATTGGCTGAAGCTCTTTATTCTTCATAGGGAGAAACTGCAGGAGCTGCAGGGAAACAAGGAAGAGAAGACACAGTACCTGATGACAAAGGAAAGACCTAGGGGACCAACAGTGGCAAATGCAGAAAGAAAAGGAAGAAAGACTTCCCCAGGGAGCCCAGGGCAGGGTGGCCTACAGGAGCCACAAAGCATGATGAGTCTCTAGAGGGGAGGGAGAGAGGAGCAGCTAACAGGTGCAATCCTCTCTCCATGCATCTCCTTGGATTAACAGGGAGAGAACAAGCCCATAAATGCAAAGTATTCATATTGATAAACTATTTGTGTAAGCTTATAGAAATCAATTAATAAACATAGAAGAGGCAACAATGCATAAACAATGTTTGATCGCTAATAGCTATAGTTGTATCATCATAGTATAAACCACACTATAATAACATTCAGTCATGCTGTGTCTGCCTGCCTGTGATACCTCCACTTCCTCAGAAGTCACTCATTGCCTCAGTAGCTTTATTTATTTACTCATGATTTATATTCCACCTACTTGGAAAAAGGGTCTGAGACAGCTTGTGATGTTAAAATATATATGAAGCAGAATAGCTACAAATGAAAATAGGAACACAAAGTTAAAATGAACAAGGAAAGAAATGTATCCAGCACCACCTGGGCTGGGCGACTGAGCACCACTGAGCACTAAATTTAACTCTGAGCTGCCAAGACTCAGAGGGACAACGTATGTTGGTTTTCATGTTCTCCCTGATTAAAACACAAGCATACCCACTCACATGATCACACAAACTCTTTCTTGGTAGTGTTTTGCATGTGCAGCAACAGATAATAAACTCACAATAGATTCAGCTACAGTCTCATAAAAATGTAATGGTGCTTTCAGATGAGCTTTCTCACATTTGTTCCTTCTGTATGGCAGCTTGTAGATTCTGTATTTAGGTTAGGTCAGGTCCTTAAATAGACCCAATCTTACCACCTTCTTTCTGCTACACCTACTATAGCAGGTCTGAAATAGGACTATTTTTTAAAAGACGCATTTGAGTCTTCATCTCAAATATGTTGCATTTTAGGGGAGGTGGGGAGACCGAAGATAAGCTTTTTTTGAAAATTAAGTATTGGGTAGTACATGTGGGTTATTTCTTAGGCTCATTTCTGATTGAGAAATGCTGTGTCCTGTGCTAAAAGGGTTTTATTTCAATCATTTTCTCTCTGAGAATTGGCTTCTAAATTTTGCAAGTTGTTGTCTTTTTATCAGCACTTTCTCCCCCTTAAGATTCAAGGGAATAGAATTCCTTGAACCTCAGAAAAGGTAGGGAGGGGTGAGAGAAGCTGCTCAGAGCTACAAAGGGGCACTGCTTAAAGAGGAGGGCCCTCGCTGGCTCACAGCCTGGAATCCAACCTTAGGCTAGGCTAAGCTCCAGACATATGACCAGGCTGGGGCACCCATCAGGCGGGACAAGGGCTGCCAAGCTTTCTACTCAGAGGAAAGAGACCATCATTCAGAGAGCACCCAATATTCAACCAGGAGCCATTGCTAGGCATTGCACACATACAACTTCAGTTAGTGTGCTATTTCATTTGCAATAGTATTATTATCCCATTTTGTTAATAAAGAAACCACTGCTCTGAAAATTAAAGTAGCTTTCCCAAGATCATGTAAGTAAATGGTAAAACCAGGATTCATTTCAGCTGTCTCTAAATCCAAAGCCCATCCACTTTCTTTCTACTGTGACTTCAGCATGGAACTATTTTTCCTTCCCCTAAGCTTTTGCCTTCACAAGAGTGCATGAAAATGGACTCGATAAAAGCAAAGACTCGAGCCAGAATTCCCAGGCTTCTATCCCAGCTTCACCTCCTGAAGGTGAGGGCCATTCATCAAGTTACTTAAACTTCCTGTGTCTGTTTTCCATCTTGTAAAATTAGCGTCTGCTCTGTACAGCTGAGGTGTGAATGAAATAAGATGACTTTTGCATAGCACATGGTCTGTGATCAGTAAATATCGGCTGACTTAAAGCTGTACCAACAGTGAAGTCCTTAAGGCATAGGAAAGGTGAGTGAGAGCCGTGCTCACAGAGCAGTAACTGTTCAGAGCTGGATGGGCCAGGCTCTAACCTTAAGATTTGCTTCCATTTCAATGGGAATTCCAGGAGCTATCTTAGATGAGGAAGGACAAGGGACAAGGAAGAAAGCATGGGACAGTGGCACCTGGGCCTGAGATCTACAATTAAATTAAATTTTCTGAATTATCACTGAAGTTTCCTTCTGTTTCTAAAAGTCTATCATCCTCCTAAGAATAAAATAAAATGAGAGCATAAATTTTTAGAAATAGCAGTTGGAAGGCTACAAGCTGGCATCGACTAAGCCATCTGAAATAATTTTAAATTTTACTTGGGACAAAAGATGAGCAAGGACAGGATGAGCCAATTTCTCGGGAAGCCAGTGAAATGTTAACAGATGCCGGAGACAGTAGAACTTCTTCACTCTTATATTGCTTCCACATCTACCCCGAAGGAGAGTGGGGAAGTCTTCAAGCTACGAAAGGTAGAAGGAGTTGTTGTAAATCACACAATGACTGGCAGGGCCGGAAAGGACTCCTCCTCTGAAACAATGGTTTTCCAACAAGTCATAGCGCGTAGGCGGGGAGAAGCAGCTATGAGTTTGCGCCTGTTCCCTCTTCCAGTCATCAAGGAAGGGAGAGGGCCCGGGAGATAAACTTGCCTGACGCTAGGGGATAGCACACACATTAAAAAAAGTGAAATCTACTAATTTTTACTCATGTTCTCAATTGAGAGTTGAGGATACTGAAGGCACATTGCGGGGGGCTGGGGGGTGATTGCACGTGGTCATGCTGTCTGTCAGTGGGAAAGACTGAGCTGAGGAAACCACCATAAACCACGTCAAATGCAGGCTGAGCTGGGAAAAATGTATGTAAGGTCAAATACTTGTATTCATTTGCCCACAAAACTTTATTGAGTTCCTATATGCAACAGTAGTGGGAAAACAAAGTGGTGAGTCTCTTCAAGACAGAGGGATGGGATGTGAATACAGATAATCACAGTGAAAGGCCCAGGTTACAGCAGAGGGGTCAAGAGGAAGTGCCTGGAGAGATCAGAGCAGGAAATAGATCTTTCTTGCTGATGTCATCAGGACAGCCTTATAGGGAAGGTAGCATGTGAAGGGGAGATTTGAGGAGTCATTTGGAAATAAAATACGACGAGGACAAATTGAAAAAGAAAACAATAACAAAGGTAGAGTGACACAGAGCTCAGGGTGTGCACGGACATCGCAAGAAACTCAGTTTGGCTCTCGAAGAGGGAGGGCAAAAGAGGTGACCCAGTGTGAGGCTGGAAAGGTGTGTCATTTCCAGATTGGAGCCAGGCTACAGCCGGGTTTGATTCTGCAGCTGCTGGCAGTGGCGGCCCACTGAAGGGTCTGCACAGAGCCCGACACAATCAGAGCTGGGCTGGAAGGTTAACCTTGTGGTGGTGTGGAGAGGGCCGGAGTGCGGAAAGCCCACAGGCAGGGAGGCCAGTTAGGAGACCATTGAATGAGCTCAGGTGGGAGGTGATCAAAGACTGTACTGGACAGGAAGGAAAAAGAGGTAGGAGGGAGGTTTTGATACGAAAGACTGGGACAAAAAAGGGTGGGTGGCTGCGGGGCTTGGACAGAGTGAGGGCGAGGAAACAAAAACGCCAGAGAATTCAGCTCCTTTTTTTCTCATCTGTAAAGCAAAAGGATGCCTTGGATTCTTTAAGGTTTATCCAGACTTTAAAATTCTAATTCTAAACTGGCTACAGGGGGACCCTTATCTCCCAATCACACACTGAAATAAAGCAAGGTACGATGTATTTAGTTTCCACCTGCAATTCAATCAGCAAGTCAAAACAATACTGGCTTCGTAGTGAAGAAGCAAGACTCCAGGGTGTGTTTGGGGTTTCCTCTCTCTCCATGCAGATAGCTCTTCCACTCAACATGGTCATTCTTTCTGAGGTCTCCAGCAAACCAAAACAGCTGGCAGTTCAGCCTGGCCTCCCGCAAAACTGTACCTTCAGCTCCATCTGCTGGTGGTGGGGTTCCGTGGCCTGTGCTTGTGTGTAAACCAAGTCCTCATTTTGTGCCCCAACACCCTCTCTGCAAATCTCATGCCCGCATCATACACACAGGCATATACATACACACAGACACATTTACACACACAGACACCCAGACCTAGACTCCTACAGACACACAGACATACATATGAAGAAATGCACACATGGTTATACATACAGATACACAGACATAAACACAGACACACACATGCATACATACACACACAGGTATGTGTACACACACATACACACAGGCAGACACACACAGACACCCAAACACGCACACACACAGATACACTTACACAATACACACGTGTACACACGCTCACAGATAAACAGGTAGACACACACTCAGACACACACAGACACACACACACATACACATATGGTTATTCACACTGATACACACAGACGTAAACACACATACAGACACACACGGTCACACACACACCCCCAGACACACAGACAAACATACAGGCAGACCTCTCCATCCGCACGCACACAGCGTTTTCCTCCTTGCTGCAACCTCTCCACTCCAGCCTTTGCGGATCCTTCCAACTTCCCCACTGCGTTTAGGCATCCCTGAGACCTGCTCTCTGGCAGGCTGGATGTGTAAGTGGGACCACATTCTTTCCCGAGCCCTGCACAAAGCGTAAATAGCAGATGGGTAGGACTGCAGTCTTTGAGAAGACACACAGTTGGACACCTGAAAAGCTAATTTCCTGGCTAATTTACTTTTGGGCTGCTAATTGATCCTGCGATTGCACCCTGTCCTCCCCTCCCCTAGTCCAAGAGGCCCAGAAGGAAAGGGAGTGCCCCCTTCCCCCACCTCCTCCCTGTTCTCCATCTTGGCTGCCGCGCACTGTCCTTGCTGTCATTCCACGGGAACTGGGAAGACACCTGGTTCCTCCAAAAACATTTCCTATTAATCTACTTTCCCTGAAGATATCAGTTTGTCTAAAGAATCCTAGGTTCAAACAGATTTTATTTTTAAGCCAAAAAAAATCACGACATTGTAGTGAAATCGCCACTTTTTTTTAAGAAAAATGCCATTCCCAGTCACATCTCTTAATAGCTGCCTCCTGGTGGCAGCCTAAATGATGAATCCACCAACCTGTTTAAAATGTAAGGGAGGTGATTTCAAAAATAATCCGAGGGTGTTTCTGACTGCAAATGCAAATTCCTTTGTCAGCAGTCTTGGGCGCCATGGAGGGCGCAGGTATTTTTAGTCCATATAGATTTGCAGGGGAGGGGGAGACACACAGTTCACCCACTAAATTAATGTGAGGTGGGTCTTAGTTTTGCATACTCATTCCTTTGGGATTTGGAGCTCTGAAGGCATGGCCAACCTGGCCCTACGGAGGAGTCAGGGCAGGTCCCCGTGCCTAAGGCCTGCCCTTGGGTTTGTTCCAGGCTTCTGGCCCCAAGGAGCTGGGACTGAGAAATAGGCCTCGGGCTGCAAAACACAGCCAGCAACCTGCAGATGCCATTGAGGGGGACAGCCCCACCCCCACAGGCAATCTTTGCTTTGTTTTTTATTTATTCCCATGTAAATTTGGGACAAGGCTGAATGGAAAAAGAAGGGTGAAAAGGAAGCACCTGCCAACGCATGCATGTGTGTGTGCAGCATGAGGGTGTGAACAGCATGTGGTGTGTGTGCTGTGTGTGTGCACCGTGTGTGTGCGGCATGCATGTGTATGTGAGGCATGTGTGTGCAGCATGTGTGTGTGTGTGCATGTAGCATGTGTGAGAGTGTGTGGGGTGTGTGTGTAGTGTGTGTGTAGCATGTGTGTATGTAGCATGTGTGAGAGTGTGGCATGTGTGTATGTAGCATGTGTGAGAGTGTGTGGGAGGTGTATGTGTAGCATGTGTGTATGTAGCATGTGTGAGTGTGGGAGGTGTGTGTGTAGCATGTGTGTATGTAGCATGTGTGAATGTGGGAGGTGTGTGTGTAGCATGTGTGTATGTAGCATGTGTGAGTGTGGGAGGTGTGTGTGTAGCATGTGTGTATGTAGCATGTGTGAGTGTGGGAGGTGTGTGTGTAGCATGTGTGTATGTAGCATGTGTGTGTAGCTTGTGTGTGTGCAACGTGTGAGAGCAGGTGGGGTGTGTCAGTGTGTGGGGTGTCTGTGTTTTTGGTGTGTATGTGAGTGTGTGTGTAGTGTGTACCTGTGTGTGTGCACCTGTGAGCATAAGAGGGTTGAGCAGGGTGTGAGGGCAGGGAGCCTGCCCCACTAGGCCAGGCTAAGCACGTGCATGCAACTGTACTAAGAATCTGCTAGCATTGTTCTGTTTGCTTGTTTTGGGTTTTGATTTTTAAACCAGCTATCAAGTGCAGAGCACAAGGGAATTGTTAGGCTGGGTGAGCACAATACAGTGATTGCCTTTGGAATAGCTCCGGTGGTAACCAATCACATAGTTCATATAAATACAACACATTCAGGGGTCTTCTGGACACTCCCAACTTCACACATTGATTTATATTATGCTCACAAGCACATTGTTACCTGGCAAACTGTATACTCTGAATTTTGTCTTGGTGTGACATAGTAAAACAGGCTTTGGGATCCAACAGAAGGGGCTTGAGTGTTGGCTTTTGCCATTTGTCAGCCATGTGATCAGGGGTAGGCTACTCGATCTTTCTAAGCCTCAGCATTCTTATCTGTAAATGGGGATACTAATACCTGCCTTTGGGGACTTGTACATTGTCTCAGGGTAGAGCGCATGATACAGCCCAGAAAATGAAGCATGTGCTCATCTAACAAAGACTGGGCAACTTGAGGCAGGTTCCAGAACATGGAACACCCACACAGAATGGTGCTGGAGGTGGGAGACCCACTGGGCCGGTGCGGGAGAGGTTGCCAAGCTTTCCTCTTTCCCAAGCTCAGGCCCTGCTGGCTCAGTCGACTGTCAGTTGTCTAAGCCCAGAAACATTACAGGGCAGAACTGGGAAAGAATCATGGACATTAAAAAGGGCAGATATCAGCTCAACATTAGGAGAGACATTCTGAATATGAGAACTGTCCAAAATGGACCAGGAGGTAACAAGCTCCCTCTCACCAGTTGTGTTCAAACAATGCCAGGAAATCCTGGTCAGAGGTGGCACATAGGGAAACTCTTTCATGCAGTAGAAGGTCCGACTATATCAAAACCAAAATCGAACATTCCCTCAATGCTAACAGTCTTTGTTTCTGTGAAAAAGAAAGAGGGTATTGCTACTCTTATTCTCCCTTGAAACCTAACACTCTAGAAGTCCCTGGTCCCTGCTGGAGGCAAAGAAATAATAGGAAACCTCCAGGGTTTCAGAGCCTTGCACTGGGACCATTAAGCAATCCATTTACAGCAAGAGGGAGAGTGAGCCTGAGAGTCAGGTTTAAAATGATAATTAGCCTTTGTGATAGTCTTAATTGAAACCAGTCAGTCCAGCGGGAGGAGTTCCTGGACCAATCCTGCCTATTAGGCTCTCCAGCAGCAGGAGAATCCTGCTGTCACATGACAAGCTCCAGGGACTGACCAGAAGCCCGCATTAAGCAAAGGAGTCGCTCCACACTCTTTCCTTCCTGATGGATCCTGCCCTGATGGATTTGTTTCGTCTTTCGTTGGATTGCTTTTCTCCCCTGCCCCTTTTCTTGTCTAAATCTTTACATTTCAAGAGGATATATAACATCCTAAATTAGATAGTCCTTCTATTTCTTGTCTTCAGGGTAATTGTGTGATTGACTGATCTAACTCCCTGCCTCTCACTTCTCTTCCTTCCTTCCCTCCTTTCCTCCCTGACCCCCGACTTCTTATGCTGGGCACTCCATGCATTCCATTTCTTATTCTGCCAACACTCCATTTCTACAAGGAAATTCATCAGGTGCACTTTTGGGGCCTGCTCTGGTTTATCTGAAACTTGATTATGTTCAGTTACATAGTATGTCATCAAAACTAGCTCTGATATTTAAATGTGAGTAAATCAAAATGCATCCTCAATTTTGCCAGGCCTACAAGCGCTGGCTGGTCCTCCCCAGCCATGTGGCATGGGAGCTCATGTTTGATTGGCAGCAGGACATCCTGAACCTGTGGAAGATTTTTAGGGAAGAGAAGGCAGATGGGAGGAGGGAGGGACCTGAGTCTGTGCTCATGTTTCTCCATATCCCGCTCTTGTGGACGTCAGACAGGACAGTATTCAGCTTTCCATGTTATGGTTTGCAGGTTCAGTTTAGAAAGAAGGAAAGGGAAATCCCCTTCCTCATTCAAACATGAATCTCTAGCTCATGGCCTTTGCATTCGACTATATTTCTGCAGTTCCAAGGTTAGAATGCTGAGTGTCAGTGATGCTGAGGAGTGGCTGAGTGACTTGGAGCATCGCTTCCTGGACCCAGGTTACAGTACTTCTCAATGACAGTCTGACTGCACTCAGCCTGCTGCACAGTGGAGTCAGGAGGACCCCAAGAACATCTGCTGACACCAGGTTTGCAATAAAGAAAAAGGACATGGAGACACCAGGAAATGGAATGGGAAACATCAACAACACCTGGATGAAATCTTTCAGAAGCAGGCTTTGAGGAGCACCATCAGGGTGCCAGAGACAGCAGCCCTGAGGTGAAATGCCCAGGGCTTCACCAGTTCCCCCTTTCTTCACTGCCTGATTGGCCACTCTCAACACACATGATGATGGTTTGCAATCTCACTCTTCCTAGAAATTTTGGTTCCACCTTCCAAAACACCATACATGTGAGTAGCACAATTTTGCAAATGGAGGAAGTCAATATGGTACCATGAAAGAACACTGCTCTTGAGTCTAGAGACCCTGGCTGAAGAATGTCTTGTTCTTGTACTACCCAAGGGAAGCCTCCTCAGCTTCCTCGTTTTAGACAGGATAAGCTTCAGTGAGATGACCTCAATGTCACTTCTAGTCTGGAATCCTAAAATCCTATAGGAACATCTGTGAGGCATGGAGGATAGCAACCAGACTTCCTCTCTCCGCTCTGAAAGGCTTGAGAGATTGTCTCTATATGTTTTAGTCAATTCAGCTAGGTTTATACTTAAACCTGAAGACAGACATCCAATAACTCATATTTCGAGGTTTGGAGCCATCTTGTCCTAAAATAAATACCAGTTTGCAGTTTCATGAAAGCAGAAAAGTCACAGCCTTTGCTATAAGAGGAACATGAAAGTCCTTTACAACTCCAATGTGAGCAAAAATCTGAATTTTAGGACAGTTTTTGAAACTAGGGACTTAGATATGGTATATTCTTTTAAAATATAACCTTACCATCAAACAAAAATAAAAAACAACCCTCGATTCATACATAACAACTAGGCAATTGTGTTCATTCTCAAGATTAGTACTGTCTAGGACACAGCAATAAATATGCAGAATGAAGAAATGAGTGAATGAATTAAGGAGACTTCCACCTGAAACATGGACTCCTGGGATAGGGTTGCTCAGTTCTGTTGAAGCCTTCCTCAGGGACCAGGAAGTTGCTATCTTGTCTGATGGCTTTCTTTTGTCAGGAGTTGGGGAGAAAGTCAGTTAAAATTACTTCTTTAAGTCGGGCTCAAACTTGACTTTGTGTTCTCTGTACTCTTGGCCCCAGTTGTGCCCTCAGAGTGACCCAGAAATACATGTTCCCTCCTCCACAGGGCTGTTCTCTCCTCAGACAGTTACAATGCTAAAATTCTCAGACAGTCTGAGAATCCCCAGATCAACTGAGACCTGGCTTTGCAACACACGTGCTCTGCCCACAAAGATCCTTGTAGATTTACCTTCAGAATCACATTTTGCTCAGGCTGATATTAAACTGAACTGTGGTCCTTGAGACCGCACTAAGAGCAGCCAACGAAGAGTCAGGTGAGCTGGATGCCTCCCCTGGGGTTTAACAGTGGGCTCTGGATGTGCAGAGGAGTGGTGAAGAGCTGACCAGACCCACGTGCATTTGGGACCTGTGAACACCTCTGAATGTGGAGTGGAGACAGGCCTACCTAGTGTTCACTAGTCTCAGACCACTGCCTATGACAATGTTCTGCACCAGCTGGTAGCACTGCAAGCTGCTGTGTGGCCTACAACACCTTTTTTTCTTTTCTCTCTCTCTTTTTTTTTCTTTTTGCATTTTAAGACATATTCATTAGTGAAATATCAGAAACCTCAGGGGCAGCATGTGCTTCTAATTCATTTTCCAATTGTATAATGAGCCAGGAGTGAAATTTTTAGGGTGAATTTAATTGACCTTTACAGCAACATCAGGCAGATTGGCTTAAATGCTATTAAAGCAAAATGTAACCCGGTGAGACTTTCTAGAAGGTTATCGGAAAATCTATCAAGTTGTTTTTCCTTAATTTTTATCAAGAAAGGAAAAGCTAGATAGAGGACATAGAAGGATGAACAGACAGAGAGACAGAAGGAAAGAGATTTACGGCAGGAAAGAGATGGGCCTGGAAGAGAGAAATGAATCCCAGGGAGGGGGAGGGGCCACCCAAGCCCCTCACTGCTGGGGGATTACGTTTTAATTTAGAAAGGCTGCTTGAAATTGTGCAATTATACCACAGGTCACATTGGTCTAAAGTCTTTTTAGCACTTGGGGATAGGACCGTACAGCCTTCTTTTTATTAATATTTTGGTGTTGATGTGTAGGCCCTTCCTAGCTCTTCATAATAGAGCTCACATGCAATGGAAAATGATGTCTTCTTTTGGCAGCTGACAGGGATATTTTTTCTGACTCCACTGTCCCCTTCATGCTCAGCTCTCAGTAACAGGATACCCATGGGAAAGCCAGAAAGCCAGGGGTAGGGCTGAAGAAATCCTAGGGGACTAAGATTACACCCTAAGGGAAGTGGAGGCCAACCGACAGGGTGCAAAAGCCCCTGGCAAATCAGGCTCGATTCTAAGTGATGCCAGCTCACAAGGAGGTGCCCAGTTGTGGACATCAGTGTCTTTGGCATTATCATGCCTCTGGCAGCCAGGCCTTTTTCATAAGTATGTAGCCAGCAAGAGACAGGGAGATAAACGTGTGTCCATGAAGGTTGTGCAAATCAGAAAGATGATGTAGCCCCACCATCACCTCTACCAAGGAAATGTAGCTAAGAATTCAGGGGGTGGTGAAAGTGTACTTCCTGGGACCTGCTGCCCTTAGAAAGGCCTGCTTGCATGGTTGGTCCTTGGCTGGCACCAGAAAACTTGGATTTCAGGAAGGTTTCCACTGTTCGTTAACTAGTAAGCGTGGCTCCTTGTGCCTAGATTATCCGTGCAAGCAATGTGGTTTATGCTGAATACGTATTTTCCTTCTGGGAATCTGGTATGTTAGTAAGTGCTAGGGAGAGGGTGACGATATGACCAGCGTCCAGTTAAGACCTTAGACTCTGAGTCTCTACTGGGCTTCCCTGGGCAGAAACATCCCACATGTTTTGCTGCATTTTTGTGGAGGGACAGTGGGCTCTGTGGGACCCTCTTGGGACGGAAAGAGCATAAGAAAGTCTCACATGGGTTCCTTCAGACTCTGCCTGTGCCTTGACCCCTTATGATCCAGCCCTGTGTCCTCACCATGGCACAGGAATAAAGCCCAGCCATGAGCAGCACTGTGTGCTGAGTCTCAGGAGCCCTTCCAGAGACCCTCCAAACACGAGATGGTCATGGGGGCCCCGTCAGTCCCTCTCTCAGTGAAGGCTGTCTCACTAGCTCTTGTCCTTCCCTCAATTCTAAACCTCACACCTGCCCTGAAATCTTTTTGACATTGACGGAGGCTGTAGATAGGAGCTGAGGCCCGATATAGACGCATCATCCCCCAGGAGTGACTAAGCTCTCTGCACTCAGCAGACTCTAATAGATATCAGAGTTACTCACATATAAGAAACACATGTTCCTTTCTGCCAAGGAACCTCCAGACAAAGGGGGAGTGGGGAGGAAGTGAGAAAAGGGGAAAAGCTGCCCTTACTGATAAGAACAACCTTTAATAGTCTCAGAAAGAGAAAAGGAGAAAAAAAAAAGGGGAGGCACTTCTAAAATGGAAATACAAAGTGTCTCAGAATCTATTTTTACTATCATAATCGACATCATCCTCTTCAATACTGTTTGTAGAGCACTTCCGTTAAACCAGGCATTTGCAAAGCCTTTTACATATGTTGATTTCAGCTAGCATTCACCATGGGATGCACTAGAGAATGAGTGTTATTATTATTCCTATTTTCCAGATGAGGAAACCAAGGGAAAGAGCGGTTATAGAAAGTAGCCAAGTCACAGAACTGGAAAGTAATGGAACCAAGATCCCACTCGAGTATGTGTCTCAAGAACACAAGTGAAGTCTCAGAGCATCACCCTCTCAAGTCTTGTTAGACTTGTAAAATATGGTTAAAATGGGAGAAAGATAAAACAACCCTCAAAGGACTACTCGAAAGGGACAAGAGGCAGTCATACTCTTAATTGTCCCTTGAGACACCTGGATTCCCAGTAGCACATACGGGAAAGTCAACCGTACCAAGGTCTTTATTAGCTCCAGATTTTCAGTCCTCTATACAGTTTTAAGAAATAAGAGCTTTCTTGAAACCTTAATTTTCAAAAGTTTTATTTTTTCTACTGGTCAGGATTATAGATTTTTAGAGCACTCTTAGATGACACAAAATATTTACTAAATTGTGAACTCTATAAACATAACCATATTCTCTGAAACATACCTGGCACCAGGAAGACACCCGATGTGTCTCTCGGATGAATGGACGGACAGACGGACAGACGGATGCACACATGGATGGACGGATGGATGGATGGATGGATGTTGAAGGGGAAAATAGACTTTGAGGAATTGAAATGATTTCCTAGGAGCTGAAGTGCGGCAAAACTCTGACTGGCTGAGGTTGTGATGTTTACGTTCCATTTTCCAGGCTGAGAATGAATTAGGTTACAGGAGTGAAGTTGCTCTCTACTAGCTACTTCCGCATTTAAAACACCTGAGCTGCCCTCTGTAGAAGCAGGGTGGGGACTATTTGGTGAGCAGAAGTTTGGAGTTGCCTGGATTATTGCCAATTTCACAGTATTTGGGGATTTGCAAAGAAAGATTAAGCCCCACAGATTATGTGCTAGTCTTTCACTCCCTCGTTCCCTATTCCAGAAGGGAGGATTCAGACGAGAGCAATTCCAGCTGCTGCGGCTCAACGTGCTGCAGAGCTGCTTCAGCAAAGCCAGTGAGCTCGGTGTCCGCTTAGGTGAGAACAAAGCACCTGCGGCTGCTATTGCCTCATTTGCAGGGCTCTTCTCACTTAACTTACCATCCGATTTTATATTCACTTAGCCCACCAGCGTGCGGAAAACCTCCTGGGTTCTACGAATGGTGACAATTTATACATGTGTTGATTTACTCAAAAAATACTGAGCTCCTCACATTGGCCAGATTCTTTAGTAGAAGACGGAGATACAAGGATTGTCCAAACAGCATTCCCCTCTGCTCTTAGCCCAACTGGGGAAACAGATAAATATTTCAATAATTGCAAAGCAATGTGTCTAATAATATGTGCATGGGTGGGGGCGGGTAAGGAGAAATGGAAAGAGAGAGGGAGAGAGGGAGAGAATCAACTTGCTCATCCTGGCCTATTCATAGAAGCTTCCGCAAAGTAACTAACAGAAGCAGAGCCAATGAAAAGAAATGAAAAAGTATAGCATGAAGAAAAGAGAGTGTGTAGGAAGGCAAGGGTTAGCATTTCAAGCAAACACAATAGCATGTACAGAAATCACAAAACAACTTATGTATTCCAGAACCTCATAAGAGCTCAGTATGATAAAATGTAGACTGGAAAGGAAGGGTGAGGCATGGGCGGGGCGGAGGCTGGAAGAGATGGAGTAGGCAGAGAGAGGGGTATGAAGGAAATTGGGGGAGACAGAGAAAGGGGGAGAGCTGTCAGGAACCAGACAATAAAGGGTCTTTTATGTTACCTGAAGGAGACGAAGCTCAATCCTGCAAATGATGAGATGTCATTGGAATAACTTGATCAGATTTCTAGTTTAGAAAGGTCATCTAGCAGGAGGGTGCAGGGAGGATGATTGGAGGTGGGTGAGCCAGGAGATAAGGAGACAAGTTAGGAGACAATAACATAGACTAAACAAGAAATAATAGGCCAGGATTAAGGCTTTAGCAATGGAGATAGGAAAGATGTACAAATCTGCGGTGTCATTTAGTGAGGGTGAGGGAGAAGGAGAAATCCTGACTAGCTTTCAAATTTCTCGTTTTTCCTGACTGCTTGTCCTGTGGGAGTTACAAAGAAAAAGACAAGGTTCCTATCCCCAGGAAAAGACGTGTGAACACGCAAAGAGAACTAGCAGCAAGGAGTAATGCATTTTCACTGCCAGATGAAAGGTACAGCCAGTGAGTACTATGGGAGGGAGAGGAGAAATGATGATTTCCAGCTGGACTCATTGAGGGCCACTGAATGGGAAGCTGGAGAGATGTCTGGAACTGAGATGGGCTGATAGGAAGGGGACGCTGCAGCAGGCCAAGACATGATGTGAGAAAGGACACAGCCATGGAAGGCAAGGCATATTCGGGGAAGGGAATCAAATAGCTCAGGGGTATAGTATAATTTTAGAAGAGGATGCATAGAGTCATGGAAGACAGAGATGGCAACATTGGGGTTAGGAGACTTCAACGACAAGTAAAGGAGTTAGAACTTCACTATCTGGGTCAGTGTTGACCTGTGTCTGTTCTGTGGAAGGCCTGTGTCCCAGGAGATGGTGACAACTGCCCAGTGACATTAGAGGATAGTGGGTAAGTTACATTTGGAAAATGCTGGATTAAACCAAGTTAAACAGGTTCTAGGGCTAACAAACTTCTTAGATACTTTAAGATTATATAAAAAGGTAAAAAAAGGATCAAGGGCTTTTTTATCAAAGGAGAAAAAAGGAAAAAGTACAGGATTGCAAATGTATACCTGGCTGCCAGCCCCAGTTTTATCATTGCTTAGATGTGTGATCCTTAGCAAGCTATGATAAAGCTTTCTGGATGGGCCTTAACGTCCTTGCCTGTAAAATGGGCTATTAGACCAGGTGAATGGCTTCACATCTGGACATTCCCACAGTATAGTACAGCCTCCAAGGTAGTCAGGCATATTTTAAAATTTTCAAACACATGCATAAAAGAATACATACATCTTCAAAGGGCGCTTGAATCTAAATAAGACATTTCTTTTCTTTTGGCTGGTATTACATAAACTAGTATGGGAAGCTTGGATTTTTCCCATTAACTAGATCGTAAGATCAAGAAAGGAATCTGCTTTGTTCATCATTTAATTTTTGGCATCCAGCACAGCACTGGGGTCATAATAACTCAATAAATATTCAGTTGTGAATGAATGCTGGTCAGTGGCTTTGAGGACAGATATGTATATGCCTTTATTTGAAGGAGAAAATAAATTGTTGCTGAATATAATTTTGGTGAGATATTCTTGAAAATGGTGTTACGGGGATTAAGAAATGAGTATTATTCGTTGAAAAATTTGGAGACTCTTAGATTAGATGATCTCTGTCTCTTAATTATAAAATTATGCAATATATAATTTTCCTGGGGTCTAAGAAAAAGTCATTATATATGATGTTTTTAAGGACATTTCCATACTCTTAGAGATGGAGTTTCTGCAGTAGCAGTGAGATGTGGAAAAAATTAGCATTGTAAGCTGCTAAAGAGTGAAAGAAAGGATGATGAGGAAACTAAGACCGTGGCTGTAAGATTCTCACTTTATTCACCCCAGCAAGTACCAGTGCTCCAAACACAGTATTGTGCCCTAGAAGGGATCAATAAATACGCAGCGACTGTCTAATCAGTCCAGGAGTTTCTTCTTTCATGTATTCAACAAACATTTATTGGACACTCACCATCTTCAGGCGTGGGGATCTGGCAGAGAACAGGGTAGGCCATTTTAAACCAAATCCAAGTCCACAATATTTCATAAATATCTGACGTGTGTCAGACACTAAGCTAGCTATTGAGGATGGAGGATTGATCCAGCACAGTCCTTACCCCAAGGAAGTCAAAATCCATGCAGGGAGGTGGGGGTCTCTGATGTGTAGGGAGCTTAAAGACCTCCTAGGGCTGCAAACAAGACAGAAGGATCCGAAGAGCAATGTAATTGCATTTGATATTAAGGAATTTTCACTGTGCTGAAGAATTTTGACTGTTCTTTAAACACATTGTTAGGATGAAAGTTAAAAGGCATTGATTTAAGGAGCAACAGAAGGCAAGAAAATGAAGGCTATCAAGTGTACATACACAGCTACTTCAAGAGATTTGGCAATAACAGGAAAAAGGAAAATGATGTGGTAGTTTAAGGAAAGGCAGAAACAAAAGAAAGCTTTGTTTTTTTGTGTGTTATCTGTTTTGTTTTCTTTGCTGGAATGAGTAAGATCTGAGCTTGTTGGTAGAGTGGGGAATTTAAGATGTGAAAATTGTCAGAGTTATCCACAAAGGTTTTCAGTCCTCTATTGCTTCTGAGTGTGGTATGGAGAGGCTGTGGTAAACTTTCATTTAAATTAATATCAAAACATTATGGACATACCCAAAATAACCAAGTTTCCCTTAGCAACTCATTCCATTCGTTTTCTTTTAACCTTGATAGATTGTGAGTCTCAATCACGTCTTGGAGTAGCAAGTTTCTTGTACGTACTACCTGCTGGGTAAAAAGTCCTCCGCTTAAATTGTTCTAAATTTACTATTTCTAAGCTGCAAGTGGTGCTTCTTCATTCTGATGATCTAGAATTGCCAGATCACCTGTGTTCCCTGTCCAGGACTGGGACTCTGCTGCATTTCAGCACCTCACAGACACAGGGCCCAGATGTTCCCATCAGCACCGGTCCCACACATCCGCATCTTCATTCCTCCCTTCCCAAATCTGTGCATTGCATTGGTCTATATTGCCTGCATTTCCACCCTCACTCTCCTATGTATTATTTGCTAAGCAGTTTGAACAATCTTTTAGAAACAGAAGTTTTGTCTCCATACTACTTGAAACCAGGAAAAACCTACATCCCAAGTTACCTGCAGCACCCAGTTTATGCCCTGTGTCCAGGTCTAATGATTAAGAGTGCCCCTTTTAATTTCAAAAGTATCTGCATTTGTACAATAAATTAAATATTCACTCTCCTTCAAAACCTGCAAAGTCTTCCCATTGCTCTTAAAACAAAATCCAAACTCCTTATCGTGGCCTAATTTTTCCCCTATCTCCCGAACTTACCTCTACTCTCCCTCCCACACTGGGCTCCAAGCACATTCACCTCTGTTTGATTTTCCAACATACTGAGCTCATGCTGATGTCAAGACTCAGCACTTGATGCTTCCTTGGTGTAGAGTACATTTCCTTCTGCTTTTTGCAGTGCTGGTTTTCCCTCTTCCTTCAGATTTCAACTGAAATGTCACATCCTCGGAAAGACTTTACCTGACTTTACACCATGCGAATTCCCCAGCTATCCTGTACATCTCTTTATTGTCTATACAGTGCTTGTGAGCAAAAGAAGTTTTCCTTTTTAAAAACAATTTGGTGTCGTTTAATGCTGTACCTTTTCATTCAGCTGGTAGCTCCCTAAAGGAAGAAACTCGTATGTCTTTTTAAATCACTGTGTACCTTATCTGACCACGATTACCATGAAGACAGCTCAGAGAGCCTCTTCATATCTAGGATTAAACCCTCTTGGCCTTTACCCATGGAACACTCTAGAAAACACCTTATTCTAAGATGACTTCAGTTATGAGATGTAAAAATATACCAATGCTTTCTTTGTGAGGGTAGTAAGTAGAATTGTTGCAATGTGTCTGGGCTTGCTTTCCTAAACTACTACAGATGAACCATGCATCTACTCCAGGACCTTCTAATGTATAATCTGTATTACTAGCTTTCTAGAAAATTATGCCAAAAATAAATATGTCGTTATTCAAAATAGGAGTGTATAACTCATTCAAAAAGAAACAGCAGATGCTGGCAAGGTTGTGGAGAAGAAGGAATGCTTTGACACTGTTGGTGGGAGTGTAGAGTAGTATAGCCATTGTGGAAGACAGACTGGTGATTCCTCAAAGACCTAGAGGCAGAAATATCACTTGATCCAGCAATCCCATTACTGGCTATATACCTAAAGGAATATAAATCATTCTCTTATAAAGACACATGTAAGTGTATGTTTATTGCAGCACTATTCACAATAGCAAAGACATGGAACCAACCTAATATCCATCAATGATAGACTGAATAAAGAAAACGTAGTATATTTATACCATGGAATACTATGCAATCACAAAAAGGAATGAGATCATGTCTTTTGCAGGGACACGGACGGAGCTGGAGGCCATTGCCGTTAGCAAACTAATGCAGGAACATAAAACCAAATACCGCATGCTCTCACTTATAAGTGGGAGCTAGATTATGACAACATAAGACACACAGGGGGAAACAACACACACTGGGCCTGTCCAAGCCTGGGGTGGAGGAAGAAGGAGAGGATCAGGAAGAATAGCGAATGGATTCTTGGGTTAATACCTGGGTGATGGGATGATCTGCACAGCAAACCACCATGGCACATGTTTGCCTATGTAACAAACCTGCACATCCTGCATATGTACCCATGAACTTAAAAGTTGGAAATTTAAAAAAAGAAATAGTCTGCTTATGGTGCTCAGACTGTGTAGAACATATTCTCATTAAAGGAAGAGCCACAAATTATTCTTCTCTTATTGCCAGCATCTAGTATAGTTCTGGGCATACAGTAGGTACTCTAAAGATGTTTGTAGATTGACTCTCTTCCTGAATGCACAAATAGTGAGTGAATGGATGCATGGATGGATGGGTGGATGGGTGCGTGGGAGAATAAATGGATGGGTGGTAGGTGGATGGATGCGTGGGTGAATAAATGGGTGGATGGATGAGTGGATGAATGGGTGGGTGGATGGATGGATGGGTGGGTGGATGGATGGATGGATGGGTGGGTGGATGGATGGATGGACGGATGGGTGGATGGATGGATAGATGGATGGGTGGATGGATGGGTGGGTGAATAGAAGATGAATTGATGAGTGGATGAATGGGTGGTTAGATGGGTGGATGGATGAGTAGATGAATAGTTGGATGGATGAGTGAATGGATAAATCCATCGGTGGGTGGGTATAGACAAATTATATATCCTTCCTAGGTATACTTCAAAGTGAGCTGATCTATTCCAGGAATCAAAATAAATCAAAAGGTAAGAGGCAGAAAACATGCCCCTGACCCAGCAGGCACTGTTACTCCACATGATTCCATGAGCATCTGCCAGGTGACCATGGAGCTGCCAGAGCAGTGGCAGGACATTCCACCTGCTAGCCTACCTCTTCTCTCAAAGTTCATTTACTCTACTCCTTAAGGAAATCTTCTAAAACCTAGAGAAAGGAACAGTTCAAAATGCAGTGAAGAAATAAAATAATTAAAATGGATTGTATTGAAATGTAAGATTTTCTGTTTTAGAAAAGTTAAGTGTGTGGGAGCCTCTGTTGTATTAAATGTTCACTATGTTCAGAAAGTAAATACTGTCAGTGAGCAGGCAGGAGATTAAGGTGACAGGAAGAACAGATTTTAGACCTTTTAGATGTTAATTTCCCATAGATCATCTGTCTGTCCTCCCCTTGTTTGAAGTTCCCAAGGCTGGAGGCTTCAAAGCACACACTGACTGCCATTTGCACGCAGCTCATGGCTCCATGGGAGCCGCCTCAGCAGGTTAGAACACTCTGTCCCTGCAGGAGCCTTCCCCACACTCCCGCTCTGTCAGTCTCTGCCTTTCTCTCTATTCGGAACATCAAGGACAATTCTATCTGCGAGTCCAGTAGCTGGAAATGAAGCCAGCTCATCCTCAACATGGCAAGCACCCCAGACCCGGGTTCCAGGCAGGCAAATTGATTTAGGGGATTAAATGCAAAGTGACCAAAAGCTTCTTCAGAACTCTTTATGAAAATGACAACTTTTTCCTCCTCCTTGCTTTTTTCTCCTTCTTCTCTATCTTGTGTCATTTTCTCTGCCTCCTATTTTACTAAAGTGTTAGATAATCTATGGGCCATGCTTTGGTCCATCATTTGGCAGTTATTTTTAATTGCTAATTTATGGTTCCTACCCTCAAGCAGTTCACTACCTGGTAGGACAGAATGACAGAATGTCCTCAAAGGTGCTGCAATGGCATTTGTATAAAAATCAGTGGCACAGAAGAAAGATGCCAAGCCCTCTGCAAAGGGCTAGGAGAAGCTTTGCAGACAAGGCAAGGCTTCCCCTGAGTCCACCTCCACTTGGCCACACACACACACACACACACACACACACACACACACGCCATTCTCACCAGGGCATGTGATGTTATAGACCAGCCAGAATGTGAAATGTCATGCCTTAGATTTATTAAGGGATAAAAATCCATGGTGAATGAAAATGTTAGCCATACAACAAAAATATTAAAATATTTTTTTCTATTAGCGGGAGGGCTGACTTATGAGCAGGGAATCATTTAATGACTTGGAGTTTCAGCTTTATACCTGAAATGCCGGTGCTGGACTGTACACCCTCCCAAGCCTCCTTCCTTGCCCAGTATTCAACAGCTCTATGATTCTAAGGATGCTACTGCTCTATGATACCAAAGATTTTGGATACTGGAACCCCCACTATACTTCATACTTTTAGTTAATAACTTATTTAGATCCATTTGACCCCAATAATTATATATGACCTGAACTCATAATACTCTCCTTTAGACATGAAGAGCTAGCTGACCATGACAAATTTTGGTTCCCCATGGACTAAAGCAAGTCTCAACTCAGCTTTGGTGTGGACACTCAGGAGGGCCCAAGCTCAGCCACTAGCAGCATCAACACGGCAGTGGTAGGAATGATGTTCTGCAAAGACGAGACAAGATAGGTGGGAAAACAGGACATCTCTGTACACACAGCTCAGCTCCATAGATTTGTCTGTTGAAAGAAATCTGAGAAATAACCTGCTGCCTCTTCTTCTCCTCAAGAAATCCTATGGGTCAGTGCCCTCGCCTCAGCCCACACCTGAATTAAAAAGATGCTGCAGTTTGTTTATAGTAATTTCCTGCCAGGACATTTATCGACGAGACAATCGCAGCCAAATCCGATGGCACCGCCTGACCTGGTGACCTTGTCGTCACCTCCCTTTGAACATTGATTGCTGCTGCTCACCTCATTAGACCCTTCTGATCAGCAGCCGCTACCTACCCAAAGGAAATTCAGCTAATCCCTTTTTTGTTTCTCAGTTTTCTTTAAGCAAATGGAAGACAAAGACCTTATTTTTGGAAGGACAAGTCAAACTTTCATTTTAAGGAAAGGAAATCGACCCCCAGTCTCCCGAAAGCCTCCCAGCTCTGTGTCTCCCTAGTAGACATGTGTATTCTGCAGGGGCCAAGAGTCATTTATAAGGAGAAAAGTGTGACTTCTTAGCACTGTATCATCAGAGTGGCTAAGCTTGGAGCCAAGTGAAGTGGGGAAGGCAAAGAGATAGTGCTAGCTTTATTTTTCTCCTGGTTACAATGGGCTAATGTCTTCTAATAGCTTCAAGTATGCAAATTTAACCTAATGAATGCCCTAAGTGAATATCCTCGTTTGTTATTAATTGTGTGGCAATTCTTTACATCAGTTTGCTAACCCAAACACCCAAAGCTGCAACTGTGGAAGTTAAGGTGCATTTTACCTGTCAATGGAATGATTTGTATTTACACTAATTAAGTGTTTACATCTACACTAATATTAGCAAGCAATTAAAGCTAATTCTGGGCATTAGGTTACTGTTGATGGTCACCGCAACCTACACTTAGCAACCTGAGTGCAAATTACGTGCCTCTAGATCTGAGGTCTTATTATTATTATTATTATTATTATTATTATACTTTAAGTTTTAGGGTACATGTACACAAAGTGCAGGTTTGTTACATATGTATACATGTGCCATGTTGGTGTGCTGCACCCATTAACTCGTCATTTAGCATTAGGTATATCTCCTAATGCTATCCCTCCCCCCGCCCCCCACCCCACAACAGTCCCCGGTGTGTGATGTTCCCCTTCCTGTGTCCATGTATTCTCAGGTCTTAACCGGCAACCAGAGATGAACATTAGCTAACCCATAAAGGGCTCTGAAATGTTGCACAATAATTTTTGTCAGTGGAGACTTTTCCAGGAAGGGTCAATGTCCTCAAAAGATTCCAGAGTTCTTGATATAGTTGGGATATTTGGCCCTGCTCGAATCTCACATTGAGTTGTAATCCCCAGTGCTGGAGATGGGGCCTGGTTGGGTGTGTGTGGATCATGGGGGCGGATCCCTCATGGCTTGCTGCTGTCCTTGTGATAGTGAGTTTTTCAAAGACCTGGTCCTTTAAAAGTGTGTGGCACTTCCCCCTCTCTCTCTCTCGCTCTTGCCTTCACCACTGTCGTGTCTGCTCCCACTTCACCTTCTGTCATGAGTAAAAGCTCTTTGAGGCTAACCCAGAAGCCAAGCAGACACGGGTGCCATGCTTAGACAGCCTGCAGAATCATGAGCCAATCAAACCTCTTTTCTTTATAAATTACCCAGTCTCAGGTATTTCTTTACAGCAATGCAAAAATGGCCTAATATAGTTCTACTTGACCCAAAACACATTAGGAACAAGTGCTCAAATTACAGTCTTTCCTGGGAGCAGGATCTACGTCACTATCTTCCTCTAAATCCTTCATTCTTATAGTACTGAGCTTTGCTTGAAACATGCCATTGATAAGCCAAAATAGGGAAGCTTAAAAATCCTAACGGTAATGAGTTCATTTAGCCTCACGTCATTATTAGGAGAAATGATTATACACCTATTTTATAGTTCAGAAAACAAATTTTCTAAGCAGCAAAATTGTTTTTGTAAGAAAAGTCATCCACTTGGCAAAGAATTATTTACGATACCCTTTTCTGGAAACATTGACAAGTAATATAATATGCTACTGGCTCAAATAACACTCCCTGGTTTGTGAGAAAAACAGTGTTGAAACTCCACTTGCACTATGATGTAATTAAAAGATCAGGGACTTGGAGGAGAAGGTTTGGGTTTTAGTTCTGGCTCTGATATTTCCTAGGTGTGCGATTTGGGGCCAATCTGACATCTGCAGCCTAGAGTTGGAATGAGAACCAAGGGCGATGACAGATGTGAAAGCTCTTTGTAAAACATAAAGACTATCTAAATGGTAGTTATTAATAGTATTTTTGAAATGAGCATGCACTTTAATGCCATCATCAAAGGTCAAAGGGAAGTGGACCTCTTCAAGAAGCAGTGAAGTGGAGGCTGCTATAAAGCATGAATGTTTCATGGGAGGGATGAGTTCTCTGTAATAATATCCATTGTGACCTTCCCCATAGCCTGGCAGGCAGCTGAATGCTATATTACCATTGATATTACCACATCATCAGGAAGGCGACTTTCATGTAGATGAAAAGCATTCCAAATGGCTGCAGTTTAACCTTATCAGATGAGAAGAAAACGGGATCAACTATCTAATAAGAAAAATCAAGGAAACTCCAACTGGAGAGTTATGGCTACTGCAGGTATCATGTCTTCATCTACAGCTGTTAGATTGTTTAGCTGTAACCAAGGGAAAATACACAAGTTAGACCTGTATGGAGGAGAGGGAATTTTTATTAGAGGAAGAAAAAAGTATATATTCAGTATATCTTTTCTTTCATACCAACTTTATATCTGAACTTTAGAACCCCTTAATAAAATTCCATTTAGTGATACACCACGTCTACATGATACTCAGCAAACGTCATTATAAAAGAATAAAATAAAGAATAAAGAGAACAACTGTTTCTCTTACTGGTTAAAATGTTACAAATACATAATGGACATTTCCCATGTGTGGTAGCCAGCCTCCAGGATGGTCTCAATGAGACATACAAACAGAATACATTGTTCAAAATAATTTTAAATCTCGTCAACTGGATGGAAATACAGTTAAAATATTTGAAGTATTGACAGTTGAGGATGATATTGAGGGATGGTACTGAAGCAGCAGGACTTCCTTATATGCATGTCTTCCTCCCCAGTCACAGAGCGTGAACAGAGCTCCCCATCCATCTGCAATTTGTTATTGTTTTTATTTTATTTTTATTTTTTTTTGGTATTTCCCTACTGCTGAGCTCTGAGGCATGACTAGGGAATCAATACTAGAGGTAAGAAATGGTTCATCAAACCTGGACTGATTTTTTACCTGATTGTAATTCCAGAACAAGTGGGGAGAAGAGGGAAGAATATTGCTGGGTTTCTATTCCTGAAGGAACTGTGGGATTCCTACACATTTGCTCTGCCTGAAATGAGCCACAGCTTCCTGCCTCCTCCTGCAGGTTGGCCACAGCCTACAGGTCCCGAAAGCAGGACCTATCCTTGCACAGATGTACAATGGTCTATTTCTGTACCTCCTCTCATCTCATTCCCTGCTTTACCATCTTTTCCCCTCCTCCTTCCCTTCTACTTCTTCTCAATTACAGGTATTCTTATTAGAATTTAATAAGAATTAAATTTAATTTATTTAATAAGAATTGAAACTTATGTAATTAAAATAATTTAAATATATAATAAGAGTGGAATTCATTGAGTTTGCTATTGAGTAATCACTTAATACTTACCACTTTACTAGTTAATTTCCATGATATCCTCAATATTTAATTTCTACATATTCCTCAATATGGGGGATATAATTATTATTCCTACTTTATAGAAAAGATAACCATAGTCCCTACAACTAAATGAAAGATACAGATTTGAAATTAAATCTGCAGTCACAGAAGCAGGAACCTTAGCTACCACATCATGATCAAGTTCCTACTTTATAGCTTTTAAGCCAGAGCCTTAACAAGACCCTAGACCTTTCTCACTGCAGGTTTTGCTAAACAGTCCAGTTCCTGATTGCTCCAGCTCTATTCCCATGCCTTGCCCCTCCCTTCCTGATTTTCTACCTCACTCTTTTTATTTTTTTCCTCAAATAACTGCATTTCTGTTGTTGAGCCTAGGGCTCAGCTCCCAACCTGAGAGACACTGCTAATCCTGCCTCCTCAGCCCAGCCTCAGCTCCTTATTTCTGAAATGTACGCTTGCTGGTGCTTATAGAAACTACAGATTTCTATAAATAATACATACATTTCCAAGTACACATGGAATATGTACTATTTAGACTACAGAGCAAGTAATAACATATACAATAGTTATATTTAAAATTCAAATTTCATTCATACTCAAATTTAACATATCTAAAATACAAACAATAATTTTAAAATATTTGGAAAGAGATATTAATAAAATATTAACTGTTAAACTGTTCATGATAGAGTTAAAACAGTATAGTATTTAAGGGGAGATTTTTTAAAATACAAAGATTAAAAATTAATGAGCTGATCATCTACTAAAGTCATTAGAAAAGATCAACAGAGTAAACCCAAAGAATATATAAAACAAAGGAATAATTTGAAATACGAGAAGAAACTACTGACTTAGAAAACCAATAAAAATCCAAGAGAATTCACAAAGTTGAGAAGTAGCTCTCTGAAGAGAACAACAAAACTCTTATGCCTCTCTTAACATAGGTTAAGGAAAAAAGACAGAAAAGGTATAAACAAGCAATAATAGGGATACAACAAATTGGTATATAGTAATAAATTCAGCAGAGTCTTTTAATTAACAGGAATGACGCTTGCTAGTAAATTTGAAAACAAGAAAATATATAAAGAAATAATTAAAGCACGGAAAATCAAATTATACATGTGATGTTTAAAACAAAATGTTATCAGAAGTTTAAAAACTTAACAACCATAATTAGACACAGAAGAATTTATAGGTGAGTCCTAACAATAATACAAGATACAGATAACTCAAAAGCTAAATGGAATGTTTCGGAGAGGATAAAAACAGGAAATGCTCCACAGATCACTTATTTATCTAGAACTGCCTTGATTC
This sequence comes from Homo sapiens, assembly GCF_000001405.40. Taxonomy (NCBI): domain Eukaryota; kingdom Metazoa; phylum Chordata; class Mammalia; order Primates; family Hominidae; genus Homo; species Homo sapiens. The sequence continues at coordinate 131,845,891 of NC_000011.10, read as the reverse complement.
AAAACCAGAAGAGGATAATACCAGAGAGGCAAATTAGAGGTCATTCTTATGTATAGGGAAGGAAAAATCCTCGGGTAAACATTAGCAAATTAAGTTCAAAGGTATATTTTTGTCTTTTTTCTTTTATTTTTTTAAAATATTACAGTGGTTTTAGAGAGCAAGAAAAGATATTTTAAAAAAAATCCAGGAATGTATTTTTTTTTTAATGACAGGAATTTTATCTCAGGAGTGCAAAGTTGGTTTACGTTCCAGAGATGAATTAGATATACTAGATAATGTGAATGGATTCGCCTCTGGTATTTGAAGGACAATGTAAACCAGCTTTTCAAACTTGCTTATGCATATTGTTCCCCCGGCTCTCTGGTTAAATGTAGATTCTGGTTTAGTAGGGCTGGGGGAGGGCCTGAGACTCTGCATTTCTGGGCACCCTGTGGAGGCTGCTGCTGCTGCTCTACTATACGCTGAGAAGCAACAATGTAGAGTGCTGGTATTGAAGGAACAGATTTCCATTTCAGTCAGGAGCTCTTCTCCAACCCCATTCCAGAATACAAACACAAGCTCCCCCAACCTCCATTTATTTTTGTCTGAGGTATTCTCCTTGAGCCAGGTTCTGGATGTAATTAGTAGATTTATTCACTGAATTCCTTAAATGTGTAATCAACTTTGAGGAAAAAAATCACTGTTTTTTATTTCAAAGAATACAGAACAACTATTTAATAAAATATGATAAATTCATGATGGAAATTCAAAGAAAACCATGAATCTAAAGGGGATTCCTTAACTTCAAAAAGGGCATTCACCAAAAGTATATGGCAAATTTCCTATTTAATAGTCAAAATATTAGAGGCAATCACTTTAAAGTCAGAAACAAAGCAAGGATGCTTATTTGCACTGCTTCATTCAGCAGTGAGTTGGAGGTCAGAGTCAGCATAGTGAGACAGGACAAAGAAATGAAGATAATAAGGATTAGAAAAGAAAACAACAAACTGCCTAATGATATGATTATCTATGTAGGAAATCCAAGTGAATCTAATGATTAATTAGAATTAATATGTGAGTTTAGAAAAGTTGCTGAATATAAGATGAATATAGAAATATCAATGAAATTTTAAAATGTGAACTGTACAAAAACAAAGATTAATTAAAAGAGACACTATAATAACAACAAAAATAGAGTTTGTGAGAATAACCGACTGTATAAAACATGTATAAGAGATTTCCAGCAAAAATTACAAAACTCTATTGAAAACCAAAAAAAGTGAAACCTAGATAAATGAAAGCATATAACATGTTCATGGGCAGAGAAACACAACATCATAAATATGTCAATTCATACAAAAATATTCTATAAGTTTTATTTAATACAACTTCAGTGACAATATCAAGAGAATGTTGTGTGGTACTAGAAGTTAATTTTAGAGCGATGAACAAAGTATCACGAATAATTAAGATGAACTTGAAGAGTAGGATGGGGGGACTCATCCTACCAGATAGCAAAATGCATTTCAGAGCTACAGGAATTAAGGTAGTGTGGAATGGGCCCCAGAAAGACAAATGAACCAACAGAAGCCGATAAAAGTCCGAATACAGAACCACACCAAATGGAAACTGGATTAAGGAAAGAAACAACATTGCAGATTCCTGTAATCAACAAATGCTCCCAAGGCCCCTGTCTCACATCACACACAAACATCAATTGCAGATAGATTAAAAAGCTAAATACCAACAGCAACACTTTGCCATTATTAGAATACAAATATAAGCAGGTATTTTTATGTTTTTCGGGTAGGAAATTATTTTTTATGCCAACACAAACGCACACACACATCCACAAACTCATCAAAGAAAATAAAGTTTTAGTTTATTAAAAGAAAAATAGTTCTCTACAAAAAAAAGAAGACATCATAAAGTGTAAACAAGAGACACAGGCTGGGAGAAAAAATTTGCAACTGCAATGCATGTAAAAAAGAATTCATATCGAAAATGTGAAAAAAAAGAGAATAAAATCCCAACCAACCAATAAGAGAAACAAGAAAAAAGAACTTGGTAGGAAAACTAGGCAATTCACTAAGAGGAAAATGAAATGGCTAATAAATATATAAAAAGATGTTCAACCACACTAGCAATCAGGAAAATACAAATTAAAACAACAATAAGATATCATTATATACCCAGAAAATTGCCTATTCGCATGCAGTCTAGTGAGATTTTAAACTGGCAAAACCATTTTATTAAGCAGTTTGGCAATATTTAGAAATGTTGAAGGTGCTTTTATCCTACCCTGAGTAATTCCCGCTCACATGTGCACAAGCTGCATACATGCATGTTTATTGCAGCATTGTTTTTACAGGTGGAGACAGCCCACAGGTCTTGCAATAATGGAGAGCTAAACAGTGGTAATAGTCATAAATTGGATTAAAATGAATGGGTGGTCTATCTGTCTATTTAAGAGGAATAAATCAAATCTCAGAAACATGAAGTTACATAAACAAGGCAAGTAACTGAAGAATCTAACCAGACTGAGACCATTTATAGTAGTTCAAAATCATGGAGAACAATATTATAGTTTATTTAAACACATATGAATGTACTAGAGAAGAAAAATCTGATAACTTCATAATTTTGGGGACCTCTGGAGAGGGGAGACAGGAGCAGGGAAAATGGATTTAGAGAAGAATAAACAAGTGGATTCAGTTTAGATTAATGTTGTGTTTCTCTAGTAATAATGTGTGAAATAAATTTGGCAAAAATATTACAACATGAGGAAAATTGGTAGCTAGCAACTTTTTTATTATTCATCATATTTTCCTATATGTTTGGAATATTCATATGAGAAATTTTGCTTTTCATTTTATATTTATTTATTTATTTATTTATTTTTTGAGACAAAGTCTTGCTTTATCACCCAGGCTGGAGTGCAGTGGTACCTCTTGGCTCACTGTAACCCCTGCTTCCTGGGTTCAAGTGATTCTCCTGCTTCAGTCTCCTGAGTAGCTGGGATTACAGGCATGCGGCACCACGCCCGACTAAATTTTGTATTTTTAGTAGAAATGAGGTTTCACCATGTTGGCCAGGCTGGTCTTGAACTCCTGACCTCAAGTGATCTGCCAGCCACAGCCTCCCAAAATGCTGGGATTATAGGCATGAGCCACTTTGCTTGCCCTCATATTAGAAATTTAGATAGTAAATTTAATGGTGTTTGCCTAAAACATTTTGGATTTTCATACTCAGTGGTTGATATACTCAATTAATGTACTTCTCTTGCAATGTCTTTTTCAAAAAGGTCAGTTCAAGATTTTTTTGTCCTGGATGCGTTGAACATGCTTAGTAGATAATGTTCATTTTTAGGTCACCTTCAGGAGTCAGCAGATTTGTGGACACCATATTTTATGGGAGACTACTGCCTCTCGATGCTCTATTTACCACACCACATTTTCTTAATACAGTAAGAAATGAAACGGAAACCACGACTTGCAAAACTGTGCTGAAATTCACAACAGATAAACTCTGTGGAACCAGGACACACAACACAAACACTGTAAACTCAAAATGTTTTAATAGGAGCTCATTCAGACCCTTATAATCCAAATAAGACAAGAGAAAAACTGACTTAACAACACCTTCTCATGGACTCATATGTTCCAAAGAAAAGACCACCGTCTGTTCCAGCGATTAAAATGGTTTGCAAGATCTGACCAGTTCCTGCTCAGAAACTTCTGCCCTAAAACCACCTTGTGGCTCACTCCAGCCTTTAGAGCTCTGTAAAGGAGCTCCTCTAACCTCTGACTCCACTGAGGTTCTCTCAAGGTGCTGCTCGCTCATGTGGTGCAAGTTGGGGTAACCGGTTTTGTATGATCCATACGTTTCTCTGGTCGTATTTGAATAGGAATTTGACAGTAGTGGGGAAACAAATTTGAATTCGCCCATTCTAGTGTGGCTCCTGCCTAATGGCTGTTGGGCATCTCTTGCCACTTTCTTCCTGCTTTGTGGCCCTGGCTTAACTCTACTGAATCACAGATTTCTGAGTGGGACACGCTCTTTCAGTCCCCAGGCCTCTGCCGCTCCTGCTCCTTCAGCTGTAATCCCCATCCCTCCTCTACTTCCCACGCTGACCCCAGTCACCCTTCACTCAGCTCAGGGGGCTCTTCCTCGTGGAAGTCATCAAGGCCCCTCTACCTTCAGGACTGACCCCTCAATAGGGCTCCCTTAGTAGCTTGTGCCTCCCTATCTGATAGCAGTTATCACACCTATATTTCCATTTTCTGTTTTCTTATCTGTCTCTCACCCTAGATCAGCAATTCTCGTCCTTGACTGTACATTGGAAATACTGGGGAATGTTAAAAAAAAATGTGACTTATTAGTTTGGGGTATGGCCTGGGCATCAGGATTTTTAAAATTGCCCAAGTGATTCTTGTGTGCTGCCAAGGTTGGAAATCACTGTATTTGATGGTGAGCTCTTTGAGTGCAAAAATGATCTTATTTGCCGTTGTAGCTCTAACACCTAGCACACAGTGCTGAACATTTAATAAATGTTTATTGAGGAAATGGGAGGTCACTATGGAGAACCACATTCTGATTCTGATGTGAAAAACACCATCATCTTGCTGTGTCACTATATTTGGCAACAACACTTGGCAGTACTTCCCCAAACAATAAGTATAACTCAATTATAGAATTATTACAATTTATTATAGCTATTGGTTTCATATTTCAGTCTCTCTCCCTGCAGGACTTTGAGGAGAGGAACAACATCCTAGTCATTTTTATGTCTCCAGAGCCAAGAACAGTGCATGACCTATAAAATGTCTTAAAAATGTGTACTAAATCTATTTAACTGACCATAAATTGAATTAGCTCAGTTTAAACTAATCACTGAAAACCTCAAGTGGGTCTTGTACTGCTGGAAGACCATACTTTCCCACTAGTTCATTCACCATCTCACTCCTCAAGATGAACATTTTCATTTCACACCTTCTGTCATCCTCCACCTCTGACATTCCCTCCATCATTCTCAGATTTGCCCGATGGCCTCACTTCCTCCTTCACTGAGAAAAATAAAACTGTTCAGAAGAGCACTTCCAGGGTCCCGCTCCAGGTCCTCCAGTGAGCCAGCACCAGATCCCACACCCTCTAATGTAGGATGGAAGACACGGCTTTGTTCAGTTTCACATCCTCTTCTGGGGGTCATTCCCATCAACACATAAACACATTCTTCATTTTTAGGTCATTTCACTTCTTTAAAATATACCTCTTTTTTTTGGACAGGTGTCAGTTTTTGCTCCCCTCTGTAGAAAGAAAAAACTCATGAAAGTTTTCAATGTTAATGTCCTATCCATCTCTTCAGATTCTTCCTTAAGTTTTCTTTTGCTGTCACATCTGAAAATGGACTCAAGGTTGCCACTGAGCTCCCTGTTTTCAAATCTCATGGTCGATCCTCAGACCTCCTCTTACTTGGTCCATCGGCAGCGTGTGACACAGTTGATCGATCACTCCACCTTCCATGATGTGCCTTCCTCACATGGCTTCCAGGAGAACATGCTCTTGGTTTGCCTCCTGAGGGATTTTCCTGTACAGTGTCCTGCTCTGTGTCCTCATTTGCTCACCTAATCCTTAATATTGGAATTCTTAAGGATTCAATCCTTAGGCGTTTTTCCTTTTCCCATTCACTTCCTTGGGGGAAATCTGATTTGGCCTCGTGGCTTTAAATAGCATCCGTATCACAACTTCCCAATGCATGTGTCTGGTACATTCCTGAGTCACAGGAGTGTATATGCAATCGCCTACTCTCAACTCTACCTGTGTCTAACAGACACACCAAGTGCGATGTCCTTAAAGCTGAAGGCCTGACCTGAACTCCCCAACACAGCTTTCATCGTCTGTCTCAGCTGATGGCAAGTCCATCCTCCAGTTGTCCAGGTGTGAAGGCTTGTAGTCAGATCTGCTGCCCCCTCCCTGTCTCTAATACTCAAATTGCAGTACTTTTGGAAGTCATGTGTCTCTCTACCTTGGAAATACATCTAGAAACTGACTATCTCCCAATGGTTCACTGCTACCACCCTGGCCTGGGCCACAGATCTGGGTCAGACCTCCCATCATTTTCATACAACAGTTTCCATACTGTTTTCCCAACAACTGCATTTGCTCACACCCATTCAAATCTAGTTTCAACATAGCAGCAAACTAATCCATGAGTCTTTTCAAGTGTACATTAAATTCTTTCACTCTTCTGGGCAAAACCCTCCAGTGACTGTCAGAGTAAAAGTCTGTGTTCTTATGGTGACCTATAAGTCTCCTTTTCTGGTGTCCTGTTATCTTGCTTCCTTAACTCCCACTAATCTCCCCTGACTCACTTAGCTGCAGCCGCACTGCTGACCTTGCTGCACACTGAGCAGGATAGCATGGCCTGAGGGCTTCTGCCCTGGCTGCTTCCTCAGGTGGACTTTCTTTCCCCAGATGTCCCCCGACTCATTTCCTCATCTCCTTCACATATTTGCTCTAACATCAGCTTATAAATGACACCAACCTCAAATACCCTGTTAATATTGCAACCTGCCCTGGTCCTGAAACTCCCAATTCTTTAATCCATTTCTGTTATATTTTTCTACCTAACCACTTACCTTAAAATATACAGGCCAGGCATGGTGGCTCACGCCTGTAATTCCGGCACTTTGGGAGGCCGAGGCGGGCGGATCACCTGAGGTCAGGAGTTCGAGACCAGTCTGGCCAACATAGTGAAAGCCTGTCTCTACTAAAAATACAAAAAATTAGCTGGGTGTGGTGGTGTGCACCTGTAATCCCAGCTACTCAGGAGGCTGAGGCAGGAGAATCGCATGAACCCGGGAGGCAGAGGTTGCAGTGAGCCGAGATTGCGCCATTGCACTCCAGCCCGGGTGACAGTGCGAGACTCCATCTAAAAAAAAAAAAAAAAAGATTATTTACTTATTTCATTTACCATTGATTGTCTGTCCACTCTTCCCTTGAGAATCTAAACCCAAAGAGGGCAGGAATATTTGCTTCATTCATAGATGCACTCAAAGCACCTCCAAGAATACCTGGTACACAGTAGATGCTCAGTGGATATTTTTTGAATGAATGAATGATGGAATGTTTTTTTGTATTCTTATTCTATAGTTTATATTCTATTCTTTTCAAAACCTAATAAACCCCCTTTGTTTTATCTATCCAGTTCCAATATCTTCTATCAGATCAGTTTGAGTGCGCATATGACATTGTACGCACACACAACCATGAATTTTTAACTTTCTCCCTCTGTTCCATATTTTCCATTGATCACTTCCATATTGACCCTGGATACTGGCACTTTACCTACACTATCTCCAATCTCACAACAACATCAAAAGATAGACATTATTATTTCCCTGTGGAAAATGCAGAAAATGAAGCTCAGTGGGATTTAGCAATTTGCAACACAACTAATACATGACATCAGGAATTGAATCCACTATTTTCCAACCAAAGCCATTGCTCTGACCTTTTAACGTCTGCTACCCCCATAGATATGTAAATCACTAAGGAGGTGGACACTCGGCTGTACTATTTTTGTGTTTCCCACCAGTACTTAATATAACATAGGCTGGTCCTTCAGGATCGTTGACTGGAGTCCTGACACACATGACAGAGCCCGACTTCCGGGATGAGTGATCACTGAGCATGCGCAGGACCTGTGCCGTCTACACCCCGCCCCCTGCATCCGTGATGCTGGAACCGAGTCGTCCTTCCGGTTTTTACCTGATGTAAAAATAAATAAATAAATAACTGTGAAAAAAATCCAATCTCTGTTTGGAGGCACTAAATCCCCTCTCCTTTCCAGATGGCTGGGAGATGTTTCCCAGGTGGTAAATATATTATTAAGAACTCATTTCACCGTGAAATTGACTATTCAAAACACAGACAGAAGTTAATATATTAGGCCAACCTGTCTGAAAACTCGTGTTAGAGAAAATTTATTTTGGGTTAGTATAAAACCTGGTATTACACACAACCTTTTTCGACTTCAGGCAGTTAAAGTCATCTCCAGTTAGAACATGTGTTCCCACGTCAGGGCACGTCGCCACAGAGAGCCACATCTCCAGGTGAGGACCCGGGTGGCTCCCCCAGCGTGGGGCCTGGCATCGCGGCAGGCAGCAATGACAGGTCTCCCGCAACACCACGCATAGCCCTCGGGTGCACAGGAACCTTTTCCACCCAGGAGTTGGGGCCCGTTGAAAAACCTTTGCCTGGGCTTGTCTAGGACACCTTCAAACAGAGGATCCGGGACCACCCAGGCCAAATGTAGCAGAAGGAGTATTATTACTTAAGGGTGATCTGTTTCATCTTAGAAAAACTGTGTTAATCGCAAAGTAGAAAAGGGGTTCTCAATGAGGACCCAATTAGATGTGACTCTCCTAAATAGTAACTCATTCTGGACTCACTGTACAATAACTAGGCTACTTTCTTAGATTACAAAGAAATCACTCCAGCAGGCCACAGTCTATCAGTGAATACCCAAATTATAATGAGAAGAGTGGTTTAGGATTTTCACAATATATTAGAAAACACTGCATTAGGAATCACTAAATACTTAATTGAGGGGATGAGGGTAAGAGAAGGCAGAGAAGAGGAGGTACCTTTTGAATTGATCCCTGACAAAGGTGCAAATTCGGTAGATGCCTGTGTGGAAATGCATATCATGAAGTGGCTCCCACCTACTTTGGTCTTGACACCAAAATGGCTTGAAATATATCTATTCCCTCCCCACCAGAGTTTTTATGTTAATACGTATGTACTTGTTTTCCTGTACCTTGACTCTTGTTTTAAGTTTTGTCTGTAATCTAAAGTTTAAGGACAAAGTGAAAAATAATTCATAGCTTATGTGTACTTGAGTTCTTTTCCAGCCTCAAAAGAGACTTTCCTTTTGTTTTAAAAAAGATCCCTTCAGGAGTGACAGCTTTATTACTAATCACACAATGGATTTGTTACACATCACCAGGAGCAAAATCAAACTGACACCTAAATAATGTCTATTAAAGAATTTCTTAATTTAGTCAATTATTTTGATCCAACTAATTACTCACTTAAATAAGGATTCATTCAAACAACTGCCTAGATTTTTTTCTGTAAAATCAGTTCCAGAGTAATTAGTAAACCAGTAATTAATAATCCCCTGAGGAATGAAACCATTTTTCACATATTTAAAGTAAACAAAGCATCCCTTATTGGGTAACTGACTTCTGCAGCAACTCAGTAAAGGTCCAACCACTCATGACATGGAGAGAAGCATACAGAGGGGAATGTGCTCATTGGAAAAGTAGAGTTTGAATTCCTAGGCTCAAATAAATTGCATACTAGTGTAGATAATAAACAAATTGATTAATATGATTTAGAAAACATTAATTCATCCCTTCATTCACATGTCAAAATTCACTGTCTATATACAGTGTTCCAAGCACTGTGCTACACAATTACATATACAAATGAGAATTTCCATAGCAAATCTTTTAATTCATTCCCTATTTAGATCCAAGAAGATTTAAAGGGGGCTTACAAGATGAAACAGCAAGAATTCTGGCTTGGAGAAGCTCTCGAACTAGTTCAACAGAATTAGAATTTCATGAGAAACCTTGGAGAACAGAAGGATAAGCAGGAAATATAAGGTGGTACATAACTTAATTTTAAGAAAAGTTTTGTTGAAACATTACATACATATAGAAAAAATGAGCACATCATAAGCATACAGCTTGATAAGTATGCACATGGTAAACACAACCGCATTACTACCAGCAGTTAAAGAAATTGAAAATGACCTGTACTCAGAAGCCTCCTATTCTTGCAGCCTGTCTTCATTCTCTAAAAGTAGCACTGGCCTGACTTTCATGACTATATCAGTTTTGCCCATTTTTACTCTCCATATAAACAGAATCATTTGGTATAAATTCTTCAGTGTCTGACTTCTTTTGCTCAACATTGTATTTGTGACACTCTTCTATGACATGTGTATGTCATCAGTCTTAGTGTTTTAGAATATTCCATTGGGTGGATATGTCCCTATCCATATATCCATTTTACTGTTTATGTTTGTGTGGCTTCCAGTTTGGAGTTAAAACAAATAGTGCATCTATCAACACTTTTGTAAAATGTCTTTTGGTGCATGTATATATCTATGCTTGGGAAATCTATGCTGAGAGGAACAATGAGAGATTCTGTAATTAATAGCTCTAAATAATTTTCCAGAGTGTTTGTACCAATTAGGTTTCAGCAGCAAGGTATGAGAGATCTAGTTAATTCACATCTTCACCAGCACTTAGTATTGCCAGTTTTTTTTAATGTTACCCATTCTGATGGATATATAGCAATATATCATCGTGGTTTAAACTTACATTTCTCTAATGATTAGTGAGGTTGAGTCCTTTTACACATTTTTGATCACTTTGTGAAGTGCTTGTTTAAATCTTTCTTCTATTTCTGTTGAATGTCTGTCTTTATATTTTTTATTTGTAGGAGGTGTTTATCCATCCTAGAGATAAGTCTTTTTTCATATACGTATCGTGAATATCCTAACTATTCAGACTAGAAAGATTACAAGTGATCCCAGCAACATTCTCGATGGCACTTGTTTACTTTCATAGACTCCAGGGTACACATACAACACACATGTATTTTCAAACAGAATTTTCAATTTTCAAACAGAAATATCTTCAGATCTGAGCCCAAATACATATGTTAAATCTTGGCAGAAAACAAATAATTGGTATCTACCATCTCCTAAAATTTCCTGTTCTGCTTATAATACATCCAGTCTCCAGAGTGTAAGCCCCATGAGGACAGGGATGTTAGCTGAACTTCTTTGCTGCTGTATTTTTCAGTATTGAGAACAATACTGAACACATAGTAAGAATGTTAAAGCTGTTTGTTGAATGAATTAATGGCCAGGGTTACAATGGTGGTGACCTCTCTCTGAGGATTTTAGCTACCTGACCCCTGACCATAATGAACATCAACTCCACTGTACTTGTTAGACATTAAAGAAGCAAATGTTTTAGGCCACATATCCAATGGGAGGCAGTATAGCAGGGTGATCTAAATTATGGGCTACAGATCAAAAATGCCTAGATTGGATCATGGCTCTAATAGTAAAGTAGCTGTGTGAACTGTGTTTAGTGACATAATCCCTCTGTGCCTCAGATTCCTCATGTGTAAAGTACAGATAATAATCTTACTATCCCACTGCGTTGCTGTGAAGATTATACATATATATATATATATATATGTATATGTATATATATACACACACTATTCCGAAGATGCTTGGCTTATAGTGATGATGATGATTATTATGATGGCATTGGGGGTGATGATGAAGGTGACAGGGATGATTAGGATGATAGGGACCAGAACAGAAGCTCCACGTCGTCAGATCCTATTCTAATTACTCACAGCTGCAACCCCAGCACAGTGCCTACCACATGAAAACAATTCAGTAAACACTTATTGACTGAGTAAAGGATAAATCAGTAATTAGTTAGATGCAGAAACCATGGAATTAAATCAAAGAAATGGCCGATAGGTCATAGTTAAGCCCATAGATGTGGAAGGGAGTGGGTATTGGGAAAATATAGAGTGAGAAGGAAGGAGGCCCTAAGCCTGATTACTACTGAATTTCAACCTTTAAAGCCAGCTCAAGGCACGTGAGTGTGGTGGGCCCTGAGCCTCCCTATTCTGAGTAGCACCGTGGCAGAGAATTAAACAGAGACTAAACAGAGGCCAAGGGAGAAAATGAACAGAAACCAATGAACAAACGAAAGAGAAGATATCAGGATAAAGAAGAGACTGTACTTATGCCAGATGTTCTCCCTACCTCCACCTCATCCTCATGCCATGAGGCTATGTAAGCTTTCCAGAACTTAGATGAGTCCTGAGTGGAAATGGAGAATACCATAGGGTGGGGAGAAGAGCAAGTAGAATTTATAAAACTTCTAAGAAAAAAGACTTCGAAATGAAGATTTCTGTCTTTGGGCAAAATAAAGTCTTGAAACAGAAATTGAGTTGTTACAGGAAGAAAAAGGAAGTTACCTTTCTTGCATAATAGAATTTATGCCCTTGAATATTGCATCCCCCCATCTTTAACCACTAGGCTATCCTGCCTCCTCAGAAGCAAAGAGGCAGAGCTCCTTCCTTTAGGGTACAGGGCCTAATGGAAAACACGGCAGGGTTAAGGAGAGAACCAACCAAGGACCACTGTGTGTTCATGTCACTGAATACTATTTGAAAAGACTTCAATTCATGATGATTGTGTCATTCAGCCTTGACAGTCACGTCCTGACTCATGTGTGAGCTACAGATGCACTCAGTCTCCTGAGGTGGCTTCCCCCATGAGTGTCTTCCATTCCTTTGTCACTTACTGGCTGTGTGACCTTAGGGAAGGCATATAAACCTCTCTGTGCTTTAGTTTTCTTCCCTGTAAAATAGGGATACAATTAGTATCTACTTCATGGTGTATGCTGGGGGTTACATGAGGTAGTGTATGTGAAGCATGTAGCACATTTCCTGGAGCATATCAAGTGTCTGCCAATTGTTAGATATTGATAGCAATAGAAAGTGAATTAATCACAAGGACAAAGCTAGGAAATGTCAGAGTGCACTGTAAAACTCAGGCCTATGTGACTACAAAGCTCACCTTTCCACTGCACCACAATTCTTCAATACAAAAATCACACAATATAGCTAAGGAAAACGTGAACAGGTGAAATCTAAAATATGTGGTCAGAACGATACATAAATTTCTGTTCAAAATACATCCAATAGGATACACTTTGTGAGCTTAATGTTTTCTGAGCTAGTTACTATTGTAGAGAAAAACTTTATTTTATGGGTATTTATGACAACTTTAATTCTAACATGTTATAAATACTTTATTCACTCTATGAGCAAATTAGTTCACAATTAGTAAAGGAGAAATCTCATTACAACAAATACCTTACAACAGAGCAGCCTAAATTATATTTTAAAATTAGCTTATCATTTGGATAGAACTTAACAGTTTTTAAAGCGCCCTTGTCTATATATATATTTAATCCTGTGTGTGTTTATGTGCATACATATGCACGTACATACATATACACATACACCTTCCCTCAGTTTATCTCCAATGTGACTCTGGAAGGAGTTACTATTATTTTCTTCACTTTACAGCCAAGGAAACTGAGGCTTAGAAAGCCTTCATCAATCATCTAAGGCCACGGAATTAGAAGGGAGGGACCAAGAACCCCAATGCCAGACCCTGCTTTGAGTTAACCTACACTAAGCTGCCTCATATCCAAGCTGAGGGTGAAGTCAAGATTAATTTTCATAGGCTACTGGGATTTATCACAACAAAATGTGTCCTGTATTGGGATTAAAATTAAGGCTTATAGTAAATTCTTGACTGCTAGTGAGTCTTTAGAATCATGATACCTTTTTACCATCAAAGAACAAATATACAGGTCAAAGCCTCCTCAGGGTATCCATGGTTTTTTTTTCTTAAAAGTGAGGTTTCTTTGTAATGATTGCTTTGCCAAACATCACATGCTCAGTCCCCTGGCTGCTGAGACTGAATTTTGTCTCTCAGACTCTGACATTGAGTTAGCAAGTGAAAAAATTACTCTGAACCCATGAGTGAGAAGAGGAAGCATCACGCATACATATGAACTCTGTTTTTTTTTTTTTTCTCTTCTAACACCCGGAGTTTGACCCAAGTGTTTATGCTTGCTTTTGTGTGTGTGTGGCGTGTTTTGAAGGGCAATTTGGGAGTTTGAGTAGGTTTTGGAACGAAGTGCTTTCTTTTGGTTCATCCACCTGTATGCAGAAAAAGCTTCCACTGTAGGAGAATGGACTAATATTGATTTTATTATTTCACATATATATATGTACTAGGCTTTTCATATATATATTATATTTAATTATATATATTATATATATAATTACATAGGAATAAATTAATGTTGGGAGAATTAATTACTTTGGGATTAATTTTGGGACCTTTTATGCTTTTATGAATATTTAAAGGACTCAGAAACCCGGAGATAATCTGAACACTGGCCTAGTCAAAGAGTGGTCAAGTAAGATTCAATCTCTTTAATGTAGATCCAAAGTCAAAGTATCTGCTACCTGATTTTTACAGAAAAGTCACAGCATGAACACAAATCCAGAAGACTTTTCCCTAGAATTTATGGAGTGGTTTTCAAGAGAAAGCTATTTGCTACGTAAGCTTTAAGATCTAAAAAGTTTACACATTTAGTAATTTGGGACTGGGAAGTTTTAAGCAGTGGCATGAACACTGTACAAATTGCTTGGAGCCCTGACTTTCTGGAGGCTTGGGGAAGTCACCAGACTCAGGCTGGGACTCCCACTAGAATGCACATGTGACCCAGCCTGGTTCTGGTGTGTGGACGGCATAGGCTAAGATTCTGCCATTTTCCAGCCATGAGGACATGGGTATATCATCTATTTCATGGCTGGGTTTGCTTATCAGCAAAAGCAGATACTAGTCCTTTCTCCTATTTGTGCTGGGACTTCAACATGCATCAGATTTGTTAATATGCCTTGTAAGCAAGGGCAAACTACAAAAATTTAGTTCTTTACTAAATTTTATAGATGTAGACCTGAAAAGGAGCCTTCCAATGTTTAGGAAGCTACTATTATTAATTTTAAAAGTGAGTCCCAGCAAGTCCTATCCACAGCAATCAGGCAAGAAAAAGAAATAAAAGGCATCCAAATAGGAAAAAAAGAAGTCAAACTATCTTTCTTTGCTGATGATGTGATTCCATATGTAGAAAACCCTAAAGACTCTACCAAATGATTTCTTGAACTGATAAAGGACTTCAGTAAAGTTTCGGAATCCATGTACAAAAATCAGTAGCATTTCTATACACCAATAGCTTTCAAGCTGAGAGCCAAGTCAAGAATGCAATCCCATTTACAATAGCTGCAATAAAATAAAATAAAATATGTAGGAATACAGCTCACCAAGGAGGTGAAAGATATCTACAAGGAGAACTATAAAACACTGCTGAAAGAAATCAAAGATGACACAAACAAATGAAAAAACAGTCCATGCTCACAGATTGGAAGAATCGATATTGTTAAAATGGCCATAATGTCCAAAACAATCTACAGATTCAACATTATTCCTATCCAGCTATCAATGTCATTTTTCACAGAATGAGAAAAAACTATTCTAAAATTCACATGGAACCAAAAAAGAGCCCAAATAGCCAAAGCAATCCTAAGCAATAATAGAACAAAGCTGGAGGCATCACACTACCTGACTTCAAACCATACTACAGGGCTACAGTAACCCAAACAGCATGGCACTGGTACAAAAACAGACATATAGACCAATGGAACAGAATAGAGAATGCAGAAATAAAGCCACACACCTACAGCCATCTGATCTTTGACAAAGTCGACAAAAACAAGCAATGGGGAAAGGACTCACTATTAATAAATCATGTTGGAATAGCTGGCTAGCCATATACAGAAGGATGAAACTTGACTTCTGTCTTTTACAATATACAAAAATTAACTCAAGGAGGATTAAAGATTAAATGTAAGACATCAAACTATAAGAATGCTAGAAGAAAACCCAGGAAACACTATTCTGGATATCAGCCTTGGGAAAGAACTACATCCTCAAAAACAATTGCAACAAAAACAAAAATCGACAAGTGGAACTTAATCAAATGAAAGAGTTTCTGCACAGCAAAAGAAACTATCAACAGAGTAAACAATCTATAGACTGGGAGAAAATATTTGCAAACTATGCATTCAACAAAGGTCAATATGGAGAATGCATAATAAACTTGAACAATTTGAAAAGCAAAAAATAACCCCATTTAAAAATGGGCAAAAGCTGTGAACACACACTTCTCAAAAGAATACATACAAGTGGCCAAGAGACATATTAAGAAAAACCTGTTCCACATCACTAATCATCAGAGAAATGCAAATAAAACCACAGTGAGATAGCATCTCACACTGGTCAGAGTGGCTATTATTAAAAAGTCAAAAAATAACTGATGCTCGCAAGGCTGCAGAAAAAAGGGAATGCTTATACACTATGATGAGAATGTAAATTAGTTCAGCCACTGTAGGAAGCAGTTTGGAGATTTCTGAAAGAACTAAGAACTACCATTCAACCCAGCAATCTCATTATTGGTTATAAATCCAAAAGAAAATAAAACATTCTACCAAAAAGTTGCATTCACACATATATTTCTTGCAGCACTATTCACAATAGCAAAGACATAGGATCAACATAGGTGCCTATCAATGGTGGATCAGATAAAGAAAACATGGTACATATACACCATGGAATACTATGCCATAGGAAAGAATGAAATTATGTCCTTTGCAGCAATATGTATGCAGCTGGATACCATTATCCTAAGTGAATTAATGCAGGAACAGAAAACCAAATGCTGCATGTTCTCACTTATAAGTGACACCTAAACATTGGGTACTCATGGACATAAAGATGGGAACAATAGACACTGGAGAATTCTAGAGGGAGGGGACAGGGAGGGGTACAAAGGTTGATAAACTATTGGATACTATTCTCAATACCTGAGTAATGGGATCAATTGTTCCCCAAACCTCACCATCACATGATATACCCAAGTAACAAACCTGGACATGTATCCCATGAATCTAAAGCAAAATTTGTAATCATTTTTTTTTTAAGTGACTCTTAAACAGAAAAAATGTTTTCTCTGAAATGATAGGGAGAATTGATGCTCTGGAAGTTCTCATTACTGGGTCTAAGCTTAGGCAAAGGGGTGATTAAGGAGGTTATATGATCTTGAACTTTCAATATAAGTATGTGTGAGTGCTTGTGTGTATGTGAGAGAGAGGGAGGCAGAGAGAGACAGAGAGAGAGAGAGGGAGAGTGATGGAGGGAGAGGAAGAGAGAGAGAGAAATAAAAGATGGTAATGACAGGGTAAGTAGTCATAAGGCTAAAAGGAACATTTTTACTAGCTTTAATTTTCTTATGATCAATTGCACTGAATAAAGAGTTTCAATTTTTAAAGTGGGCTTTAGATACTCTGATACTTGGAAGGTAGAATAGAGACTAGGTTAGTGAGAAGAAAAGAGGGAACAAAGAAGCTGGTTGAGTAAAAGTTGTATGCCTTGTCCTGGTTTGGAGACGTGCCGTGAAACCTGGAAAGAAAAGACAGTGGGTGATCACAATCAGATAGTAGTAACAGTGGTGGTGGTAGTGATGGTAGTGATGTTGGCAATGATGGTTAAGGTGGCGGTGATGATGTTCGTGATGACTGTGAAGGTGGTGGTGATGATGGTGGCAATACCAGAATTAATGGTGAAGGTGTTAGTGGTAGTGATGATGATGGTGGTGATATTTGTGATAATGGTGAAGGTGGTGGTGATGGTGGTAATGTTGGCAATGTAGATGAAAGTTGTGGTGGTGGTGATGATGGTGAAGGTGGTAGTGATGCTGATGATGAGTGATGGTGGTGATGTTGCAGTGATGGCAAAGATGGTGATGATTGTGGTAGTGACAATTTTGGCAATAATGGTGAAGGCGGTGGTGATACTGGTGTTAATAGTGAAAGTGGTCGTGGTGGTAATGGTGATAGTGACGAGAGTACAAATAATAACAGCTGACATTTACTACGTACTTGCTACGCACAGGGTTGTGATAAGTGCTTTGCCTGATTCATCTCACTTAGACCTAAAAACGTTATTGAGAGGTAGTTGTTTTTTTTTTTCTTCATCTTACAAATAAGGAAAATTTGGCAGGTAGAATTTAATAGCTTTTCAAGGTCACATACCTATATGTTGAGTGAGATATTTGAACCCAGGCAGTTTGACTCCAGAGTCATGAGCCTAACCATCTTACAGCTCTGCCTACAAAATGTAGAAAAGTAAGGATCCAACACTGAGAAAAATTTAATCCAGTAGAGAACTGGTTTGTGTGCCAACGTCTGGGAATAGGAGACCTGGAGGGTATTAGTACCTGATGATGGTAGAGGGCAGCTTCGAGAATGGACTTAGAAATTAACAAGGTAGCTGTCCAGAAAATTTGATCATTTTGTTAGAATGTGACAAGTTAATTTGGGGAAGGACACCAGATATCTGTAATTTACCAGCATATACATAACTTGAACTTCAAGATAACTACTCAGTGTGAAAATATAGACTTTTGTTTTCTCTCTTAGTTGACTTCCTGATCTTGGATTATCTGCATGATCACTGTAGAGGACAGCGATAAAGGGGAAGTAGTGTGGTTTCATGGCTTCAGGTTTTGGACAAAACATTAGACATTGAAAATGTGTCCACAAAGGACAAATGACAGGCAGATTGTTTTAAACAGAAATGGGATACCCAGGAACTGAAACACATGGATTCTGAATCCACTAACCCCTCTTACATCCCTTTGTCCCCTTCTACAATCCTTTCTCCATAACAGTCAGCCACTCCTTGTCACCCACTGTGTGTGAACCCACAGTTGTCCCCACTGGCCTTTCCCACTTCTGCCAGGATGCCTTGGTCTCCAACTATTCACATTGCCAGATCCATCTGATTCTTAAAAATCTCACACTGTGCAGGCTCAAAGTATCTGTATATGTATGGCTCTCCTTTTATTTCCTATTGTGTCATCTTGCCTTTACCTCTATAGCAGTTTTCTAATATGTAATTCCATTTTATGTTTGTTGATTTTGTTTTCTATTTATTTTCCCCTTTCCAAATAGACTTTAGGGTAATGAAGGTGGGAATAATAGCTTCAATTCATCAACGTGTATTCAGAGTCTGGTACAAAGTAGCTACTTAAAAAGGTTTGTTGAATGAATAAAGGAAATAATGGATACATGCATGAATAAATGAATTAATGCACTCCCTGGGGGCACTACCACCTCCAGCCATGAACTAGAGGGACAGAGACTCTCAGACCTTTCTTCTGCACTCCAGCTAGATAAAATGCCACTACTCCATGCCATGTGACTGCATAAACTCCACACCTGGATTTGCAAGCACGCTACTCCTACAGGAAGAAACTGCAGATCCTGGAGCTCATATCACCAAAGCTCCAGAGGGCCAACACTCTGGCAGTTTGGGACCAGTATACATCTTCTTACAGCCTCCTGAAAGGGACTTTTGAGACTGAACCACTAACCACCCTGGTTCTTGTCCCTTCTCATCTCTGTCACTATCAAATGAAAAAATTCCTCCCTGCCCAGCCCTCCCACTCCTGGCCTTTGCTCTTCTTTCCTCCATTCTTTTTTCACCTTCCACTGCGCCATTTAGAATACTTTTTCTGACTTTTTTTTTTTTAGAATATTACGACCAATCCCTCGACGTAGCTGACTGTCCAAGCCTGTCTATCTACTGAGGACACTGCCGTCTGCAACCTTGGCTCTGTGTTCTCTCACTCTGACATCTGCTTCAGAGTCTAGAGACGTCCTTCCTGATGATCATCCACCCTCCCATATCATCTACCTTCTTGTTAAAATTGCTTTTCTGGGACTCATGGCATTTGTCAATTTTACCTCTAGCTCTCCTTATTGTTATCTTGCTGACTTCCTTCTTCTTCCCTCTTCTGCCAACATGCTAAGGCTTCATTCGTCTTCATGTCATGGAATCTAGTGGGCAACTCCCTCCTCTGCCCCATCTCATTTGCCTCAACCATCAGCAATCTAAATTGTGATCATGCCCCTTTTTGAACTATTTTCTTCTTTTGACTTGTATGGCTACTTTCACCTCTTCACTCTTCTTCTGATTCTCCTGTAGGCATCTTCCTTCATTATCGTCCTATAAAGTTGGAGTTTATCAAAGCAAATTCCTAGGCTCTCTCCACTTTATACTACCCTCTCCCCAAGACATTTTATTCTTGTGCATGGTTTAATTTATGCATTAACATATAAAACAATAATCTCCAAATTTATATTTCTAGCCCAGACCTCTTTTCTAACCTCAAAAATCCTCCAAAAACATATTCGCTGTTTCCTCTAGGATATTTAAATGGTACTATAAACTCTTCATAGTCAAGACTGAATTCATATTTTTCTCTGTTAAGTCTGGCCCTGTGTCAGTAAATGATGCCACTTTCCATCCAGTTGTCATCCTGTACCCTACCCTCTTTTTATCACCCAAACCCATTAACTGGTCCTATTAATTGTTTGCCTTTTAAACATCTTCCCAATCTATCAATTTTTCTCCAGTCCATCTTTTCCATCCTGGTATATCATAATCTATAATTTCTCACCCGAATGGCTGCAACTGTCTTCAACAGGTCTGTCCACACCCAACCTTCCCATACAGTGCAGAGGTTGGGACACTTTTGTGAAATGAAAATTTGACCATGGCATCTTCTGCTCAAAATCTGAGGATAAAGAACCAAGTCCGTAACATGACTTACCAGTCCTCGAAGAAGCCAAAGACATCAAGTGCTAGCCTCATATCCAGCCTCATCCCAGATTGTCAGCAGTTAAATTGTCCCCACCCCCCACCACCATACAAAAATTCATATGCTGAAGTCCTAACCCCTAATATCTCAGAATGTCATCTTATTTGAAAACAGAATAATTGCAGGTGTAATTAGTTAAATTAAGATTAGGTCATGTTGGAATTGGCTGGGGCCCTCATCCAACATGACTGGTGTCTTTATGAAAAGGGGAGATTTGGGCACAGATGCATACAAGAACACCTTGTGAAGATGAAGGCAGAGATTGGGATGAAGCATCTATAACCAGGGAACACTAATGATTGCCCAAAACCCACCAGAAGCTGGACAAGAAGCCTGGAACAGATTCTCCCTCATAGCCCTCAGAAGGAACCACCCTGCCAACACTGTGATTGCAGACTTCTAGTTTCCAGGATTGTGAAACAATAAATTTCTGTTGTTGTAGTCCATCCATTTCGCAATACTTTACTACAGCAGCCCTAGCAAACTAACGTACATGCCGTGTTCCTTCTGCTCTGTCAGCTACAGCTGTACTGGCCTTCCTTGTCCTCCAGCATCTAGAGTTCTGCCTCTTACAGCAGAGCTTTGCACAAGCCATTTCTTTTGTCCAGAATATTTTCCCTCTCTCATTTACTTTTTAAACTCCTACTCTTTCCCCAGTTCCATAGCCAAATAAAGAAAGGCATCCCTGAGGAAGACCACAGCCTAAGTAAGATTCATTCACTATTCAACATGTTTCAGCTCATAATTGTGTATCACTCAAGTCATTCTTTGACCAGTGTAATGTCTGTCACAATACAGGCTAGAAAAACACATTTGCTCTTTGAATGAGTGAGTGAATAAATAAATGAATGAATGCTTACATCAATACACATTCTAGGTTACTCTAAATGTAGTCCAAGCAGAATTTAATTGCTCACTCTTCTACTCAGCTAAGGATTTACGCTTTCTACTATTACAGAACTTGCCGCATTACCTTTTATTATCTTATGTGTCCATCTTGTACACTGTGACCCCCTTGAGAGTGGGGGCTATTACTTCTTTGAGCCTAATGTTCCCAAAGCCAGCTCTACGTCTGGAGCTTAGCGGACACTCAACAAATATTTGTGGAGCCA
This sequence comes from Homo sapiens, assembly GCF_000001405.40. NCBI lineage: Eukaryota > Metazoa > Chordata > Mammalia > Primates > Hominidae > Homo > Homo sapiens. The sequence goes on along the minus strand of NC_000011.10, from coordinate 131,824,320 downwards.
AATTATGTAGAAGTTGTAGGGGACAATGAACTCCAATGTGCTGAACAAATGTAATGGATAATTACTACCAAATGGCTTGAATTATTCTCCCCTACACCAAGGAGTTGTTAAAATTTGCTGTTCCTTGTAAGTAAAGTTATGCCCACTAACTTTTCCTCTTCAGCCTCAAGCTTATGTAGAAGGAAATTAAATGTCTCTCTGTTAGATTCATTTATAACTCACTCCTCAGCTGATGTGCTTCACAATGCCTTTTGAGAATTCTTTTCAATTCTCTTTATCCTCTTATCCTCCCGCCTCCCTTAGATGTTTGTAACCCAGGGGAAAACAAAGCACTTAAATGCAACCAACACTGTAATCATACACAGCCTTGAATTGCATAAAGAACAAACAGAAACTGGGAACTATTCCATGCGCTTTCATGTCTTTCTGACTTAAGCCCTTGTATTTGTGCACTTTAAATGCAAACATAGGCCAAAGTAACAACTTTTTACATTTGAGGTTAGCCATTGAAATCCACTTAGCTCTAGCTGAAATAATATAAACACAATTACTGCTCTAACCCAAAGGTGTTTTGTTTTGTTTTGTTTAAATTTTAAGCAATGCACATTGAGGTAATTAGAAGACGTATAACTATCAGGAAAATACTCTTTCAATTAAGCAAGAACATTAATAATCATTTCTATGTCTATATTTCCTTTTTTTCCCCAAGACACTTTTAAAGAGTGTATTCTATTATATTAAAGTCAAGGAAGAAGAATTATTTGTAGTTAACAGAGAACAAAAGCCAGATATAGAACTTATTAATTAGAATGCTGGCCACAGGTCAGCTAGAGGGTTCATAGCAAATTCCTTAATTCAACCAGGGTCTGAGCCGCGTCTCTGGTGGGCCAGGTGAGCTAAATCTGTGTATAATACAGTTAACCCCCTCTAATTTCGTGCTTACCTACTGCATCGGCCACTTAGTCATCACGTGGAGAACAAAACCGAGAGATTTAGATGAATTCAACAAAGCTGTGAGAGGCTGAAGGCTGAGGACATGTGTGGCTTCTGCTCTGCCTAAGGGGCAGTTACTTTTGACCAATGTTAGGGAAGAAAATAACCCTCTAAGAGTGAATGAAGGATTTCCATGGTCTCTGGGATACCCTGTGACAATCACCAGCAGTGTATCTCCCCTCCCAAGTAATATAACTGTCCTTTCCTTTCCTAACACTAACGTAGACGTGCTTCTATGGAAAAACAATCTCACTGGATTGAAGAACAAGTGCATTTGTCTCCTGCCTGTCATCATTAAAGATAAAACAAAATAAACTACAGAAGGCAGAAAGGAAGGGAAGGAGGAAGGGAGGGAGACAGAAGGAAGGAAGGAAGAAAGAAAGGAAGGAAAAAAGCTACTGTTCTTTGTCCAGATCAATGCTACCTTTGAGCATATTCACAAAAACAAGGTATTTCCCTGTGTGTTTGGCTTTCAAAGCCGCTTTTTTTGAGAAGCAAATGAGTCCTTGAACGTTGAAAACCCACCTCCACTCTCACTTTTGTTTTCATAAGTTCCCCTTTCTCATTTGCCCTATCCTATGGAATATCATTAAGCAATGGGAAGTTAATGAACCCTTCACTCAAATATGAGAACACATCTGAATTACACACGAAAGTAACACATTACATTGACACCATGAAAAACGACTTGTTGGAGAGTTTTCTACCTTCCTTCCCCTTATCAGTTGCTGATTCAAGACACTGAAAGCAGCTGTTATGAGGGGCTGGTATTTGTTTTACAAAGGAAGAAAAGCTCCCTCTGTACACGCGTTCTTATTCTTCACACTGATTTGAGCGTTAATAGTATTTGACAGGTGGGTAATTTGTTTTTTTAAAAAAACCATAATTCATTTAGTGCAATTCCATTTTATTATTATACATTTTACACACTGGTGTATAGAAAACATTGTTGTTTTTAACAATTCTATTCCTTCCAGTAATCAGTCATTCAAGAAAGCTGCGTGAGAGTCTTTGGGGACAAGCAGGTGAATTGTGGAGGTGCCAGGAGGCCATGAGAATGAAGAAGAAAGGATGAGGATGCAGTGAAAAGGAAGAAGGGAGGAGAGGGGAGTGGATAAAGATGGAAACAAAGACAGAGGGGTAATTAAACGGGGTGACGACTGCATGAGAAAACAAGAACTGCTAAGAAGAAGACAACATAGCAGTACTGTCACTTTATGTGCCTGGGAGCATACAATGGGTTCTGAACCCTGTCCTTTCTTGTACCCCTAAAGGGAGCTCTAAAAGTGTTTCGACTTTCCTGAGCTTTTATTGATAAAGGAAGGAAATTCTACCTTCTCAAAGTAAAATTTCACTTAGGAGAGGTACAGAATCAAGGCAGAAGTGTCATATATACATTTGAGTCTTTTGTCCACAAAGAAACTAGTTTTACTAGCCTCTTTGGGGTAAGAACTAGTAGACCTAAGAAAGTTCTGTGAAATCAGCTTCCTTTCTAAACTATCATGGATCAGTCAATGGTGTAAAACTCGTCAGTGTCTTCCAACCCTAGTATTTGGAATCCAAACAAAGAGAGTCAGTGGGGGCATGGTTCTCCCCAGCCCCAGAGCCCTTCCTCCACCTCACGCCACATACGCAGAGCAAAGCATGCATTTTAAAGTCATTTATGCTTTTTACAGGATGACCACAGAGTATTAAACATTGTGCTTGTCGCTTTGCTTTGTTTACGTGATTCTCACAACTTTTCTGAAAGGTATGTACAATCATTCCCATTTTAAAGATGAGGAGACAGCATCTGAGAAGTTAAGTATTTGATTGTGGTCCACAAAATTAGTGAGCATGAGAATGCAAATTCAGGATAGACTCAAGTGTTTGCTGGCGTGACCACCGACTTGCTGAAGCAACCATGGAAACAGAGTGCCTATCAGCTCAGAGCTCTGGGTAACTGATCACACAGTACTTTTCACACAGCAGGAATTGCCCTGCCTGGACCACAAGAAAGAGCAGGTCATGACTAAGGATCTCACCTGCCAATGGCTCAAGGATGGAAAACAAAGTTACCAAGGAAGTAGGAACAGGAATGAGTTCCCAGTTCCATTAGGATGATGGTAATGCTTCTTGACAGCTTAGGTACCTGGGATAGTGGGAGACCAAGAATAGAAACTAGGGGGAAGTAATTTTCCTTTCCTCATTGCTGTTGCCTTCCTGGCCAAACACAGGGAGAAATCATCTTTGTACTTGCGTGTGAAATGGGATTACCAATCCCTACATTTCATCTTATTACATAATTAGAAAAAAAAAAAAACCCTTTGGAGGCATCTTGGTGTTACTGCTAGAGTTGAAGATGAGCAATCCTTACAACCCTTCTAGGCTTGTATGTCAGGAAAGGCTTGTGTGTGTGCACAAGGAGGTGTGAATCCAAATACTCATAGTGGCCGCGTTTGTAATAGCAAAATGAATGGAGACACCTTAAACCCTGAACATCCTCCGACAAATGGATTGCTAAGTACAACATTGTGATTGATCACAGAACACTCCAGCTCATTTACCAAGTGAAAAAATGTCACGAAACTTTCAGATCGTGAAATACACCTGGTATTTAATATCTTTATAAGTTTAAAAAAGTGCCAATCCTTTGTATTGCTTAGTGGTGCACACATATATGGTAGAAATGTAAATGGATGCCTGGGAATGACAGATATCAAATTAAGGATAGTGAACTCTGTGGGAGAGAGGGAGAGCAGATCAGGAAAAGACTCTCAGGTGGCCTTGGCCCCATTTAAAAAAATTAATCTAGGTAGTAGATACACTAATGTTCATTTTCTCTCATCCTTTTTTATATGTCTAAATTCTTTCATAATACATATTTATTTCATAATACATATTTAAAAATGAAAAGCAAGCATGGAAACACAGAAACACCAACTAGTGGTGATATGGGAATGCGTGATTCCAATCCACAGGGAGTTAAGACATGGAGCAGGCCTACCCAGAATCTTGGAGGACTCCTGCTCTCCACGGACCACTTGGTGCTTTAGAGAACCAGAGGGTTTCCAGAAGCAGACATAGAGGCGATAAGGGAAAGGCAGAGGGAGACAGACAGGGAAGATGGAGAGTGGGGATCCAGTGGCTGCAGGAGAGGAGGGGCCCTTGTTAATCTCACCAGGCTGTTGTGGTTGAAAGGACCCACTTTGCGCCCAAGCAGCCGCTTATGTTATTATTTCTCTCAGCGGGCTTCAAGCTGCCTGCAATTCTCTGTTAGTTAATAAGAAAAGTGAGAGATGCAACAATTGCTTTTGCTTGGCTGGCATGTAAAGGCTTTGTCACTCAAAAATGGAACAAAGGCCCTAATAACACCCTGTGCCACGAAGGCGAGTGTCAGGGAACAGACCGAAATCAATTATCTGGGTGAAATTCAGAGACGGAGTAGCGGCCCACACGTCCACAGCAGCATCCATACCACATAATCCCATTAACAGGGTGCTGCTGCTCTCATGGGAGGGCAGAGACACACAGGAAAATTCTAATTAAAGGTAAATAAAGAGCAACAAGCTCCTGGTGCCCTTCTGTCACAGCCCCGAACACGGACGTGTTTCCATCCCATGGTGGCAGGGCTCCAGAGTGACTCCTGGGCAAAGTGAGCTTGGAAATGGGGACAAGCTGCAGGCTTTCATGGGCATGCTGGCTAGTGCTGTTTATTAGTGATATTTAAAAGCTGGGTGAGGAACTTGGAAAGTGCCTCTGGTGTGCCAACAGCCTGGCAGGATTTTCCTGACACAGGATGTGGATGACTTTGGAGATTTTTTATGTATGTCTCTCTTGCTAAAGTAATGTTTGAGGAAAATTGTGAAATGAACAAATGAATGAATGAATGAGTGAATGAGTGAGCGGGTATGTGAGTGAGCAGGACAGTAGGATGTGTGGTTTATCTGAGTTTTCCCTAAACTCAATAATCATCTAGGGCATCTTTTAAAAATGTAGATGTCCAGACCTGACCCCAAACCAAGTAAACTTACATTTCTGGGGGTGCAGCTCAGGCTTCTGTAGTGTGGCATGCTCCCTCGGGTCCCTAGATATGTGCAGCCAAAGTTGAGAAGCTTTGAACTACAAGGTCTCCCCAGTAGAGAAGTTTTGAACTAGAGGGTCTCTTACAGTCTTCTTCACCTGGACTCATGGGGTTTCGTCATGAACTTCAGAGTAGACAGAGCAACCAGCAGGCCATGAAGGCAGGTGATGTGTGGTCTCACCCCTGCCAGAATTTAGCTTTGCAACATTGGGCAGGTACACTAAACTTCAAATCTCAGTGTCCTCAACAGTTTAAACAGTTAGGAGGGGATGATAGCTAGGTATCTTCATGGTTTCTTTAGATTTGACAGCTGTGTGACCTTGAAGCCCCAAATCCCAGAACTCATGCAGAACAACCAGCATAAATGGTACTGAGTTCCTTTTCCGTGTACTGCATCTCTGCGGGGAGATCAAAGATGTGTATCTAGTAAAAGGCAGAGAGAAGACCTCGTAATTCCCATTATAGTCCACATAGATTCTGGATAGAAGGACAGACACTCAGATGATCGGTAAGTGTAAAAGCACGATAGCAACCGCCTTTCACATTCATTATCTCCAGCCACCGATAAGGCCTGACACAAATGACGTGCAATAGCTATCCTGTGAATGATTAAATGAATGAATGAATGAATGGTACCTCTGTTGGATGAATCAGTGTGGCCTGTTTTTGGCAATTGAGTATTTCTGCTTGACTAGATGTTAAATAGCCTGCCCCCAACCCCCAACAACTTTCAAGAGGCTGACTGCTGTGCTGAACGGTGATTAATGGTTTCTAATATCCCTATCCAGCTATACAAATCCATGGATTCTATCAATATGCAAATCTATGTCTTTAGAGCCAAGAGGGATATAGTCCCTCTTCCAGGAAGAATAAGTTTGCACCTGTTGAGATTTTAGTCTATGTCACTAGGTAAAAATCTTTATAACTCCTTTAAAAACTGTCCTCTGTTTTGTTTAAGTATGTTTTACCTATTTCCCAAAGTCAATGGGAGCGAGTCTGGGTTGAAATGAGGCAGGCCTGGGTGGTGGGAGCCCTCTGAGGAGATACCGACAGGACTGAACGAGCAATTTTAAATTAATTCCCTGGAAATCACTGTAAAGGATGCACTGCAGCGTGAAGGTGGGTTCTGAAGCAAGGAGGGAGATTTCAGTCTATTGTCCCTCCCAGACTCCTTTAGTTGATGACTGGTGGGTGCCAAAAGCCGCTGATGTGTGTCAAGTGTGTACTGTCAACACCCCTGCTCCCCCGCCTATCATCTTCAGTGTTGTTGCTGGTGAAAAATCTGTTTGGAATAAAGCACAGTCAATGGGACTGACACTTATTTATAAAGACTAAGTGGTGCAGTTCAAACCCAGGAACAGGAGCTGGCACCAGCCCCAAGGGCCTCTCAGCTCCCATGAGAAGTCTTTCAGTGTAAACCATGGTACACAGGGGCTGCGATGAGTCTAGTCAGTGCCCGCAAGGGCTGGCAATTATTGTTAATTGGGATGTGTTGCCAACTTCACGGTGCTGGACAATGTGTCAGCTCAGAAAGGTAGGACCAGAGGGGTGGAAGGAGGTGGAGCAGAGGGAACCATCCTCATGGAAGCTCAGAGGCCCCTCCCAGGAAAACCTTTGTATATACCCAGCTGCATGCTGCACTAAAACTCTGAGTATTCCTTGAATGTTCAGGTGGGCTCTCCCCGCCACCAATAAACATGAACATTGGCTAAGGGATGATAGCAGCAGTGAATCTGCTGGGAGAGGAGCCCCTGAGGTGCCCAGTTGTAAGTCAAAGCTACTTCTAGGTCAGGCTGAAGCAAAAGATGGAAAGAAGCAGTTTTAGGGTCAAGTGTTTGCTTAAAAAAAAAGTCAGTACTATCCATTAAATTCTCACTCCCCCTAAATCTCTAATGATGATTTTATTTTTTGAGCAGATATGCTGTATGTGAAATCATTGTTAGTCTTAAATGTCAGGTATATGCCCTAAGGTCGTATTGCTCGAGGTACAGTAGTAATGAATGAAATACATAATTAATACACAAGTACAATGATATGCTTGAGCCTTTTAGGGATACAGGTACTCAGAACAGCCTGGATGCGAATGCAAAGAAAGACTGAGTAATCATGGAGAGACCAAAACAAACTAAAATTAAAACCTAAAATAATAGACCCAGCCAAACCAAAATTAGAAGATGCAGCCCCATGTGCCCCCTGGGTTTTAAAATGCCCACACAACATGTGGCCAGAATCAGAAATACTTGTAAATAGATGCTGTGCCACAGGAAGGAGAGGAAATAGTTAAAAATTTCAGGGAAGATTAAGTAAAATATTTGGAAGTTCCAGACACTCAGAAACCCACTCAGAATACATGTAAACTAAACCACATGAATTTAACATTTATTTAATTAACGTGCGTTGAGTGCCCAGTGTTTTAGGCTATGCTAAGTATGGACCCTTGACCTAAAACCTCAACTCTAAGCCCTCAAGCTGAAAGGAGGCTCAAATGATGAATAGCCCAATTTAGCTCTGAATAGGGCTCCTAGGAAAGATACCTACAGAACACTTCGCCTCTAAAACCTCAAATTTGGTATGGCTGAAAGAAAGTGGGATCTAATTCTAATCCAGCAGGGTTGTTATAGAGGTGTACGATTTGGGGACAGGTCTCCAAGACTCAGGTTCCTTATTTGCCAGTGATAAATTGGACTAATAATCTTTAAATTCCTTTTTTTTTTTTTCTTGCTTTAATATTCAATGAACTTGTTTCCCCACCCAGAAGTCAACTACCGTCATTTCGTCTGTAATCTCTATTAACAAAGCCTCTAAGATACAGGGTATCCAGGAAGATACGTACCCCAGATTTAGTAAAAATATCATTTCCCCTCTTCCACGGCTTTTAAAAAACTACGATGGTAGGTAATCTAAGGGGTTGACTGTTATTTGGAGAGTATAAGGGACTAAGGCATGGACATTGTACTCCCAGGCTATGCCACATGACCCTTGTGAAAACAGCATACTGAGTCAGGATTGTTGCATCTGAGATGCTTTCATGATGAGTGACTGAGCCTCAGAGGTTTCCCTCCATGGATTCACTTGGTGTGATCCAGAACAAATCCTCTTCCGCTTATGCATCTCTGGATTTAGCCTTGGTCGTTACATAATCAAAAAAGGCAGAATTTTCCAGCAACTAATGAGAGCACCTCACATCTGGAAATATGAAAGCTTCCTGAATTGAAAATAAAGGAGGAGAAAAGAGAAGGCAATTCAGTTAGGTTTTCAAAGGTTGAAATGGAAACCATGGTCAGTTTCACCGCCATCTCTCTCCCCATCTCCAACTCCCAGTTTCCCCAGCTCACAAGCCCCGCCTCCTGCAGAGACCAGCTGGGGCTCAGGACCCTCAACCCAGCCCTGCCAACACGCTGGAATCCGCTCCCACCGCGGCCACCCGGAAGGAAGCAAGATTAAAGGCAGCCGCTTAATCCCCCTGCAAAGCTTCTTAAGTATTTCTATCAGGGTCAGCTCAGTCAGTGCTTACTCAACCTGCCTCTGGAAAATATCCCAATTTAGGCCCTTCTGCTGACTGTCAAGTTGAGAGAAGGGAGAGGCTGGATCCTGATCCGAGGGGCTGGGGGAGAGGCGCGGGCAGCAGGAGGGGGGAAGTGGGGGTTGGGTAAGCCACCCCCTTTCCTCTGCAGAGCACAGGACAAATTTGGTTTCATTCCTCGCTGGCTTCATTTTACTTCTCAAAAGGATTCTTCAAGAAAATTCTTTAAGAGCTCTACCAGTCCATACTGAGTGTCTACTGTGCTCCAGAACCCTGCTGGAAGCTTGCTGTGGGGAGGAGGGATGGTGCCTGCTCTTTGCGCACAGCCCAGCTAGGGAGACAGCAGCTCTGGCCCAGCACAGGGTGGGCGAGGGCTGGGATGGAGGGTGGGGAAGCTGGCCCAGCATACAAGAGGGCAGAGAGCTGAGGCGGGCACGGTGGGACAGCTCCCAGAAGGCAGTCCTTTGTAAGCTCTTATCAGACACAAAAACTGTAGTTAGCCAGTGCACCCAGAAAGGTGAGGTGGGAGAAGGCGGGGGCAGAAGAACAGCCATAGGCCGCAAGGGGATGAGAGGGCCGGGAAAGTCCAGATGGTCCCTCTAAGCCAAGCGGAGGAGTTCGAGCTTGATCCTGAGGGTGACAGAAGCCACACGAGTATTTCTACCTGCAGAGCGAGGTGATCATGCTTGCATTTTTAAAAATCTCGGATTGCTCAATAGAAAACGGACTGGCAGAGGGCAAAATGAAGAAGATCAAAATCCATGGCCCGCAGTGTGTTGGTATGGGAAGCTGGCAGCAGAGCTGGGAGAGGTAGTGGGTTTGGAGAGATATATAGGAAGCTGGGTTGTCAGAGTTTACTTGGTGATTGCTTGCATGCGATGGCTGAGGAATAGAAAGAAATCAAGATGAAAGCCCAGGTTTCTAGACTGGACGCTGGAGTGAGTGTAGCAACACGAATGAAAAGCAGCTGCAGAGGTGGTGGATTAGGCTGCAGACGTAGCCCGGCAGGACAGTGGAGGCAAAACGCAAGACGCGCAGCAAGGAGTGGGCATGGTTTTAAATGGTGTTGCCGCTCACCTCCCCACTCCAGTTGTCTGTTTACTTTTATTTTCTTTGCATTGATTACCAACGGACAAGATTAGGCGACCTTTTAGGATCCACACCATTGATACATTTTCTTTCTTTTATTTTTTTTTCCTTTTTAAGCAGGGAGTACAGTTGAGGAATGAAAATGTACTGCCATCTGAAACCGTATGGAAAGGTTCCAGAACCTGTGCTTTCAGGATGACAACACTTGAGTGTGATCAGAACCATTTGTGTGGACACACAATCTGGTTCGGCAAAGGACCAGCTGGGGAGGCACCTATTTGGGAGCTGGTGGAGTGGTGCCAGGTGTGGGCTTTCAGAGCCGCTTTGTTAATGATCTGGAAGGGGAAGTAAACTAGGCATTCAGGAAGTTTTCAGCTGAGTAGCCAGAAAGGGAAACACCAGGGAACATAGCACAATAATTGGAGTAAAACCCAAAGTGGCCAGCAGAGAATAGGGACCATGTGTACCCACTTTTGTGTTGGTGATTTACTGCAATGGGAGCACATTCTTTCTGAAGAGAGAAGAGTGGAGCGCTCTATTAAGCTCTCTGGGAAGTACATTAGCTCTATAAAGTCACTAGGTTGTGGTTCAGTCAATGCTTCATTAGGTGTTAAATGACAGATAATAATAATATTATTATTAATCATACATGGCTAACATTTGTTGAACTCTTACTGTGGGCTCAACACTGAGTCCAGTACATTACCTCTTTTAATACTCCATGAAGTCTGTGAAGTAGGCACTGTTACGAATGAGGAGAATGAGGGCTGTGGGTTGAAGGGACTCCCCCAAGGCCTCACAACTATGAGATGGTAAAGATGAAGTTAGAACCCGGGTCTCTGTCATTTTAGAGGTTCTGGTCCTAACCACTAAGTTATACTGCCAATTGCATCACAGAAGTAGTGTTGCAGTCAAGTTTCTAGAAGAAAGAAAAGATGATTTGTAGAGCTGAATGTATCTAATAATTATAATACCACTTTGATTTTATTGGGGGAACTCAGTGAAACTCCACGTGGCTGAGCTGTCTGCATCCAAACTCTTTAAGCCTCCTCATCTGTAACATCTACCTATGGAAAAGTCTTAACCATTCTTTAAGATAAAGCTCACATATCTCTTTTGTTGAGCATCCCAGACTCCCCCAGAGAAAGGCCATAAGTTCCTGTACTCCCTACAGCCTTCATCCGTCCTTTACAGGAGCTCCATCTATGATGAGTTGGCCATGATTCTGCATATGTGTCTTCCTCATTAGCTTATGAGAAGGAATCTCATATTATTCATCTTTGCATCCCCAGCACGTAGCAGTGTGCCTTGAACTTAGTAGGTTCTTACTAGATATGTTTTGAAGGTGCGAAAGAATGATTGAATCATAAAGCACAGATGCTATTAGTTTGTGTGTAAAAATCATTCAATGTCATGATGGCAACGATCTGGTTACTGAAAAAATACATGAGATACCTTAAACTAAATTGATGTTTGGTAAGTCCTCAGCACTTAGCACTACACGCTGAATGACAGTGAGCACCCCCGAAGGCGTAACTTTGATAACTTTTGTGATTGTCAACATAACTTCCTTACCACAATTGATAATCCTGTCCAGAAATAAGACCCAACTCACTAAAGGCAAAGCCATAGATAGGGCAAAACTGAAACGTTGTCATAAAAACCAAGGGATGCCTTACGGTGCAATAGTCTCCACCTTTGAGCCAGCTGGAGACTGGCAGGGGTACTGACACTTCTCCAGCCTCATCTCCTGGCTGTCCCTCCTCACATGCTCCTTTGCTCCTGCCTCAAGCTCCTCACAGGCCCTTGAATTTGCTAAATGCTTTCTTGCTGTGGAGACATGGGCACCGTTCTTTCCTTGCAGTCATCTTCCCTCTCCACTTCGGCCTCCCTTGCTTTGCTACCTTCAAGTCCCCTTCAGTCTTGGTTCAGATATGAATTCCCCTGAGATGTCACCCCTGTTTATCAGACAGCTCCCCTCCACCTTTGTCCCATGCACTCCCCTAGCTCCTCTCAGGCATTTGTAGAAGCCATCTGGAGTTCCGGTGGGAGGCTCTTTCCTTCTCGGCATCCCTAGTAGCTCATTTGGTGTGTTGTGCCCCAGTCCCTAGCACAATGCCTGGTGTACATTGTATGGAGGAGGAAAGGAAAAAGGAGGGATGGAGAGAAGGCAAGGCAGGCTCTAATGCCACATGGTCATTATTCTAATGTTAGGGGGCAAATATGAAGTGCTCTTCAGTTAGCCAATTCAGGTCCTAGGGTCTATCCTCATGCCTGAATGCTTAACTGGAGGTGATCCAAACATCACTATTTACTGAAAGGATACCTCAATTCCCCGTACCCTCATATATTACAGACATTAGCCCACATATGATAATGGCAGCCTCATTAGAGGAGAAAATAAGGGGGAGAATGAGAGGGAGGAAGGGGAAGAGAGAGAGAGAGAGAGAGAGAGAGAGAGAGAGAGAGGCTGACTAATTATCTTTCTGACAAAGGGTAGAGAAAAAACACAAGAGGGCATGAGTTTGGAAGAGACCAAATGGAGTTTTAAAGTCAGTTCTCTGGTCTTTCATATGGTTACTCTACACGCACTGGGTGGTTGTTAGGCTGGGTGGAGATAAAAGCCGTGGAATGTCTTGGTTTGCTAACAACCTCCATACAACTGAATTTCATACCAGCATCATCTACTGTAAATACTTGATCCAGGAACGGTATGGTGACTTTTTAGAAAACCTTATAAAAGATGTAGATTATCTCAGGTCTGAAAGGTGAAAAACAATTTTATCTTTAGAGGCCATTGCAAATTCCAGATGCTGCCGCAGCTGTATTTTAATATTCCAACACTAGGACAAGAGTGAATCTTGCTATGTGCCTCTTATCTTCCCCTCACATACCAATGCTGTCAATGCCATTGGCAATTTTACATGTAAATGAGCCCATCCATCACGACTCACTCTGCAGCAGCTCATTTCTAAGCCTGCCATAGAGTTACACCATTAAATCTCCCTGCTTTACAATATACATCATGACATATTTGACATCAATCAGCTGTGTCAGCCTGCTCACTGTAAACCATAAACTTGCTCTGCAGCCCTCCCTGCATGCGGTGATTAAACCTGCTTGGGGTAGCTTCCTGATTACAGTGATTAATGATGATTCATTTCCCACTCGCTCTTCCTCCACCTGTGCCTTGCCTCTGCCCCAAGCTCCTCAAGCCTGCCTGTTGGAGGAGGTAGTGGTCAGTGGGATGTGCACACTGAAATCCTGATTTGTACACTTGGGTTCAAGCCTTGACATTAGCAATCACTGCTTGGGTCTGGGTTATGCCTTTGCTATTTCTAAATGATGATGAGAGGCTGCATCCTTTGTTCTGCTATGAGGACACAAAGGATGAGGACTTAGAATTCTTCTAAGGACAGTCCTCCTGCCTAATAGGGAGAGACAGACCAGAACAGCAATTCTCAACTCCCAGTAGTGGATACTGGCCACATAACCACTAGATCTCTATATACAATGGGTAATTTCTGGCAGGTTAGCCATAACAACATCCCATTCCTACTCAGGAAAGCACATTGGAATTCACGTGAGTGACAATCACATTATTATAAATGTAGCTTTGAATCTGTTCTGATTTTTTAAAGTATTTCATTTGTAAACTTTAGTATTTTATTATTAGAAGTAATAAATTACTTGTGACACACTGGAATATTACATCACACCATAAGCTGACTGCAACACACCAGTGTATCATGACACTCCACTGGAAATCCACTAGACTAGATGATGCCCATGCTTTATTTTTCGGCAGGGAAATCCAAGAAAATTCCAGCACTGAATCAATACTCCACTGAGCTGACTAGGCAATCCATCTGATCCCTCTAAAAGTCCTTTTGCCCTTCCTTCTGTTGAGTCTGAGATAGCAGCAACTTCTGCTTCCTGGCACAGTGACCAAACCATCTGCTGACCAGGGGAAGCAGCCTGGATCATGTTCACATGTCGGAATATCTCCTAAGCAATAAATCAGAGGGTTCTCTGGACCCAGCAAAACGCAGAGTAGTAAGAATTCTTTATCCACATTTACCCATTCAGACACAAGCATGGTACCTGCCCACCTGCCGCTCGTGCTCATTCCTATCAGTCTGGCTGCTCGAGTCTCCCTTTTCTAATGATCTCATTCATCTACCAGAGTCCACAGTGGTTTGTCCAGATTGGGGGGTGCAGACCCATCTGGAAGGAGCAGAGCAGAGGGCTACGCTATTGCTGTACTGCCACAAATCAGATTCAATGTCACAGCACTCTCTGGGTGCCCACAAAATGGTAGGGCATCTTTGAGGTGGGTGACAGGGGAGTAAGAAGAAATATGAGGGAATCTGAGCAACATGGGGACAGGGAGTCAATGTGTTTGGGGGATTCAGCTGGTCTCATGACGTGGGAGGAGGAGGTGGAGGAGAAAGGTAGGAGGACAGAAGCCTTAAGCAGAGGAGGGACAGGAGTAGAACAAAGGAGAAAGTTAGCTTCTTGCTTTCATTCCTGGGACATCCAGAGTAATGAACCCTCTTTCTCGAGAAGACGAATGGGCAGCTGTAGAGATTATGAGTGAGGTTTTATTGCAGATCGATAAATCTGTGTCACAGATCCCCATCTGGAGGGAGTTTTAATTTAAAGGAAAGAGTGATAAGTTCACAATGACAATAAATCAAAAAGTTGTGTATTCACGTATGCATTAACCTTCTATCAAAACATACATCCACGTCAAGGCAGGAATTTGGAAACAAATCTCGTAGGTGATTTCGAAGGACAGCTGGCAGAGCCCAATAGCTCACCTACCTTTGGGACACAGAAGGGCTGCTGTCTCACTCTGCACCCTGGCCCACGTCTTTGACAAGAACTGAGGGGGAAGCCGAAGATTTATATTGGTGCCGTTAGCAGAAATTGCTGGTTGTCACCAGACGACAGCTGCCTCAGATCAAAATCAGGAAGAGTTCTCCAAAAAGGAGAAAGGAGATTTCACAGCAACAAAACTGAGATAACAGCTGACAAAAAAGTGGGGAGAGGAGGAACATATCTAGGGAATCCAGAAACCTGTGTTCAAACACAGTTTGAAGTGCTGGGCATAACTGTGAAACCCGCCTGTCATTCTCTCCCATGCTCCCTGGTACCCTAGTCTTATACGGGTGGCCTCACCGGGGCCACAGCAGTGATCAGCTGCTCCATGAGGCATGGCCAGGGACTGATGCCAGCAAATCCCTTGGGACAGGGAAGTCTAGATGCAGAGCAGCAGCTCTATGACTTGAAAAGGTGAATCAGACACAGGCAGTGTTAATCAGCTGCCCAAGATCTCCCAAGAAAGCTGGCAGTGCGGGGAGGATGGCTACTTACCAGCTGACCCATCAGCACTGTTATTGCATGGTATACATATAATTTTACTATTCTTTCAAAGACTTTTGTAGAAATCCTGGAAGGGACTAAAGAAATTAAGTGTTGAGCATCTATCACCAAACCAATCAATCAGTCCATCCATTAGTATCTCTCTCTGCACACATCTTGTAGATATAGAATGGTCTATGCATATATGCTAATGCTAATGCTAATATATCCACATATTGCACATGCATCCACTTATTCCTTTATTTTCCAGTTCATAAAAAGTCTGCTACATTTCTATTCACATTAGCATTGCTAGGTAGGTGTGATGTATCTTCTATCAATGATGAGAAAATTGAGACATGAAATGATCAAGAAGCTGGGATTTTAGCCTGGGTCTTTCTGACCCCAATAAGCTTTTTCTTTTGTCCCGCCAGCCTCTGGGTGTGTTTGTGCGTGTGCACGGGCATGCTTCTACGTACTTGACTCCTTTCTCTCTTTCCAGCCTAATTTTGAATATTCCCCCTCCTATTTGTGCTGCTTCTCAGTGATGACTTGTCAAAGCTTTGCACGTGCTGTCTCCCACAGCTAGGAGCACTCCTCTCCCTACAACCCATGTGATGTGACTCACCCTGAGACACCAGGTTCATGACCACTCCTCTGTGACACTTCCCCGGACCAACACCTGGTCCACTGAGTACTGCTAATTTTCTTTGTTTGCACCTTGTACATATCTCTATGAGAGCATTTTAAATTTTGATTGAACTTATTTTTAACAGATATGGCTTTCTTAAGTTCACAGAGACTATGTCTTAGTTACGCTTATTTACATCATGCTAGGCAGTGTGTGTGGCCCATCTTAGATGCTTTGCTGAAGGTGGCTGGAAGGATATTTTTCACTAATGATGTTTTAATGAAGGAAAATGAATCCTGATCGAACAAATGATTGAACAAATACAAAGAGAATCCCAGCCCCTGGAGATACAACTGGACTGTCAATTCCTGATTATCTTAGGACCCTGTGCAAACTTTGTAAACCAGAGGGTTTTATCAGCTGCCTACTGCCTTCCTCCTCTTAAGCCATCAATGTGTATCAATTCATGAACATAGCATTTCTAGGGGTCAGATAATAAATCCCATTTCAAAGATAAGTAAAGTGAGTCCTAGAGAAAGCATGGAGCTCTGGTGACCCAGTGAGTCACCTGTCCAGCCAAGACAGAGCCCCAGGCTTGTGAATCATTACCGCTGAACCTTAGCTCACTGATCTTGTAAATCAAATTCAAGGAAGGACGTCTCCAAAATGTTCACCTTCACTTAAACATTTTGTTTCCCAAACCTTCTGCCAACACATTGAAAGTGATAGTCACTTTTAGAGAAAATCATGATATCATTAATAATCTTTCCCATATCAACACAAACTATCTGAAGACTCCAGTCGTAGTCGTTATGCAAATAACTTCATATATGATCATGTCTGAAAGGTATAAAGGGAGAAAATACAAAGAAGATACAATACAAGCAATAAAAAATATTTAATGCCTAACAGGTGCCAAAGACTTTTCTAGGCACTGAAGACAGTGGTGGGTGCCAGCTCTGGTGAGACTTGCCTTCTGTGTTAACATCTTTGTTTCAACAACCACCATGAACACTTATTGAGATCTTTCTATGAGACGGGCATCCCTTTTAGCACTTTACACCTCCAATACTGTGAGTGGGCGCTCTAGCACTATTGTGCTGATGATGAAACCAAGCACAAATAATATAATTAACTTGCGTAAAGACACAAAGGGACAGCCAGTCTGAATCCAGAGCCCACACTGCTAATTCTTCTCCATAATGTTTCTCCTATTTGCTGTATCCTTTCTGTTCTTAGCACTACTTTCCTATTTGGAGAAAGCTTTCTAGATTTTGAAGTGGCCTTGTAGCTTTTCTTGTCTCCAGTCCCTCCACTTTCATGCTACGGCAGCCGGAATGGCTTTCAAAAAAATATAGTGCCTGACTTCAAATAACCTTTAAAAGCTCCCATTCCCTATCAAATAAAGTCTGGATTCCCAAGCGTGGTATTCCTGGCCCTTGATGACCTGGACAAATTCATATTCTCAGTCTTTATTCCATAATTACTACTATAACTCCTTTCAGTCACAGCCATGGGGGAGGCAGGGCCTTTGTGCTCTGTACTTTTCCTTGGACTGGAATGTTCCTTCTCTTCTTAGCTTGACTGCCCTGTGTTTCTTCCAAAGAATAGCCTAAAACGCTTTTCCCATGAAAGGCCTTTAACGTTGCTCATCCTGTAATCCAGCATCATGACTCCATTCACTGTGAGCTCCCAGCAGTTTCTTTATATCCCCATGGCAATATTTATACCCTAATAACTATTTGGTAGTGGTTTATGTGTTTTCTCCTCCATGTAAATTTGTGAACTTAAAAGCAGAGACTGTATAGCTCATCTTGTAATCCTGCACTGCTTAGCATTGTGCCTGGAGCCTAATAAGAAATCCATAAATATCAGTTGAATTGGACTGGTTTTTCTAATATCAGAGAGTGTGTGTCATCTGTGACATGACCGATACGGTGAGATGTGTGTGAAGAGCATTAGACCTGGAAGCATAAAATCCGGGAACCACTCCTCGCTCTGCCACTAGCTTCCTGTGTGTCACTGGGCAAATTCCTTCTCCTTTCTGGGCCTCATTACCCCATCTAAAATGAGAGGGTAGTACAGATAATATAAATTATATTATATTACAGTTTAACATCCTCAACAATCTTTCTCATAATCTTTATATATTTAATAAATAGTTGTTGAGCACTTTTTCTCTTCCAGACACTCTACTAGGCTTCAGGGATGTGGAAACAAAGACAAACTCTGGAATTGAGAGGCTCACATGAGCTTTTCATATCAACATTGCAATCTAAGTGGGGCAGTTTTAACCACATATCTTTTTTCAAAAGAAAAACTGAAGTCCAGAGAGCTTCAAATTTTATGATTATTAGATATTTTTAAGATTCTGGGTCATAGCAGTTGAGTGCATATAAACAATTCTTTACAACTTGCCCCATAGTGGAAAACAAATTTCTTCAAAGATGTTGCACTTAGACTTACAGAAAAACTCAATTACTGCATGGAATTTAGCAGGTAATCTAATTTACCTCATTGGCCACCTTTTAAAAAAATGTTGTCAAGTCAATGCTGTTTCATGTTTTCATGCTTATATAAAGATACAACAGAGAAAAGAAACAAAATTTCTGCTAACAACACTAAATTGAAACAATGGATGTCAAATCTGATTTTCCCATAGAAAATATGTTATCATGTGGTTATATTCCTTATCAAAAGCGTGAAGTCCAACATTTTATAGGCATGACCATAAACATCATGTTTAATTTTGTGCAAATAAGAAAACTATATTCTTTTTTAAAGCATAAAGCTTTCTAAATCTGTTTGCTCCGTTAAATTTAATAAATATCCCAAGCAATACAAGTATATAAGAATCTCTGATATTCACTGCTGGCAAGAGAAATGTGAATAAGATATTGTTCTTCCACCGGGAGTTTTGTTCTATTATTGACAATAAAGAAGTGTATGAATATGCTGAAGTCATAAAATGTTAAGTCTCTTAAAGAAGAAAGAACATGAATTAACATTATTGATCATTTACTGTATTCCAGATGCTATCATAAGATCTATTATTAGAAATTAGTGTTATTGCCCCTGCAAGATGAGTTTTATTATTAGAGTAGGGCAAACTTTTTTTAAATTAAGGAATAAAGCTTTAAAATCTGAATCCAAATTCTAATATAATCGGATAACAGTAAATCATACGATTTTCATGTTTGGGAGTTCACACACTTACACACACACATCACACATGCATGTAGGATGAATGAAAACAGATCAAACAAGGCTTCTTGTGGGAAAAGATATGTACGCTGAGCTTTGTTTAGGATGGGTAGAATTCTGGTGAATCCATAATAGAGAGGAAATTTCTGTGGGAAGGAAGTACCAGAGCAAAAGCAAAGACAGAAGGAAGCATAGTACATGCTCATGTAAAGAAAAGAATTTCTGTCAGGTTGGAAGGTGAGGCTGGTCCTGATTTCATGCTTATTCCATGCTAGGTGCTGGGGCTACAGTGATGAAGATGGTGAGGATGGCCTCTACTTTATAGGAGCATATATTATAACGTGAATGTTTCATCTATTTGTACTTATTTAACAAAATGCCTGAGAGTGATTAATTTATAAAAATCAGACATTTATTTCTCACAGTTCTGGAGGCTGGGGTGCAACATCCAGTTGCCAGCAGGTTTAATGCCTGATGTCATCCCTTCCAAGAGAGCACCTGTGGCTGTATCATCCAGAAGGAAGGAACGCTGTGTCTTTCCATGGCAGGAAGGTCAGAAGGGGCGAAAAAGAGTCACGACTACTTCCCTCCAGCCCTTTGACAAGGCACTAACCTACTCATGAGGGTAGAGCTTTCATGACTTAATCACTTCCCAAAAGGTCCCCTTTCCTGACACCAGCACAGTGGGGATTAAGCTTCGACACATGAATTTTGCAGGAAACACATGCAAACCACAGCAATAGAGACATAGTATGCGGCCTGGGGGTACAAGGAAGGGAATGGCTGATGCTGTCAGGTTGGCTGAGAGAAGATGTTGCAGAGGCTATAACCCTTGCTGTGAGTTTTGAAAGATGATAAAGACTGTGTCGGGTAAGCAAGGAGGTGGTGAGGTGGATGGGATGGGAAAAGGAACGCTGATCCAGGCAGAGGGGATGGCAGGATCAAATCCAGAGGTCTCACTGAGTGTGGATGTTCAGGAAACTACTCTTGCCCTTTATGGCATGAAAGCTGGGTGCGCGTGAAGATTAAGAAGGTGAGGGCTTGAGATAGACCAGAGTAGGCACAGGAAACAGCAGACGTCACACTTATGAGTGTGGCCGTACCCCAACCCCCTCACCCCTGCCTCAATAAATAAGCTGGACTTAACTTACCTGGCAAAAATAAGGGTATCATTAACGGCTTTTTATTAGAAAGTGTGAGGGTCAGAGTTGTACTTTGGGAAGATTAATCTAGCAGAGGTGTGTAGGGCAAGAGATGGAAGGGAGAGTGATTAACTAATTGTTTGTTCTGCTAGTTTGAGTGAGAAGCAATAAATACCAAACTAGGATGCAGGTGGTGGAGATGAAAAGGAGTGGTACGAAATAGCAAAGTTAAAATCAACAGATCAGCAGGCCTGAGAGACAGATTTTATGTCGGGGCAAGGAAGACAGAGCTGGTAATACTGTGAAGGCAATTATAGATGCAAGATGAGATTTTTGGATAAATAGTCAAGGCTGGAAACAGATTTAGGCATCATTCCCACAGAGGTGATAATTGGACAGTGGGAGGTGAAGAGAACACCAAGGAAAAGAATGTATAAAAAGAAAAGAAAGGACAAGAGAAAGGTTGGGGACAGAACTCTAGAGAATGCTTTCACTCAGGAGGCAGACAAGGCGGAGGAGCCCACAAGGGGCAGAGGCCAGGCAGCCAGGTTCGGGGGAGGCAGGAAGGTCAAAATCTGGAGGGCCAGGAAAGCAGATTTCACAGAGAGGAGCAGCTGGTGGCTGGGAGCAAGTGCTGCAGAAACAAGTAGGTTGGCTTGAGATTCAGCCAGTTTATTTGATAATTAATAAGTCAGTGATGGCCGGGCGCAGTGGCTTACACCTGTAATCCCAGCACTTTGGGAGGCCAACGTGGGCGGATTGCTTGAGGTCAGGAGTTTGAGACTAGCCTCGCCAACATAGGGAAACCCTATCTCTACTTAAAAATATAAAAATTAGCTGGGTGTGGTGGTGCACACCTGTAGTCCCAGCTACTTGGGAGGCTGAGGCAGGAGAATTGCTTGAACCCAGGAGGCAGAGCTTGCGGTGAGCCAAGATTGCACCACTGTACTCCAGCACTCCAGCCTGGCGACAGAGTGAGACTCTGAAAAAGAAAGAAAAAAAAAAACCCACTCCCAAAATACGTTAGTGACAAACTTCAAGAGAGGAGTTTTCTGGGAAGGAAACAGGTGGCAAAAGATGAAGAAGCGTGAAGATGCCAGGAAACTCTGTGTATAATGTCCCCTCTCAATTAAGTTTGTCAGTGAAAGGAATAAAACATCCCACAAATTGAATGAGGATGACCTCCTGCCATAGGGGGAAAATCTCATTCAAATGTCCTGTATTTGCTACCTCACAGCTCTGTGAAGTGTCTGGAAATGGAGGGTGCCAGGTACATGACATGCTAGAATTATTGGCTGATGCCTATAGTCCTTTCAGTACTCGACAATCTGGAGCTGGGCTGCATCTGTCTGCTCACAAACACATCCACAACCCATCAGGCTCTCTCCTGAGTAACAGACACCCTTTCACAATTCTCAACAGCAGCAAAGGCTGTTGCACAGCATAATGGATAAAGCTCAATCAATAATCTGAGGCAATTGTATAAAGTGGGGGAAAATAACACTGAGTTTTTGTTTCTCGCTTTCTTTTCACAGTTTCTCAGGCTCTGACTATTTGTTAGCCATACGGAGTGCAGTGAGGAAGGTTAGCGCAGCACTCTGTTTGCACGAGAAAGGAGCCACAGCTTTCTGCACTCCCCACACATACCGACCATTGATAACAGACAAGGGCAGAGCTGCTGATGGCACAGGGAGAGAGCTTGGCCACACACCCTCACGGCCCTAACCCCCACGCATCACTTACCAGGCAATCCTTCTGTCCAGCAAGGCTACTCTGGGGACAGCCAGGCCTCCAGGCTCCCACAGAGGGTGCTGCTCATGGGGATGGGTGGCATGTGCCCTCCTACCTGAAGGCAGCCCAAGCGTGGTGGGTGCAGAGTTGGAGGCGATAGCAGGGAATTATGAATTCTGAGGGAGAGTAAATGGCAGCAGATAAAACCCCAAGTAGCTGAAATGCTGTTTTCATGCAAATGGCCCTAAGTAAAATGAAAAGAGGCACGACAATGCAGGAGGAAAGGAAACAAGAAAGGAATCCAAGAGAAAAGCTGAATTAATTCTAAATGGGAGAATTTTCTGAGAGGCATTAGCCACTCTTGAAGAAAATGAATAGGTTCTCTCCCCACATGTATTAAATGTCTATGATTCTCTAATTTAGGAGTCTTTTATTGTCAGTTGAAAGATGGAAAACTTCAGGTGTATTTCAGGGAAAGAGACTCTCTCTTACCTATGCATTGTAATGCTCAGAATTAGTTTTTTTAGGATTTTAATTTTTTTTATTATACTGCACCTAAAAAAATTATACAAGGCATGTCTCCCTGAAATACCCTCTATCAGAATGAATTCTTGAGGGGAGGGTAATATGAGGAGAAAATTCCTTGAGAGGTCAGAGGTAACCAGGTCTGTGTGGGTGGCACAGGGCTGGGGTCATGGATGCTGCCTCAGGAAAGATGGGCCCAGCTCACATTCTGATCAAGGAGATTGAGAGAAAGGTTCAGGACAGGACGTCAGAACGTGTTACGGGAAGAGCACGGGTTTGTGCAAGGCGGCCTGGTTCCCGTGCCACCATTAATTGAAAAGGTCATCTAGCTGGGCTTTCCTCATTTACAATACTGCATCAGGAATGGTTTACCTCCCTTCTGTAGCATGAGGATGACACGGGATACAAACACAAAAATGTGCAAGAAAAAAAGGGGTCTACATAGCAAGATATAAACAAAAGGTGCTAAGGTGCTTGAAAGAGGAAGTGAATGTCCTTTGGTAAGGGCATTTTAAAAGGTGAAATGACCCTGTGCTATGGCGAAACTGCCACAGGCTCTGTCTCCAAGCTGAGCGGAACACAACCTCTAAGGGGATACTGAGGCTTCCTCAGGAGAAATACAATGTCCCAAGGTAACAATGGGAGTGAATGAGTGGGCCCCAGGACTGGCTACTGGCCTTCTCCCTCGCTCAGGGATGACCTGGACATCTCAGCTGGGCTGCTGGCCACCCAGTATGGCAACTCCCAACACACAATTGATTCAAGTGAGCTGCCCTACACTTCAGAAGGACAAATAGCATTCTACCCATATCTGCTGTGTTCTCATTTAAAATTTGAACTTCAGAAAAAAACATTCCTCTGCTCTTTCTCCTTGACTTGGTAAAAGTAGTTCACGTGGGTCACAGCAGGTTTGATTTGATGCAGAGGTGACTCATTGGGTGTTGTGTAAAAGTGCTAATCTTCCCCCAACCACTTCTGAATTCTTAAATTCCTCTGACATATTAATTCTAACCCCAGCCCCAAATGCCCCAACATCTCTGAGAGTCCCAACAGAAATTATAGCAATTTCCTATAACCGGAATCAAATTCCAAGGTTGGAGAGCACGGGCCACGTCCTACTATTAATTCAAACATCCATGTGAAAGATTATGGTGGGCAGCTGTGATTCCATTAAAGGGGACAATTTCAACTCCATTTCCTTGATAAACAGACACAAGCTCACCCCTAAATTGGGCTTGATAGATTTGATTAGGGTAGAGTTTTTGGAGGTTGTGATGTCTGCAGGAAAATTGCTGTTTGATGTGCAAGGCCAAATTGCACTTGAAATCTCCTTGCAACCATAGAGCGGGGGAGAAGGAAGAGGATGGAACACCTAGGCAATTGCTATCATCCAAGCAGCAGGGGAGTCAAGCTGTTGTATTCAAAATATCTGTTAGGTATGCAGCCAGTGTGTGCTGCAGAAAGCATGCCAGGCTCAGGGGAACCAATGATTAAAAGCAGCAAAACCAAGTGTTATTTAAACAAAGCGATATGTATTCATGCAATTTCTTTAGCCTATATGAATCTTTTGCAGGGAGAAGAAAAGATATGTTGCTTCCTTTGGAGACACCTGTGGTTCTGTGTTTCACAATTCCCATGGAGAGCCTTGGGGCCAGGAAGGGATAGAAGGTGAAGCTCACAGCTCTAAAGCAGTCTCCTGTCACAAACACAGAATGATGGGCAAAATGGAAGTAAAACCGTTTAGCCTGCTTGGTTTGTTTTCAGTAAAATGGGAAACTCCACTTGTTTAGGTAAATTCTACCAGATGAG
Source organism: Homo sapiens (assembly GCF_000001405.40). Taxonomy (NCBI): domain Eukaryota; kingdom Metazoa; phylum Chordata; class Mammalia; order Primates; family Hominidae; genus Homo; species Homo sapiens. Next base: position 131,800,243 of record NC_000011.10, on the reverse strand, counting down.
ACAATGGGGATTGCAATTACTTCTTTAAATCCTGTTCTCGGATTCCAAAAGTCATAGACCCTTCATGTTTGAAAATCTGTTTGCTTTGTAAGTACGTGTACTTTAGAGAGAGCTTCAATTCCTTCAGCATCACCCATTCCGCTGGCTTGGCACTATGTGTGGGGATCTAAGATTGACTGAGGATCTAGAGTGTGCTGAGAACCACACCAGGTGCTTTATGTCCATCATCTCATCACATCCTCCAATAATTTTAGGGATGGCTACTGTTTCCCCATTTTCAAATAAAGGCAAGGAGTTTCATCAAAGTTAGAAAAAATAGGTAAGTTCTTATATATGGGGAGAGGTGGACTAGGATACAAACTAAAATCATCCTGACACCCAAACCCAGATGCCTTCCATCACACTGGGCTGCTGCCATAGTTAACTGCAGGCCACTAGGATTCTAGCTGAGGGCACACCAAGTCAGACATACTGATCTTCTATTTCTCATGTTGCTCCCTTCTTATAGGTCCTCTCCTGTGCCCACCCCTCCTGGGGAAGACAGTCTACTTGACATTACTGCTTGGATCAGCTATCACTGGATTTAAAGCTCCAGAACCTGCCTCCTCAATTCTGGTGGACAGATGGAAACAAACTCTCCACTGAGCCGGGATGTATTTGGCTGGCTCCAAACCCAAAGCCCTTCTAGTTTCCCTGTGATCTTCAGGGGCCTTGAATTGCCTCCCCTCTTTTCCAACCCAGACCTCTTCATGAATCCTACCCTACGTATGGCCCCACATTACCTGAGGATATAGAATAAATAAATAAAATCCTTTTTGATTTGTTTGTACACCTGCAATATGCCTTCTTGATTCAATGAGTGAAGATGCCCATTAGCTCAAAAAAGAGCATTTCCTGATGTGTCCCAGGAGCTAGACATCCAAGAATTCTGTGCAGAGGATTCCACTCCAGGTTGACTCTGTGCATTAGTATGCGATAGTTTCAAGTACACACTCTAAGGATGGATCATATAGGATGAGCCTAATTAGAGTGGGGTAGGGTGGGATATAGTATGTATGGCCATATTTATCTTTCAAGATGTATACTCTTGATTATAAAAAGTGAGAGATATTAGTTATAAACAATGAAGTCGTTTACTAAACAAAAAAGTTAACAATTAAACAAGAAAGTGCTTTACTAAAAGAGTTGCTGGCAAATTTTCTGTCTGCCCTTTTTTCTGTTTTGGAATTTCAATCAATAATTAATTGAACAAATATTTACACTGAGCTAATTGCTGGAAATGCATTGTTAATTAATACGGACATGGACTCTCCTGTCATGGACCATAGCGATCGAATAGGGGAGATATCACTGAACAAGCAGTTAGAAGTTCACTGGGCGTTACCATCTGCTTCCTGAAAGCACCTAAATAACCCAAGGCAGGTGCCAGTACAGAGGGTTATTATCCATCTACAGGGAAGGAGGTTGCAGACATCTTAAATGACCCAGAACGATATCTCTGAATCAATAGAGTTGCAGATGTTCTGTCTATATAATAGCTGATATTCACACCTTAGTAGAAATGGACAATGGCCACATACTGTTTTATGGATACAAATCAATAGGTCTTAAATTGTTTGAGGTGAAGGAATAAAGAAAGTTTATTGCGTCTCCTTTTAAAAGTCAGGAAACCTTAAAATCAGCACCAACCATAGTACATGGCACATAGTAAATGCCCAGTAAATATTTGTTAGATAGATAGGTGGAACAACTGAATCTGCTTTGTAGTCAGGCTTTAGACTCCCCATCCTTGCCACCTCTGCTACCATGTCCTTCTGGGGGAAGCGAGGCCACGGGAGGACAGATGCATAAGGCATTTGGAGGAGTCTCCATCTTCCCTCTTTCCTAGATGTTGTTCCCTTGCAGGAGAAGAAAAAACAACTGCAGCACTGTGCCAGTTCTCGGCTACGTCCATGATAACAATGGCGACTGGGAAGAGGAGCAGACAGATGCCCAGGGGAGCCTGCAGACGGCAGCCCATGCACCCACACACAACAAGATGGAGATCATGAGGACCACGCTACGGCAAACCTTCAGTTAATTTATTTTACCCTGACACCCATTATTACTACCCTTTTCTTGTTTAGGTCTTGTATCAACATGCTTGGCTAATTTTTTTTCTGCCCAGCTGCCAACCTTGGGCAGTCGAACATCTGTTATATCCCCAAAGGGCATTAGACCATTATGAAAGGTAAATTCATTTTTTTTTAATTTCATAAATCAGCCATCAAATGAAAAATGTCATTTTAAATTACAAACAAAACCGAGTTGAATGCGTGGCTGCTACTTGTGCACAATTGGAATTATTTATGACTGCTTAAAATTTGTGGAGGGGGCCATTGTAGTTTTAATTATATGATACAAGGTGAGATTATTATTTACTGGTGCTGACATGGAATTGCCAATAATTACTTAATATCTGTTGAAAATTATTCAACAGTTTTTAATTAGTGATACATACTAAAGTAATTGTTATTTTCTAGCAAATATAAAAATCCATCTGTGAGAAAAGACACCTGGGAGTTACGTTGGTAATTGTTCTAAACTGCATTATTGATTTATACACATTACCATTACCATACTTTGTGTGATTACTTTTCAATATTTGAGGGATTCTTGCCTTCATCAGCAAAAGAACATAAAAGTAAGTAACAACTCCCAGAGTGGGTCATCAACTAGAGGAAAAGGCATATCTTTGCACAGGTCCCATTTGTCTCATATTTCCTTCGATTCTATCCGGAATAAACAAATGTGTTGCCATAGTCATACTCAAATGCTCTTTGTCCACCCAGTGTCTTCATTTCCATTATCAGTTCCTAGAGGGCAGGAGCCAGGTCACTTTTTACGGCTTGCTGCATCCTGCCCCCCCTTACAGAGTCCCACCTAGAGCAAATGTTCTATAACAATGTGTGGATGGAGATGTGGAGCAGAGATAGTTGTCAATCTGCCTTTCACTGTTTTATTGATGTCCTTTTACTCACCCTTGAAAACCACAAGGAAAAAACAACGAAAAACATACCTCACTAGTTTCTAATAAATGATCTCAAGTCATTTACTTGCTGTAAAGATTACTCAGGAAAACCATTACTTACTAAACACATTAGTCAAAATCTTTTTTGTGCTAAAAAGCATTAAATTAGAATTACATTATTAGAGCCTTCTAAGTATTAATATTTCCTTTAGTCTTTAAACAATTAAGTGCTTTACTAAGAGAAAACAAAAGGAAGAAAGATATTTCTATTTCATCATTAGCTAAATATTTTCAATGAATTGCTCAGGATCACTTTTGACTATTTGTAAGTGTAATAAATGCAACTCCTACACTGACTTGTTAATGCCACTCTCTCTAGGAGGAAGGAAGACAGGGAGGCATCCTCCTGATAGATCAGGCATTGCCGTCATTGGTGCATGACAGAGAACTGCTGTTACTGTGCTATCCTCCCCAGGGCCCTACCCTGTGCCAGCTCCAGCCTCTCACCTTACGCATGCGCTGATGTCGAGGCCATCCCACGTTCTTGATAAGCTCCTGTGTCTCTCAGCTCCAGATGCACCCTCTCTATGCTGCCTTGTGATGTTGAGGCTGGGACTCTACACACTCCATTTCTTCTTTGTCAACTGGTTTCCTGTTGGCTCCTCAGAAGGGGTCACTAAGAAGGGTGGAAGGCAGAAAAGGGGACAGGCACTTGCCCCTTTGTGTTGGCCTGCGGTTCCTGTGGCATTTTCCCTGCAAAGGCCCTTCATACTGGCAGCAGCCACTAGTTCCAGGGGAAGTGAGTTCTGCTTCCATCTTCCTTCAACACCTACTATTCACCGTCATAGGAACCAGCAGCAGCAGCAATGCCCCTCTGCAGAGGCCCAACTCCCAGCTCCGCGTGACCCTCCTGCCTCCTGCGTGCTCCTGAGACACCAGCACAGCCAGGCAGGCAGCAGCCTCTACTCCTGAGAGGGCTGGGCCGCACCTGTGCATGGCCTCTTCCACAGGTACAGGTTCTAGTTTCTGACCACCTTAACCTTTTCCTTTGTTTCCCCAGCTGCAGGAGGGCTTCGATATTTCATTTTGCCCTTCCAGTCCTTCAACTTCCTGTGGCCAGTTCCCTAGATTTCCCCCGGGAAAATAACTAGTGTGAGTTACGCTTTCCTGTTTGGCACTGATCATTACACCTCGATGCACATGCTGGCTGGCAGCTGATTGCCCCTGCACACAACTTCTTCAATCTGAAACACCTTTTTCCCTTCCTCCCATCTGGAATATCCTAACCACTTCCATGCTGCAGCTCAGGCATCGCTTACTCCAATAAAGTGATCCCTCCACACTAGACAAGGCAGGCGGTCTCTATGGTTCAGGAGCACCCTGTGCATTCTTGCCATGGTGCAGGCATTCCATCACTCTGAGAGTTCTGTGCTCCCACCACCCCCCAACCCCAGTCAACTGCTCCCACAAGGCAGTATCATGACCTGAACCACTACACTGTCACCACCTCAGGCAATGCCCAGCACAGAAAGAAAATGCCGTAAATATCTGCTGTTCGCCCTGAACTTATGGGCACTGGCACTGTACTGGCCTACATGGGAATCAAGCTCCTACAAGGGTCTCCCATGACTCTGTGGGACCAGGGTTCTCGCGGGGACTCCCGTTATGCAAACATCATGCTGTATCCTGACAGAGCAGTGTCTGGCTATGAGACAGACGAATAAACAAGAGCAATAAAGGGCAGCTTGGAGGCAACCAGGTATCATTTCCACAAGCTGCATATCAAGCATTTGACTTTATACCAATAGTGTATTTAAGGACAGTCCTAAAATATCACTATTCCCTTTTTAAGTGATGCTAAGTAAATAGCTCATAACAATAACATCTCCCACTTATTAAGCATATATTAGGAGCGCCTGGGCACTGCATTCTCTCATTAAATCCTAACAACAACCCTATAAGGAAGAAATGATTATCCTATTTTTCAAATGAAGAAGAAGAGATACGAGAGAGCTGGGATTAGGCTGCCGTGAGTAAGCCTTCACCACTGGAGTGAAATTTAAGTGGGTGACAAAAAACTCAGCGATTGAGATGCATACTTTAATACAATACTTTTAATGAAAAAGTAAAGAATAAACAAGATGTGAACAGTTTAAATAAAGACCACATCACTAGTGCTGTTTTTTTCCCCCCCTTTGGCTACAGGGTCCAGGAAGGAGCACGGCTGAGTACTTCTGTAGCCTGCCCAAGGCTGCCCCTCCAGTGAGGAGAGGCACTGACATGCGGGTTCAGGTTCCCCTAACTCCAAAGCCTTGGTTACCCAACACTCCCTGCAGTGACAAGGGTGGCCATCATATATTCTCTGTGGAGGCCGTTACCTATGGCAGCTTTCTGCCTGGGCTTTTTCTTTAATGTAGCATAATCTAGGTAGGGGCTTCCAAAGTACATGAATGCTTTTCACATGGTGTGTGGAGCTCACCATTGTTCTAAGTCCTACACAAGCTATCTCTGCTTTTAGATGCATTCTAGGACACTGTGTCTTAAAAATGACTTCTAAAAGGTGCAGTTTTGCCCGTATATGCACTACTCATTCATTCATTCATTCATTCAACACTCATCCAGCACTTATTTTGTGTCGGTCTATTGCCATTTCTTATTCAAGCACTTGTAGAACTCAGTGAATGAATAGGTAAAAAGCAGCAAGGAGTAAAATTCTTTCTTTCTTAGGCTGACTCCCAAGGAACAAAGTAGTAAACGGCGGGTGGGGAGGAAAGGCAAACGCCTCATGTGACAGCATTCGCTTACACAGAAACTACGGAGCATGTAGATGGAAGGTGAGTTTTAGGCTAATGGCTATTGCAGATCAATTACATGAGGATCACTGCGTTGAAGGATTTGTCCCTTTCTTCCATTGCCTTAAGTTGGGCCATTACAAAACGTTTATCCTGGTGATTGGCTTGTACTCAAAACAGCAGTGTGACTGCTCACAGGGGAGGTGCAGAGATGATCTACCCTCCCAAGCCAGAGGTGCGAGACAGGCCCTGCACACAGAGGTGGTGTCAAGGAGGATCAGCACGCACCGTGGCACTCCACACCCTCCAAGCCCCCTTCATTCCCTTCTGACAAGCAGCATGTCCCTGCCTGGAGAACCGTCCATGAGTTCAGTAGTCTGAAGTGATTACACCTAGCAAATATTTGTCGATGGTTATCCCATCTGTCCCACAGTCTCGGCTTAGAAAAATGATAAATATTGAGGTCTTTTAATCTTATCTCACCAGTCAATCCCTCCAGCACTCTAGTCGTTCTTGTGGTTCCATGGTCAGAACCTTCCAATCTACCTTTCTTTGGTATAGAAATGACCTGAAGCAGAGCCCAGCACAGCAGCTGGAAGGTAGAGCTGGCCCTCAGCCCGTATGCTGATGCTCAGATCCATGCACAGGCCTCAACATTTTCAACCTCGCCTTCCAGAAACTTCTGCCAGGACCTCTAACTAGCATGCCGATCCCCATTTTTGAAAATAATAGGGTGGGAGGTGGGAAGCGTGACAGGATAATATAGGGGTTTCCAGTGGTCTAAAGGAGGCTTCCACCTTGTAAACCTGAACTATTACAGAGCAGTGGTAAGTGCTGTTTAGACTTTCTTGGAATCAGACTGACCGGGATGGAAACACATAGGTGCTATGGCTTTGAGAAATTGTTTAACATCTCTGCTACTCAGTTTTAAAAATCTGTAAGATGGAGATAATGCTTGCTATTTGCTAGAGTTGCTTCAAGTTAAAGAACATAACACAGTAAAGTATTGGGCACAGTGTATCTGTCTCTCATTTATTCAGTCATTGAGTCACCTGAGAACCTAGCTGGTGCTAAATATTAAGTGCTGAGGATAGGGTACAAAAAGACAGAGATGGTCTTTCACCTCACAAAGTTCAACAGACACTGAACAAATTAATGTCCTTATTATCATTAATAGTAACAATGAAAAAAACGATAGCAACCAAATAATAGTAGCATTACCATTATTACTAATAGGAAAATTACTCTTCCAACATAGCAGACTCCCTACAAACCTCTTGGTCCACATTCATGGGTAGTCCTTCGTGTGTTGCAGTTTTATTTTTTATGTAGATCGATCATGGAAATACTAAAAAGCCCTTCTAAGTACGTTGGCGATTCTCGCTAAGGAGCGGTTCCAGGGCCTTCACTTTAATGGGACTCTGTCCACTCACCTTCCATATGTGCATTTCCCTAACTGCTCTCTGGAGAATCCAATCCAGACTGTCTCCATTTTACAGTAGAGATAACCGGTTAGTAAGAGAAATTAAGCAACTTAACTAATGTGAATATGACTTCTTCCATAAGTATTTATATTCTAAAGAAATATTTGACTAGATCTACAGAAAACAAACCTTTTTAAAGCCCAGTCTTTCTTCTTACATATGAAACGAATTGCCACTCTTCTTAACTGGAAAGCCAGATGAAAGCAATACCAATTCAAAGATCAAGGGGCTGCACGTGGCGTTTCAGAAAGAGCAGTGTGAAGGCACCGTGCCCATTTGTTATGGACATCTCAGCATCACCGTCTAAGCCACAGAGGGAGGAAGCAATGAGGTTGGGGGTGGTGGCCAGAAAGGTGGAGTTTTATGAAGAGGTGGTGATGGCATTAAATAGAGATGAAGAATATGGGCTGTAGTGGTAGAGATCACATGAGGTTTGATTATTGTGGGACTCGAACACCCAAGGTGTAGAGTGGGAATTTGATTGATCTATCCCAGCTTAAATCCAACCCGGCTTGGCTGGTGAGTCACCACCACCAGGAATAATTCAAACCTGGAGTGTCAGAAATCTGAGAACATACTATCACCAGCAGGCACTGCAGGCAAAGGAACAGAAAACCAGATCTCCACCCAAACTTACTCCAGGACACGAACCAGTTGCATTACCCACCAAATATTTTCTGTTTGTTTCTTTTGCATTTGTTGTTTATTTTTGTGTGTTTTTTTAATTTTTATTTTTTATGGGTAGATAGTAGGTATATATTTATGAGGTACATGACTGTTTTTATTTTTGCTAGGATATGCTGGGTATGGTTACACATTTTCCACTGTATTAAAATTGTATCATTTCTGAAAGGATTTGAAAGTTATTTAAAACAGAAAAGATCAGGGTAAGGAGGTTATTCATGCCCCAAATGCAGATAGCTGGATCCCTCTCTTGTAATAACAATTATTACGTATCAGTTATAGCCTACAGGTGCCAGGCACTGGTTCTATATACATTAACCTTAGGCTTATGACAAACAGTCCTATGGGATAGACACTGCTGTTTCTATTTATAGATAAGTAACCTGAGTCTCAATGAGGTTAAACAACTTGCCTCAAATTAAACAACCAGCTAAGCTCAGAACCTCACTTCAAACTCTCCCTCCAAAGCCATATTTGGTAACACTTCGTCTTCTAAGGGTCTCTTCATTTAATCACTGACTCACTCAGTTATTCACTGATGCATTCATTCATTCACACATCCGACAGATACTTATCAAACACAGCAGATATTCTGTGTTACATGATGTGTGTAGAATGGCAAGTAAGACTGTCCTTGCAAAAGTCTTCTAAACTGTTGGAAGTCAGGGTCATAGCTGTCTTTGTCAGGGGAGGCAAAGATTGTGAAGGAGCCTGAGGGGCCTTCTCAGATGTGAGTGATGTTATGTTGCTTGACCTGGGTGGTAGTTACATAGTTGTATTCAGTTAGGAAAATTTATAAGTTGTACATCCGTGATATGTGGATTTCTCTGTATGCATATATTGATGTATGTATTACTTACACTCACTCATTACATTTAATAAAAGGATAAACACAGACAAAAACAAGCAAGCAAAAATGATACTGTCCTTGGCTTTAGAAAGATAACACTGCATTGGATTAAAGAAAATAACTCCTCCTTTGCCAGAATATCTGCAAGTACCTTATTCATCTTGATGTTGGGAGTTGTTTGCTTTATCATACACCTTACTACTTTATTATACACTTAGATTAAAGTCAGTAGGCTGAAACTAGCTTTGACCTCCTCTTGCTTGTTAAAATGATTATGCAAAAATCATTGGACTTGGAGAGACAAAGCCTTAGTTTTGTTGTTGTTTTTTGCCAACTTGTACACATAGGCACCGCACTAAACCACTTTGAACTTATTTTCTCACAATAACACCCATAACACAGGGTGACTTCAAAGATCAAATGTGTTTTGTAAACCTTAAAGCATCAATATTAATTAGTAGTAGTTATTGCTGCTATTTGTATTCTGAGTGTGATAGAGATTGCTCCAAAGATATTTCCGAATGATTAAAACAAACTTTGCAGTGCAGATCTGAATGTTTCTCTTTTCTCCTTACTTGCAACTTTAATCTGTGCCTCTTGACTCACACATCTGGGACCAAAGGGCAATTCTGATGCTAGTAACTGCTGAAATTGCTATGGAGAGAATTCCCACAGGACTTACTGTCTTGTGAGCTGTAAGAGGACTAGATATTAGCCACAGGGTATTTTTGTCCAGGACCAGAAAGTGGGGAATCTTAAGGCAAGCCTATACCACAACAGTCTGTGAGGACCCCAGGTGAAGGTTGACATTGCAACATTTGCCTACTTTGAATGGCCTGACTCTCTCAAATGACCAGGAAGCCTAGAAGGGGCTGAATACATGGGATGCATCCTTCTTGCCTCTGAGGCCATGAGGGTAAAAGGAAATGTGTGTCAGTAGGGGAGACTTTACTATTTTTATACCACCCAGAGTAAGAGACCACTTTATCTCCCCTCACCTATGTAGTAATTTCACAACATTACCTGAATCCCAATGTATTGAAGAAAAATAATAGATTATCAAGATTCAGAAATGTCATTGCAATATGATGGTGCAATAAAACACGTGCAAAATGGCATGTGTTTTTCTCATCAGTCTATCCTGGAATAGAGCAAACCCACTGAGGCTCAGGTCTCTCTTCAGCTTGCCCAAATAATTTTCTATGATTTGCTCGGATTTTACCTTGATCTTATCAATCTTTTTCTCCATATGAAATAATTTTTATTTGCATATTAAACTTCTATGTCCATATTCATAATTGCCATCTTCTTATCCTTTTAATCTGTACTTTGAAATATAATTTACACTTTTTATTGTAGGCCACTAATTTGAGTCTCAACAGTGACACTTTCTGTTTTCATTTAACTACAAAATGTGTTGTTTTCTTCATTGAGAAGCATGCTTTTTTTTTTTTTTTTTTTTTTTTTTGAGACGGAGTCTCGCTCTGTCGCCCAGGCTGGAGTGCAGTGGCGCGATCTCGGCTCACTGCAAGCTCCGCCTCCCGGGTTCACGCCATTCTCCTGCCTCAGCCTCCCGTGTAGCTGGGACTACAGGCTCCCGCCACCACACCCGGCTAATTTTTTGTATTTTTAGTAGAGACGGGGTTTCACCGTGTTAGCCAGGATGGTCTTGATCTCCTGACCTCGTGATCCGCCTGCCTCCACCTCCCAAAGTGCTGGGATTACAGGCGAGAGCCACCGCCCCCGGCCCATGCTTTCTTCTTCTTCTTCTTCTTCTTCTTCTTCTTTTCTTCTTCTTCTTCTTCTTCTTCTTCTTCTTCTTCTTCTTCTTCTTCTTCTTCTTCTTCTTCTTCTTCTTCTTCTTCTTCTTCTTCTTTTCTTCTTCTTCTTCTTCTTCTTCTTCTTCTTCTTCTTCTTCTTCTTCTTCTTTCCTCTTCTTCTTCTTCTTCTTCTTCTTCTTCTTCTTCTTCTTCTTCTTCTTCTTCTTCTTCTTCCTTCTTCTTTTTTTCTTTTAACTGCAGCAATACTTCTGAGCTCCCCTTAAATCTTCTTCTTTATTATTATTATTATTATTTTTAAATTCACTTTGTCATCTTCAGCATCTCTATTTCACTGGGCATGTGTCTTTTTAAAATACTCTTAACTGCAATGAAATTTCCGATTTCTATATAACTATATAACTTTAGGAACTCTTGTGTAGAGGGAACCAGTCACTTACAAAGGAAAAAGAAATAGAATCATCGGCAACACAGGAAGCTAGAAGAAACATAACATCCAGCGATGACTGAGAGAAAAGGACTGCAATACTAGACTCCTGTATTCGGTCAAGATGTCATTCACTTGTCAGAGCAGAAGAAAGATTTCGAGAGTCGACACTCATTCAGAGAGTGCTCCACGCAGAGACCCCGGCCCCCTGGAAGGAAACACTCAAGAACAGCTCAGCAAACGGGTAATGAGCCAGAACAGAGACCGCAGGGAGGGAGGGGTGAGGAAGAAGAAACGAGGGTGAGAAGTAAGCGCCTATCTTCCTTCCCAGGTGGCCACGGAGAGATTGCCCGAGAATGTGTTCAAACCCACCCTTGAAAAGGAGAGCATGGACCCCAAAAAAGTCTAAATGCTGCCTAGAACACTACATTATAACTAGAACTTTAAGTTGGAAGAAAAGAAAGTGGGAGAAGCACCCTAAAAAATACCAAAGATTTGCTGTGAGGTAAGTGGGGAGGAGGAAGAAACATTTCCCAAATATTACATCTAATGAGGGAGGATAGGAAAGGAAATCGGGCATTTTGATGGGTGAAAGTCAGTCTTGGTGAGGAAGTTATATTTTATATTGTTTTCAAACAATAGAGAGAAAACACGTCTGATTGTGTCAGCACGGAAGACTATAACTGTTAATAACGTAGAATGGAAGGTCTAAAAATACAAAAGAATATCTACCAATGACTCAGTCAAAAAATTAAAATAAATTTTTAAAATTACAAATAAAAATACAAAAGAGAGCCACCAAATGGATAAAGATTAAGATGTATTAGGTATAAATCTCCATATACTATATAATATATAGGCAATTATATAAAATGAAATGATCCATAAGGCAGGAAGGATCTGACAAAAATAATTATAATGGGAAAGAGTAATAAATTTTTTTAAGTTGGCATAGTTCATAAAAAACTAACAGTAAGAAGATAGATAAATTGAAGAATATAGTAACTCATCTTAAGAAATTACAGAAAGAACAACAAAATAATTAAACAGACCTAAAATGACGGACTTAACATGGATATGATCAAGAATTAAAAACAAACAAAGGAACAAATTAAAAAGAGCAGGGGAGGAAATTCAAATGCCAATTCATTGAAAAGTCCTTTGTGAGTCTGATGAAGAAGAAAACAGAGAAAACAATTATAGACACAATTAGGACTAAGAAAAGAGAAAAGAAACAATCACAACAAAACACTGAGTCCAGACAGATTGAAGTGTTTTATAGGAATACTATGTGAAACTCAATAACAACATAGAAAAAAATGGATGCTATCCTAGCAAAATGCTAACTACCAAAATTCATCTAGAAAGTAGAAACGCTGAACAGATCAACTTAAGCACCTGTCATTTTTAGTAGGCACGAGGACCAGAAGGGTTCACAGCTGAGGTTCAACTAACCTTTAAATTCCTATAATATTTAAACTATCCCATGGCATAGAAAACAATAAAACTTCCAAATTTGGTTTAAAAATCCAGTATTGGCCGAGCGCCGTGGCTCACACCCAATCCCAGCACTTTGGGAGGCCAAGGTGGGTGGATCACGAGGTCAAGAGATCCAGACCATCCTGGCCAACATGGTGAAACCCCGTCTGTACTAAAAATACAAAAATTAGCTGGGCATGGTGCTGCGTGCCTGTAGCCCCAGCTACTCCAAAGGCTGAGGCAGGAGAATCGCTTGAACCCAGGAGGAGGAGGAGGAGGCTGCAGAGAGCCGAGCTCATGCCACTGCACTCCAGCCTGGCGCCAGAGAGAGACTCTGTCTCAAAAAAAATAAAAATAAAATAATAATAATAATAATAATAATAATCTTGTATTATGTTAATATTAAAATCTAATAAAAATACTGTGAAGTATTTTCATTTTTGTGTATAGGCACAAATATATCATTTAAATATTAGTAATAGAATTGAACAATTAACTATAAAATATTATATCATAATAAACTGTTGTTTTATCCCAAGGGTAGAGGGACTCTAAGTAAAACTGTAACAGAATCAAAAGGTTACTGAAAGTTAGAATGGGTTGAGAACTATTTTAACTTGGGAACTTTAAAGAGTAATCTGTTTACCTTAATGAGTTTAGTTTTTGTAGTTAATTTTCAAACATTTGGTCTTAGTTATCAAACACAATAGCAAGTGAAGATTTAGTAATACTAATGCTCACAAAATAGCATATGCATGGATGTTTATAGGAAGCCAGAGTTTATATAATTCCACTTATAAAATTTCCTCACATGAAAGAAAACACATGATAATTAAAGTTAAGCCTATTTTCAGTGCTCATTAAACTAGTGTTTAGCTCAATGGACAGGAATAGCCTGTAGCCAACAGAGCCTAGTCTAAGAATGCCTCTTCAGACGTGCTTCTAAACCCTTCTGCTAACCAGTGTTGATGATGGGAATAGCCTCCTGCAGGTACAACCTCTAATTTAAATGCTATCAATTGGAGCTTGACTTTAACATGTTTTCTAGTTCTATTTTCATATTTAAATAGCACGATAAATCTAAAAGATCAATCACACAATCATGGCTGTATATGTCAAGCTCTCTGGCACTGGGTTTTACTATTTTAAAAAAAATTCCCTACAGCTTCTGTATTTTACTCTTTCTTTATCTTGGAGGGTGCTCAGTAATCATCTGGGTCATTAAATAAAGCTGAATTAAGCAATTGCTTTCCTCCAACCTCTGTTGACTTTAGTAATTGTTCTCAAGAAGAATGTGAACTTGAGCATCTCTGCATTACTCTTACCCAAACTGCAAACACAGAATTTGTAAGGCATTCATGAGCGTAAACATGGTAAAACAGATATAACCCCAATGCACAGGTGACGTTTTTAGCTCCTCTTGTAACTTAGTCATCTTGGCAAAACACATCAAAGTGTAGTCTGTCTAAAGATAGATATTCCACAGAATGAATGCTGAAGTTCCTTTGATGGATAAGGTGGTCAGCTCCAAGACCTGTCTTAAAAATTTTCAAGCTAATGCCATTTTTTTCCGAGGTTGTTTAGAACTTTGAGGTCTTAAGCAAACACATGCTTAAGTACTTTAGAAGATAGAAATCTCTTCCCCGAAGAAAATGCTGGCTCTCCCTGAAAGAAACCCTGCTGTCTCCACCTGCTCTGAAGTGAGATAGCCTTCTGTCTGTCTCCTCAACTTTCCAGCAGAATGACACCTTCCTTTCCATCTGGTATCTAAAGCATATGGCCATCACAGCAACATAGAACGCCTGCACTACAGGTACCTGTTAGAAAATTCAATCGTAAACCGTCTGAGCCCCGGCACTCGCCAAAGGCTATCCTAATATTTCTGATATTTGACAGACTGTTTAATAGGCATATCAGTCTTTATAAAGCACATTCTGTCCCCTCCTAGTCCTACTTGCATTGTATTGTTAGGTTATCAGATTAAAAAATTACCGTAACCTTGTGTCCCAAATTAGCCATCTTCATCAGGTCTCTATCTTAGTCTCACCTCTGCAGTCTTGGGTACAAGAACAGTGTCTTTGAGCAAGATTTCTGCCTTGTTCAAAATTCTCTTGAAGAGACCATTTACCTCGTTACCAAAGATTCATTATCCTCATAGTAAATTCTGTCTTGAGTTCTTCTCCAGGAACATATTTTCTTTCAGAAAACCAGCATGCTCTTTCTTTCAGTGGAAAAGGATAATTAAGTAATACTACATAATTTCTTTGTTAGCCTTAGCTGCCAAGGGTCCAATTGTAGAATTAGCTTTCTCGGACATTTAGAAGAATTGAATCTCACTTTTGAGACTCTATCTGATCTATTTTTATCTCTGTCTCATTTTGCACTATGTTTAACTCGTTAAAATTCATATCGTCTTCATTTCTGCTTCTGATCCGACGCTGGCCTCACCATGGCTCAGGTGCTTTCAGGTGTTTTCACTCTGCCTGTGGTTGGCTTGCCAGGCTCCCACCTGCCACTGCCCACACCCAGATATGTTACAAGGCCAGAAGCTGTACGGGTCAGCTTCAGCAAGACTGATGGGGAAAATTATACATGCAAAGGCTAGTTGTGTCTTGCAGGTTTTCTTTTCTTTTTAAAATGATGAGTCCAGTATGTCATCAGTAAAAGAAAACCTACCAATATGTGTACCCACACAGACACACACACGCACACACACAGTAAGGAAGATTTTAAAGACTGTAGTTTTTATACATTACTATTATATCAGGTAGAGTTGATTAAGTTGCTTGCAAAGAGTGCTTACGTGGGGTCTTTGACATGAGCAATAAAAATATATAAAAATATTTTTATTAGGTTATCACTGATGAAAATATTAATACAGGTATTTGGAGAAAGAATTTATAAAATATGGAAAAAGCTAAAAAGATAGATTTAGAACGATTGTGAACTCTCTAACCAACTTTATTAAGGTGTATTTTGCACGTGATAAAATGCGACCACTTAAAGTGTGCAGTTTGAAAGTGTACAATTACACATATGTGTGTATATGTGTCTGTGTGTGTCACCACCACTGTAATCACCACTGTTGAACATTCTCAACACATGTCCCTCTCCAGTGTATTTCAGCAACCCCTAACCCCCAAGCCCGGACCCCAGGAAATGTGGCTTTGCTTTCTCTTGCTACAGTTTGGTTTCACCTATTCTAGAGCTTTACATGATTGCAATCATATGTGTTCTTTTTCAGATCTAGTTTTTTTGGCTCAGCATAATGTTTTTTGAATTTATTCCTTCTGCTTTGTGTATCAAAGTTTCTTTTCATTACTCATTACTCAATAGAATTTCACTGTATGAATCTAATATAAATTTTAATCTATTCACTTTCTGATGAGCATTTGAATTAGTATTAGTTTTGGCTATCATAAATGAAACTGCTATGAACGTTTTCTTATATAAATACATAGAGATTACTAGGTCATATGTTATTGTATGGTTAATTTTTAGAAGAAACCACCAAATTATTTTCCAAAATGGTTGTACAATTTTGACATTCCTACCAGCAATATATGAGAATTTGACTTGTTCCCACATCCTCCTTAACACTTTCTTTTTCAGTCTTTTAAGTTTTTATTTATCCTAGAATGTGGGAAGAGGCGTTCATTGTGGTTTCAGTTTGCATTTTCTTTTTGACTTGCTTGATGTTGAGCCTCTTTTCATGTGATTATTGATCTTTCTCATTGGCCTTTGGTGAAGTATTTGTTTAAACATTTTACTTATTTTAAAAAACGGATAATTTGTCTTCTCAGGATTGAGTTGTTATGACTGTTTTATAGATTATGGTTACAAGTCATTTGCCAAATAAATGCATTGATAATATTGTCTTCCATTTTGTGTCTTATCTTGTCATTTTCTTTACACATCCACAGAGTAAAAGATTTCAGTTTGGATGAGGTTTAACTGCTTAAGTTTTCTTCTTCAGTTTGTCCTTTTTGCCTTCGGTCTAAGAAATATTTACCTACTCAAGGCCAACACATATTTTCTCGTATTTTTTTTCTAGAAGTTGTATAATTATTGCTCTTATATGAACTGTGGTTCATTTTGAGTTGAGTTTTTGTGTATGACATGAGGTAAGAATGGATGTTTATTCTCTTCCATATAAATATTCAGTTTTTTGAGCACCATACATTGAAAAGAGAATCTTTTTCCCCACTTAATCATCATGGCCTCTTTGCTGAAAATCAGTGGAACATATGTGTATGGCTATTTTGAGTCAGACTGTCAATTCCTCCCCAAAAATATGCTGAGATTTTGATTAGAATTTTGTTGAGCATATGTATAGTTTGGGAAGCACTGACACCTTAAAACTATCATCTTCCAACCCATGGATATGGCGCACTGTCTCTTCTTTTTTATTGAGATTTCCTTTATATTTCCTCAGCAATGTTTTGTAGTTTCAAGTGAACAGTCTTATACATATCTTTAAAAATTCATTTCTAAATATTTTATGCTTTTGGATGACCCTGTAAATAGGATTTTTAATTAAATTTTCCAATTGGTTGCCAATATACAGAAATAAACTTGATTTCTATATATTGGTATTGTAATCATAAACCCTTGTTAAATTCACCTATTAATATTTGTGTTTCTGTAGATTGCTTTGAATTTTCTATGTACACAATCATGCCACTCATAAATTCAGAGAATTTAACACTTTTCTTTCCAATCTGTATACATATTATTCATTTTCTTACATTATTGCAATAGCTAGGACCTCCAGCTTAATAACAGATAGCAGTGGTGAGAGCAGATATTCTTTTCTCGTTCTTATTCTTAGAGGGAAAGTATTCATTCCGTCCTCTACGAAGTATGATAATAGCTATAGGTTTTCTGTAGATTACAATTATCAGGTTGAGAAAGTTACTTTCTTTACTTAGTTTGCTGAGAGTTTGTATCACAAAGGAATGTTGAATTTATCAAATGCTTTACCACTTCTATTAATTTTTGTCCCCTTCATTTTATTAATATACAGTTATATCAATTGCTTTTTAAATGTTAAACCAACCTTGAATTCCTAGGATAAAATATACTTGTCATAAACTATCCTATTTATATATTTCTGGATTTAATTGTGTAATACATTGTCAAGGACTGTTGTGTCCATGTTTATGCATAATTTTGATTAATAGAGCTTTTTTCCTTGTAATTTCTTTGATTTTGATATAAGTGTAATAATGGCCTCATAAAATAAACTAAGAAGTGTTTCTTTTTTCTCTATTTTCTGAAATTATTTCTATAGATTTGTTATTATTTCCTCCTTAAATATTTTATATAATTAACCAGTGAAGCCATGCAGACCTAGAGTTGTTTTTTTTTGTGGAAACATTATATATGTATTCTATTTATTCTTGTGACTATTTTGGTAATTTTTGGTTTGTGGGGAATTTTTTCATTACATCTAATTTGACATTTGTTGACCTACAGTTTTTATTATACAACCTTATTATCCTTTTAATGTCTGTAGAAGTGATAGTGATAGCTTTTCTTTCATCTCTGTTTCACTAATTGTCACCTCTTCTGTATTTTATTAAGCAGTCTTTTGGGATTTATTAATCTTCCTGATCTTTTCAAATAATAAACGTTTTCCTGTATTATAACCCTTCTTTTGTCTTCACTGAATGTCCCACTTGCTCAATAAAATCTCTCCACTCTAGCTGGTCAGAACTCAAATAAACCATTAATGAATTCCAGGAGTCCTCCACCATGCTGTGTGCAGGTTCACCCTGTGCTAATGCCTCTTTGTGTTCACCAATAAAGTCTAGAAGACCTCTGTGTCAATTTTTGTAGTCCTTTATACCTCCTTCTGCAGTCTCCTCAGCCTCACTGAAGGCTGATTTCTATTTAACTCAGCAAGATAATGAGCTTCCAGAGAGTGCATCTAGGCAGAGTGCAGAGTGGTCCATGGGCTTCACTTCATCTGTTTTATTTCCTCAAGGATCACTGTCTTCATTGACTGTCATCCAATATCTGAAAAGCAATGATTCATATATTTTGTGCCAGTTTCTAGTTGCTTACAGCTGAAGGGAATTTGGTACTAATCTCTCATTGCCAGAAGCAAAATTCTGGAAACCTCACTATTGGCCTTTTGATGTTTATTTTATGCTATATTCCATTAATTAATTCAACAGTATATTACTTAGTATTTGCTATGGTGGCACACATTTAACAATAATAAATTAGTATATAGCATATTTAAGTTGAGTTCATATATTATCATGTTCTTTTTTTTTCATTTATTTCACCTGGTGTTTCCTGAATGTTTTCTATCTGTAAATTAAAATGTTTATTCAACTGAGGAAACAATTATTTATTATTTGAATATTACTCCTATTCAGTATGATTTGTTTTTATGAACTTAAATTCTCCTGAGTTCAAAACTTTTATGCTTTCTACATTAATTTTTTTTTACTTCTTTGTTCTTTATCTTTTAATTTTGAAAAAAATTCTCAAATGTGTTCTCTGCATTGCTGATTAAATTTTAGAGTGCTATTTCTGTCTTATACTCCTTTCTTGCATTTATGGTTTCCTGAAATATTTCTTGATATAATAGAGCTCTCTTTTAAAATCAGTCTGCAGTTACATCATTTTCTATTTTATCTCTTTTTCATAGTTAGTGATTTTTTTGCCTTTATGAAAATTATGTACAAGATACTTTCTAAAGTTGTCTTCTGGTTTCTGTAGTATAATTTTTTAAAAATTGTGTTTCCTCCGTTACATTTTAGGTGTAATGGTATTCATCTTGTAAGTACGACACAGATTCCAGCAAATCTTTTCACAAGTTCCTTATGGTTATTAGTTCTTTCTTTGTATTTAACCATCAAGGAGAAGGTATATGAAATTTAATGGGTGGGTGGATTTTCCTCCATCACAGCCTCACCTTCCACCTGGGAACCATAAGGACCCTCTCACATTAGATTCTAAAGGCTGCTTCGTGTACTTAGTCCACTTCAAACTTTTTAACATTGGACATATTTTTGTGTTTTCATAAATATTCTTTTAATAAGGTGGAAGAGGGAAAATCAAGTGCCATGGAAATCTTGAGTATAGAAGTGTCAAGCATATTAGAAAACAACATTGAATAGAAATTAATAGCTTGGAAGCACTCATTCGCTCTCATGTCTTCTGATAAACCCTGCAAGTCCTTGGTATTTGAATTAATGAACCAGATTCTCCTAGTGATCTCAGACCCATACACCCACTTCTTCCTAAATATCTTACCTCAGTCCTACAGGCATCTCAAACTCCACATGTCCAAAATAAAACTCCTACATTTGAGAATGACCCATAGTCTCAAGCAGACAGCTAAGATGCTTCTTAAATAAGCCATTGTCCCTCAGTGAGGTCGTCTCGTCTATCGTTCACACCCTGGATGATCTGCCTCATGAAGATCTGACTTCCTTATGCACTCCTCTCTGCACCTGCTGTCCCTGCGTGGCTCTCTTGTCTGGACATTAGAATCAGGATCTAACTGGTTTCTCTGCTTCCTATTTCGTGCCTCACAAATTCACCTCCCCTCCTTATTCCTGCTATTTCTAAAAGATGGATTTGGCTATGTTGTTATCCAACTTAAACCATTTCATTATCTTCCCTTTCTCTGAAAGACAGCATCCAGATTCACTAGCCTCAAGACACTGAAACCTATGAAAGTTCCTGTGAACGCCCCAGGGATGTGGTGAAGGCAGAGATTCTGATATAGGGGAGTGGGTGGGACTGAGATTCTGTACATCCAACACTTTCCCTGGTGACACCCGTGCTGTTCCCCCTTGGATGACACTTGGAGTAGTGCTTCTCTAAGGTATGTCTTCCTAATCCCAATCACCTCTAGCCTGCACTCCCATCCTTTTCACCATTCTTACCCACTTACAGTTCCTAGAAAAACATCTCTGTGTGATTACTCCTATAGCTTTTCTTTTCAGATTGCTCTTCTATTCCCTCTCCACCTAAAGAACATCTGCTTGTCTTTCAACACTTGCCCTGAGTTGCAGCTTATAGTAGAATCTTTTCTTGTGTCTCCCCTGCTCCACTGGTAGACTGACTGACTTCCTCCTTGTGCCCTGGCTATCTCAGGTAGAAGCTACTCTTAGAGCACATGTGATACTTTCTTAATCTATTTTGTTTATATAATTATTTTCCCTACTAGTCTACGAAAAATAAACGGCACAGACTATGTTATATCATTGGTGGCAAGGACACCATCTATCATATTGCTGGTGCTTAAAAAATATTTTTTGCAAGAAGGAATAAAGATACAATGAAATACAAGAATGAGTTGAATATTGATTGGAAATGTTGTATATAGTTATATTAGTTTTCTACAGCTGCATAATGAATTATCACCGACTAGGCAGTTTAAAACAGCACACATTTATTATCTCATAGTTGTTATGGGTCATAATTTCCTGAGTTCTCTGCTCTAAATCTGCCCAAGCTGAAATCAAGGTGTCAGCCAGGGCTGAGATTCTCACCTGAGGTTTCGAATCCTCTTCCAGGCTCATTTGTGTGGGCAGAATTCATTTTCTGTGGCGTTGGAACTGAGGTCCTTGTGATCTTATGAGCTGTCAGCTGGGGCCACTCCCAGTTCCTAGATGCTTACTGTGATGTGGTTGTTGGCCACGTAGCCCCCATCGGCAGTCCACAATGGTGCCGTTTGCTTCCTTCCAGGACAGAAGGATTTTGCCTCACTGACTTCCTATTGCTCCCCAGTTTACTATGATGAAAACTTATATAATGTGATGTAATCACAGGGGTGACTATCCCACCGGCATTTGCCATGTGGCATAACCTAGCCCAGGGAGCTATGATAGACTATCCCATCCTATTCACAGTTTCGGCCTTCACTCAAAGATCAAGTAGTACACTGGTGTGTACATTTGAGGGTGAAGATCTTGGATGCCATCTTAGAGTTCTCCCTACTACAATAGTTAACCGGAAAATTGAGCTAGTCATCAGAAGTTTTGAGAAAATGGGAAAGAGAGTCAATATTGAAGAGGAAGATAGAATGAGACTAAAGTTCCTGTACTGCATATGACTTTTACCATCACTATATGCTAGAGCTAGTTTTTATGTTTAAATTCTTCATTTTATAAATGAAAATAGAATCTGAGGAACTTGTAATTTGTGGTAGAAGCAGAATTCCTGATGACTACTAAAGTGATTGATCTTTCTTCTCTCTTGTAGTTGACTTCCATTCAATTCATAATAGCAAGCAAAAAATCCTCAGGCTTTGAATGGTTAAGTATGTGAAAAGGGACTTTACTTTGAAATTAAATCTGATAAATCACTTTTAAGTTTCTCATTCAACTTTATCAACACCAAATAGAATCTTAAGCAACATTCAAAGAATGTAGTTGATGGCTTTTGAATTAAGACTGGAAGCTTATCTTTTGGCAAATCATTCAAATGTGGAAGCCTGTGGCACTAGCTTCAGTTTAACCTTTTGGAAAACCAGTCACCAACTATCACCACGGGTTTCAGCTACATGTAGAGGTTGCATGTTTCTTCTCAACACACCCATCTGGATATTGGGATTTGAATGACAGGTGCTTAACATTATTGAACAGCCCAGGTTTACCTTTTCATCCTATGTATTGAGTGGGGTTAAACTTCTGAGCTGTGACAGTTGATGTAATGACAGTCTTATCAGTTTTTGAGTTGTAAACACTTGCTCACTTCTGGATTATTCCCTTGGGATAGTTACTTTCCTTCCCTGAAATCCACCAATGATCTATGCATCATAATTCAATATATTTGTCCCTCACCATGCAAGCATAATTGGGTCAAACATTTTTGCTCATAGCTAAAAACTCCCATAGGCAATTATCAATTCCCTTTATGATTAATGTAAAATCTACAGTGTTTCTATTTATGGAAATGTATGCTGAAGCATTCACAGTCATAAGCTGTAGATAAACCCTGTCATTACACTAATGTAATGTAAAAGTTTTTAAAGTCACCAGAAACTTCATAGCAACTGTAATATCTCAGTATGTCAATTTGCAAGGAAACTAGAGGGAACTTGCTGTATTACTAACAATACTTTTGGAAGTCATTTTTGAAAAAATGAGGGTAAAATTTTGGGGTTTGGGGCTTTGTTATGCCATTTTTCTGAAACAAGAACGCAGAATTAGAAAGCATGCCATGGAGAGCAGTTATCAAACTCATGCTAAGAATGGTAGCATTAGAGAAGAGCCTGGCACTGCATGCTTCCAGGTAGACTCACACTAGGATTGCATGGGGTGGGGGGTGGGGGGGATGTACTCATAAAAATTGGGAGAGAAACACGTGGTTTATGTATCTCACAACTTTAAAAATATCCCTTATATAATAAAAATGAATATAATTGGAATCATATTGTCCACAATAAAGATCTTCATTTAAGATGTATGTGTATGGGTATCTGCATGCGTGTGAATGTATGTGCTTTCTTTATTGAGCCTAGTATTTCTCCTTAACATTAACCCTTCCCAAACCAAGGTGTCTAGCTCAGGCTTGCAAAGAGAGGGCACTCTACCAAGGCAGTAGTGGGCATTGGTGGAGATGTTATATGCAATATATATAAATACACTGAGTACTTCCTTCAATAATAGAAATCAATAATTTCTTCCAACACCTTTTCTATGTATGGCAGAAGCAACTTTCTGCCACCCAAAATTCATGATTCAACCTTTTGTAGTATATGCACTGTTGTTGATGAGAAGCAGCTGCCCAGAGACAACTTCACCTGTCTCTTATACATTGGTATAGCCTTTACTAAGTTCTAGCAAAATGGGATCGAGCAGAAGTAATATGTACCACCTTCAAGGCTGGTACACAAAAGCCTCCTACTCTTCCTTCTTTGGCTGGCTGGATGCTGAGGATTCAAAGGCTCTAGTGCATAGTGGAGTCACAGGACAGAAGGAACCTGGATCCCTGTGACACCATGTGGCGGAAATCTATCTTTTCTTGCTCCAGGAACTCTTGCACTGGAATTTATGTATAGGGAAAAATAAACATTTGTTTTGTTGTGCCATTCAATGTTGGAATTTGTTTGTTGCAGCAGCTAACGTTACCCTAACCAATACAGAAGTCAAAGCCTTGAAGTAGATGCTGACAAAAAAAAAAAAATGTCTAAAATATCTGACACCAGCTTAGCAGTTTTGTGGTAGACACTGAGGAAACAGGCCTAGCAAGCTGGAAATTGCTGCTCTGCTGTAGTGAAACATTTGGTAAAACTGTCACCCTTGTTAACGTGGAAGGCAGACCAAGTGCCTACTGAGCCCGTGCTTCTCAGGGAAGTAGCAGGAAAGAGCCAGAATGCTAGCATATGTTGCTCTTCCCTCACTGTGTTTGGCAAGGTATTGCAAGAAAGATGAGTTCAAGATAAAATTAGCTGGTTTGCACACAAAAAGAAACAGAATTAAAGTATCAGAAATTTGGAGTCGCACAGGTTGGAAACAGATTCTGGAGGACAATGTGAAATAAGACTTTAAAAGCCTTTGAGCCACAAATGTCTACTAAAATTTCTCAGTTAAGCAAAGTGGCAGAGCTTTGTAGTTTGAACCTAATTAAGAGTGGAGCTTCCACACAGGATTATTATTCCAGATAGCCTCAAGGTTCTCAGCATCACCTTGACAGAGAGAGACACAGGGGCCAGAGATATATGCAGAGAAATAAAGCAGGCCCCACAGTTGTTCCAGGAAAGAACTTCTGTTGAGTTTCCTGGCCCGTGGATGCTGGAAACACAATGAGCAGTGTGGGTTATCTTTGTCAAAGCACTTAGTCTGCCCTAATAAATGCACTATCCCAAATAGTCACTTATTATGCATAGCTACTCTCCCAACTTGCACCGGCTCCACATTAATCTCACATTACCATTGTGTTTTGGCAGAGAAGCCTTCATTTAGCCATAGATATCATGTTGACTGAGTTTCTTACATTACTGTACATCTTGAATTAAAAGCTCCTAGAATAAATATACCAAGTATATACAATTTTTTTCATGCTGTTCCTAAGTCAGACAGAGCTACAGGATATACCATATACCAAGAATTGCTTAAGGACTACTCTTTTTGGATGGAAGAAATTATCAAAACTAGTATCCAGAAGAGATGTTCCCTAAATGACTACCTATAAATGGTGTCAACAGAGGGAAGAGGGACATGCAGGAACTAATGTTTTCTCTTTGGGGATTTATTAAATAAGAGCAACTAAAATGACCAAATTTTTAGTCATGTTGATTTCTGCTGTCTAAAAATCACCCAAAATGTCATCTCATCTTTGCCTGGCAGAGAAGTCCACTTCCAGGAAGGAGACACATAATCTTTTTCCTTGTTAAGCAAGTGATATGCACAGCAAAAACGAAAACCAAGTGAATAAGTAGTTATTATTAGTTATTAAACTAAAACAAATGAACTAATAAGTAAACTAAACCAAGTAAACTAAATAAAGGCACCAAGCACAGATGAGTTGTAATGCTCCAAATCTAACATTTGTGGGAGACAGGCATCGTTTTTCTGAATATTTTCAAATTATCTTTTTAAAACTCAGGTGACTGTTTTGTAAATTACAGATTTGCTGGAAGCACAGCATTCCCCTGGAGGAGCCCTGTGCTGAATTATTATTATCTAGGGATATTTGAATAGAAGCAATGGTCATACTGACTGTAAACTGGGCGAGCATTCACCTTTGGAGTGCTTATTTTCAACTCCCATGGAAACAAAACTCCCAGAGAGATGTGCATTTGCTGAACCTAGGGAAACCACTGCAGGGAACGGAGAGGAAGAGAAAGGGGAAAGGAGCTTGTGCACTCTGTTTCTCATGAGACATTACAGAATTTCTCCAGCAGCCTGAGGTTCTCTCAGCAGTTCTGAAATCCCAGTCTGTTCTGAAAGGCACATGCATCTAGGAAGAGCCCACAGCAGCACTCAGAGTGTTAATGATACTCTTATATTGAATGCTGAGGCAGATTATCTTCACCTTAAGCTTAATGCATTCCTGGAAACCACAAAGAGAACTGCTCTGAGGGCATCCCTTAATGGCAAGTTGTAGAATAAACTCTTTCTACAATTTTTTGTGACCTCACAATTGCCTAAAACAAGGAGAAAAATTATATTTGGAGCCAAAAAATCTTACACTCCTCATGTATTCCGCATGCCATCAATAAATCTCTGACAAATAGATGCTCAATTGACCTAGGTGGAATGATACACAGTGGAGAAGACTATTTCAGAAAGAAAACAATACAAAAATGTGTACTATTTTACCAAAAAGAATTATGGCAAAGGGACTTTTGACAGTGATTTTTCCAGCTCCCTAAGAAAGTATGTTAATTGTGTGAAAAGTCAAGGATTACTGTGAATGATAAGAATGGGCTTCCCCAAGGGGAAGACAGACATGAGGAGCAAAGAAGAAATGGAGAAGCCCATCCCTGTTCTGCCTGAGATGCTACTAAGAAGAAGAAATTGAGGTTGTAAGGGGCAAAAATCAGTGCCTGAGGGGTAAGAAGCCTCATAAAGGCTATGGAGATAAAGAAAATCTCTTAGAGCTGATGGGTTTCCCACTGACATTTATGAAGAATTCGCTGATGATTAAGTACTGTAAGCTTGGTGGAAGGTTTCAGAGCAATTTTGGAACAACATTGGAACAACAGAGGAAGGCAAAGTCAATGACACCAAGGCTATTGACTATTTTGTTTAAAAATGAGACGACGGAAGATGTCAGGAATTGGAGGTCCTTAACACTATTGGATTTGGGCTTTAACACACTTGTGGGAATTGTACAGTGAGTCCAGCAGTCGTAGCTGACAGAATGATGCACAAGGACCCAGACCATGCAATAAAACGATGGAAGATCATGCGCTGCTTAGTCACCCTAAGTGAAAGTGCAGGGCAAAATGAAGTTGGAACACAGTCAGGTTACTAACCACTCCTGGATAAAGACATTGTATTTCACAAGACAGTATGTGACTTTAGATGGCTAGGTTATGAGTTTGAAGCAACGTATTAGCCATACCAGAATGTAAGCAGTCAGGAAGAAAAGAAAATGTTAAAAGATATGGCAAAGAAATCCATTCAACTTTTTGCTGTGTGCATTCATAATTTATTTCTGATTTAAAAATGCATCAATATGAGACTAATGCTGAAAAGGAGCTACAGAAAATGCTGGACAACAACATATATGGGGGCCATTAATGATATGGGAAACTAAGAAAGGCTCACTTCACTTCTTTACCCACGGAAAGTTCATAAATAAAATTTTAAAACTGTTGTCTTAAGGAAAAAGAAATGTAAGTATAGGCACCCTAGTGCTATGGTTTGAACATATGTGTCACTCTCAACTGTATGTATTGAAACATAATCACCAAAATAATGGTATTAAGCAGTGGGGCTTTGGGGATGTGATTAGTTCACGAGGGCTCCAAAAGAGCCTTCAGAAAGGTGCTTGGCCCTTTTTTGCCCCACCATCCCTTACACCATGTGAGGACACAGCCTTGGCCCCTCCGGAGGACACAGCAACAAGGCACCACCTTGGAAGCAGAGACCAGGTCCTCACCAGACACTGACCTGCTGGCACCTTGACCTTGGACTTCCCAGCTTCCAGAACTATGAGAAATGAATTTCTTTTATTTATAAGATACTCAGTCTATGATATTTTGTTCTAACATCAGGGACAGATTAAAATGCCTATCCTTTATTTATGTCAGTACATCAGTTCTACAAACATATTGTGGATGATGTCGCAGCCATAAATGTCTCTTCTCTTTGTCTGTCTAAAAAATGTCTACTCATCAGTTAAGTCTCACCTCAGATAATGCCTTCCTCTCTATCATATTTCCACCACTTCTCAGATAGAATGACCTGTTTCCTCCTTTCTCATCCTCTTGCATTTGGTTTAAATTCCATGTGTGAACTTTATACTGTTGCAAAACAAATTATCACCAATTTAACATCTTAAAGCAACACAAATTTGTTATCTCGCAGTTTCCATGGATTAGGAGTCCTTATGTTCAGGCTGGGGGGTCTCCTCAGAATCTCACAAGGCTAAAGTCAAGGTGTGAGCTGGCCACATCTTCATCTAGAGACTTGGAAGTAAGGAAGTATCTGCTTTCAAGCTCCCTCTGGCTGCTGGCAGAACTATTTCCTTGCACCTGCAAGGCTGAAGTCCTGTTTTCTTGCTGGTTGTCCTTCAGTTCTAGACATGTGGTCCTTTCCCATAGGCTGCTTCCAGGCCAGCAGAAGAAGGTCTCTCTGATACCTCCCCTTTAACAGGGTTGACCTGATTAGGTCAGGCCCACCCAGGATAATCTCCTTTTTGATTAAAGGCAATTGATTAGGAATCTAGTCACAGGGGTGATATCTCATGACGCTTGTTGGTGCCTCCCACATTCAAGTTGGGGAGATTATACAGGGTGTATACAGGGGTAGGCGGATGGACTAGAGGGTTATCTTAGAATTCGGCCTCCTATACTCTATAACAATGAACGTGTGTTATATCCCCATGTCTATTGTGGCTAGAAAATATGCATGCATACACAGTCTCTTCAGATCACAAGCTCCCTGAGGGCAGAGACTGTGTCTACTCAAATCAGGAGCTTGATAATCAGCAACTAGCATGAGCTCAAAATATAGTAGAAATTCAATAACTTTTAAGTTAAATGGCAGTAGAAAAGCAACATAAACAAACAACAGTGAAACTTGGGATTAGGTTGGGAGGAATAATGAAAAATAGATTTGAAAATGGCATCAGAAGATAGAAAAAGGAAGGGGAAAAAATCCTGGGAATTATGGATGACGTCTTCTCACGATGGGGCCAATTCAGCTTGTCATGTTTCATCCAGACTTCTTCATAAAGCATGTACTATTTCACACTACTACCAATAGACTGTTAAATTTCTTCTGATATCATTTTAAATCAAAGAGAAACAACCTGACTGTCTCAGAAATGCAGGGATCAGGCTCTATACTGTACTCCCTCCTGGTCACAGAGCTCCAAGTGTGTTCCACAGGAGAGAGGAGGAGCTAAGGAAGACCTCTGAGGAGGAGAACACTGAGATCCAGTGTGTACACAGCTGGTGCTTGGCATGGCTGGATCTGAGACAATCACTTTTAGTGATTCAATCACAGCTTCACCGTTCTTGAAAATACTGAAAATTTCTGACTCTAAAATACAGATTTGGGCCCAAAGGAGGCCTGGTAACCTTAAGCTGCTACTGGGTTTAATCAGATGATGAAGATGATTAAGGCCCAGAACATGCTCCCTTAAATCCTGAATGGTGTACCTGAATAGATTGTGGTATTAGCCACAATATTCTGTCACATATTCTGTGACAATTATGACTAAAACCCTGGCATCTTCATTTCCAAACCTATCATCTGTGTAATGGACACAGAACAAAGCACAAAGCCTGAGACCTTCCCATCCAGCAGTACACTTACAGAATTGCATAAAAACCAAACTGCATTTTACTGCAGTCATGAACAAGAATAACATAATTGATAAAAGCTTTATGGTGAGATGGAGGCAGGAGTTTGAGAATTTCCAAGATGCCATGGATCAGGAGACTATATTTTTTTTATGGCCGAACTTTTTTTTTATAAGTTTTACGGTTGTGGTGTTTGCATTTTACAGCTCATTCTGAGAGGTGGATCTCAAGTTTTTCTAGGCATATGCTTAGAGGACTTTTCTTGTGAGTCACCAGTGCTACGGTAAATGTGAAAGGCGACATCATCCTGAATCTGAAGATCTGCAAAAAACCACTGTTTGGGTCACAGAAGAGCAGCAGAAAGAGCAACAGCACCACACCAAAAGCTGCAGACTTTGAAAACAGGGACAGACGCATAGGGTGTCTGTTCAATGATTGATGTTTCTGATCCAGTTGACTCAAGAAACAGTGGCAAATGAGAGTGAGGAAGCTGGTGGTGATGCTAACGAGGCTGACGTTGAAACTGTAAAGCAAATTCGGGAAGTGCCAGTGTTCCCAACTGGGAGAGAGAAAAAAACAATGGAAGACTTCAAACAGATCTAGCTCAGTTTCGTGAAGCTCAGAATTTAGGGATTTCTGCACGTGGGAGCTATCATCTTCATCAACAGACTGTTGATTTAATTTACCAGACATTTCTTATTAAAAAAATTTTATAACTCAGTGAAGGCAAGGCTCTGAAGTGGTCATAACCCTGGTGCCTGGAAAGGAAACACCTAATTCCTCTCAGACTTGCCTAAGAACTCAGGCAGGATAGCTGAAGTGACTGCTCTTGGAAGCCTGAGACTTGTGTTTTGTCATTTGAAATGTGAGTACTTTTGTGGCTGATAGAAGGAAGAGACAAAGTCAACTGTGCTGATGACTCCAGCTCTCTAAGCCTACACTAGGTCTAGAGCTACAGCTCCTCGTCTTCCCTTTGACATTAACACCCTGAGTTTTCCACCTTTTTTGTAAAAGGAGAAGAAAGCAAAGGTCTGGGCTGCTCAGCGGGGACTTCTGGTCTCCTCTGTCAGGGGACAGGCAAATCGAGTGACTAGAATCCTGCTACCTGGTTAGCTGGATAAAGGATTTAATAAAACAAATGAGCACACAAAACAGTAACATGGATGGTTTGGGAGGAACCTGTTGATCAGCCCTCCTATGTCAGTGAAAGAATGTGAGTTGGAAACATACACTGGCCCTCTTCTCCCTCTCACTGGCTCTTCTTCAGAGGGAAGGAGAGATCTGCCTGACTGGTCAGCCTGGGGGACTTCCTGAGCATGTGAGGTCCAGGGCTCAGGCAAAAGGTGGCGAGCAGCCTGCCAATGAAAGAAGGGCCTGGAATAGATACTATTCATTACCAGCGGCAAAGCTGATGTTGTCATCCTTCATGTGGCTTCCTGGTGTGTTTCTCCATTGGTTTGGAATATGCAGGCAGAGATGTGTGCTAAGTGCTTCTTTCTCCTCAAGCCTTCCCTCAAGGAGAGGTGGAAAAAGCACAGCATTTGACACCAAAGGCCTTGATCCAAGTCACTGGCTGTGCCGCCTTGTGTGCTTCTCACCAATGCTCTGAATCTCCCGGTTGCCTCGTCTGTAAAAGCGAGCTCATGCTATCTGCTCCACAGGCAGGATTGTGTGGAGCTCATGCAGGACAGCATTATCCAAATGTCTGTGATTAATGAGATACACATATTTTGATCTTCCAGAAAAAAAAGGAAACGAAACAATAACTTCTTTATAAATACCAGAATAATTAGTTCCTCATGAACACTTATTTTCCTTCTTTGTTCTTTAGTTTCTTTTTCTTTCCTCCCTGTTTGCATCCACTCTCATCTTTTTGCACTGGAGTTTCCCTGCTAGCAGTTTCAGAGGCAGAAGCTTGAAGAGGCTTTGAGTGCTTTTCTCCCTAATTGAAAGAGTAGCTTCAGTAGGAGATATTTTAGCCTCAAAAAAAAATGAGAAAACCAAATCATTAGAGAATAAAATAAGAACTGAAAGAATGGAGGAAAACAAAGTAATGGATTTTGAGGTGGGAATAAAATGTTAAACCTAGGAAAACCTTAGGAGATAATCTCTGTGAGGTAAGTGCAGGGGCATCAGAAAAGAAGCCAATGGATGCTTAATAGCCTGTTGCCCTGGGAGGGAACTGCCTGCAGCACATGCTCTATGCCTGGTCTTCATACTTGATGGTAATTCAGGTCAATGTTTACCTGCTTTTACAGACATGAAGACCCTATACCTCCCCTATTAAGGTTTACTATTATCTGATAATATCAATAGCACTTAAATCATTTTATACTATTAAACATAATGGCAACTGCACATTTTCAAAAGTAATACAAAAATGTCTAGGGCATATTATTTGTCCAGTCTACACTGGCCTGGACTCTGGACCCACGGATTAGAAGTCATGGCTTACTCTCTACTGGTGCTATTGGTGGCATAAATGCTTCCACTTTTGCTATAGCAACGAATAATAATAACAATAGAGTTCCCATGTATCAAGACATTGCGAAGCATTTTACGTGACACCTAGTTCATGTTGCTATAACAAGATACCATGGGCTTAAAACCAGTGGCCAGATAGCCATTAATGATGAGGTAGCCAGTAGCTGAAGTTTCTCTAGGCAGTTATTGACTTTAGCTGTTTGTTTACCCATTGTTAGCTGTCCTGCTTACTCAGCTGCACTGCCTCACCTCAGTTTCCGCAATGATCCTATAGATAGCATTTCACCCTGATGTATGGATCACAGGACGCTGGCTAAGCTGTTTTTCCGTAACTCAAGACTCAGCTCCGAATTCAGCTCAAACTAGTCCTGAATTACATTTTCACAGCCAAGCACAGTGGCTCACG
The DNA here is from genome assembly GCF_000001405.40 of Homo sapiens. Taxonomy (NCBI): domain Eukaryota; kingdom Metazoa; phylum Chordata; class Mammalia; order Primates; family Hominidae; genus Homo; species Homo sapiens. The sequence continues at coordinate 131,768,396 of NC_000011.10, read as the reverse complement.
CCTGTAATCCCAGCACTTTGAGAGGCCGAGGCAGGTGGATCACCTGAGGTTGGGAGTTCGAGACCAGCTTGACCAACATGGAGAAACCCCGTCTGTACTAAAAATACAAAATTAGCCGGGCATGGTGGCGCATGCCTATAATCCCAGCTACTTGGGAGGCTGAGGCAGGAGAATTGCTTGAACCCAGGAGGCGGAGGTTGTAGTCGAGATCACACCATTGCACTCCAGCCTGGGCGACAAGAGCAAGACTCCGTCTCAAAAAAAAAAAAAAAAAATAAGTTTTTGCAAGTGTTCAATGGATGAACATTTGATGTCAGAAGGCTGAAACTCTAATCATGGACCAAAAAATAAAAAAATTAAAAACTTAAAAAAAAAAGGAATTCCTCAAATAGCCTGATCCATGGACACCGGAATTTCCTCCATCCCAGCCAATCAACACATGACCTCTCATCACCCACTCCCCATCCCATTGGTCCTATCCTAAAACTACCTTACAAATGACCCATCGGGAGGTGGATTTGAGACTTGCTCTCCTGTCTCCTCGCTTGGATGTCTCATGAATAAAGCCTTTCTCTGCTGCAAATCTCGAAGGCTCAGGGATTGGCTTGCCATGTGTCGGGCAAATGGGTCTGGTTCAGCAAAAAGGCTGAGGGGCTTAAAAGAAGAAAATTTGTTTCCCAAATTTGTTTCTCACAGTTCTGGATGCTGGAAAGTTGAGGTCACAGTGCCGGTGGATTCTGTGTCTGGCGAGGACTCATTTCCTGGTTTGCAGAGGCTTTTCTTTCCTTTGTGTCCTCACATTGCTCTAACCTCTGTCTTTTCTTATGACTCACAAATCCTGCCATGGGTGCTTCTCCCTCTTGACCTCATCAAAACTTAATCTCCTCCCAGAGTCCCCCTCCTAAGACTTTCCCACTGGGGGTTGGGTTAGGGTTTCAATATAAATTTGGGGGAGACACAAATATGTAGTCCACAGCATGTAGATTTTCTTTTTTTCTTTTTGTAGGGACAGGATCTTGCTATGTTGCCTAAACTGGTTTCAAACTCCTGGCCTCATGCAATCCTCCTGCCTCAGCCTCCCAAGCTGCTGGGGTTCCAGGCATGAGCCACTGTGCCTGGCCAAAGCATGGATATTCTTGTTTAATTCTTACAACAATCCTATGAGGTAAGATTGTTTAACTCTTTTTGGATTTGAAGAAACCATATTTGGTTAAGTAATTTGTCTTTGAGAATTTAGTAAATCGGGAATCTGGAGCCTGAACTGTTGATCCTTACATGAGACTTACTTACTGCCTTGTCCAGAGTTCTAGGTACAAAAGCAGACACACACAGAGAGATGACTGAAATATTTAACTGACATTTACTTGGTTATATTAGTGAATAATTTAAACATTAAAAAATAGGCGCTAAGACAAAGCAAAAAAGATATGGTTGTGGTAACAAAGCCACTGGGAAAAAAGGACGGGAAATATCCTAGTGAAGGTGAAGTGAGGAGAAAAATGGGATTAAGAAAGGGATCAAGAGGCTGTGGCTGAATATTTACGGGCCCCGTTACTCACGTGGCAGTGACTCAAATGGGATGTGTAAGAATGAAGAGAATCTGATTGAAAAGGAAAATCGTCAGTGGAAAGGAGAGAGAACGCCTTGCTATAAATAATGTCATTTATATTTTTAAAATCACACATATATATAACCCAAGGAAGGAAAATGCTTCAATAAAATAATAATAACTCAAGGACAGGTGGAATAATGGAGGCTGCTCTGTCTGAGTTCTGCGGTTGATAATTGTACAAATGAAAGATTCTCAGCAGAAGGGGGGGGCCTGCTGTGTGACCCCTGGAAATGTCAGTGTTATGAATGAGCCCCAGAGTTCCTGCTCAAATACCAGTTTATAATGACAGCCTTGACGTACCTCCCGTGTGTGGCGAGGTGACAAGCTGGCTCTCCCTCGCTCCTCGGTGCATCTGATTTTGCTGCCATTCTGTCGCATCGCCCTCTGCACCTGGGCTGACTACAGCCTAGTCCTGCTGCACTCTCAGCTCCTGGCCCCTGATCCCCGAACACCCAGCATCAGACCTAAGCTTCTGGAGATGGGTGCTATGTCACTTGGATGCTGGTCATCAACTCCTCAAGTGAAAATGCAACCTGCTTTGCTTCCCATCACACAGGAACTATTTAAACCCAAAGGGCATATATGGACACATGAGAGCAAGTGGTCATTCTTCCCTTAAGTGAGGAAAGAGAAACAGCTGGCTGCCGTCTGAGCTGTGTGAGGTATGCAGGTCTAAAAAGACAAGAGTATGGGACCTCAGTCAGCCCCCTCCATGCCCAGGGCAATTGTTTAGTCATTTTGTTCCTAACCAGCTGCCTCACCCATTATATTCAGGTCCCTAGAATTTGTGATACAAAGAACAATGTACAGCTAGTCAATAGTTTATGTTATTTTAATGTAAATTATTGGTAATCAACTCAGAAACTGCCTCTTCTTTTCCTTTAAGAATCCACTTGTAACTGCAGCTAATGGGAGTGTATACTCAGGGCTTCTTGATTCTATGCTCTGGGGTTGCAGTCCTCGATCTTGGCCCAAGTAAACGCTCTACTTAGATTAATTCTTTTTAGATTGACATGAGCAAATGTTTCCTGAGTGTCTGCTTTGCTGCAGGTGCTGAGCTGTGGATGGGGTATGACTGTGAAGCCGGGCCCGGTGCCTGGCCTCATGAAGATTATATTTTGGTGAAGGACACAAGACATAAAGCCAAATGATCAGAAGAATAAGGAAGATGGCTGTATACATGGTCCATGTTATACATGAGATAAGTAGGACATGTACTAATGAATACAGGACATGGGGCTGGGTTGATTTACATGAAGCTTTGAGGGGAATTTTCCTAGAAGAGATTATACATAAGCGGATAAGATAGAAAATACATACTACATGATAAGATAGAAAGATTTCCAGGAAGAGGAAACTGAGTGCAAAGGCCCTAGAGAGATGGGGGTTGAACCTGGCGTAGCCTCAGAAGGTGTGGCGCCCTGGTCTGTAATGAAGAGTGAGAGGAGGGGAGTTTGATATGCAGAAGTCAAATCATAAAGGTATTTAGATTTAGGAGGTTGGTTTTACTTTCAGAGCAACGGAAAGCCATTGGAGGGTTGAAGAAGGGCAATAATGGCATCAGCTTTGCATTTTAAGGTGATCGGGCTGGCTGCTCTGTGGAGAATGGATTGGTATGGGCACCAGGAGAAGCAGGGAGTGGATTTGTCCCAGGAGGACGGCTCTCATACAGAGCATTCTTTAAGTGGCTTTCAGGATGTGCGCCTGCAGGGAGTACACAGTGTAACTGGAGAAGCGCCGGCTGGGTTCCACTACCAGTGAGCGGCAAGAACTTTGGCATGTCTTCTAAGGTTCCTGGTTCTCAAGCCTCACCTGGATGAAATAATCACAGCTCCCTTATAGGATAGCTGTGATGATTTAATCAGATGATGTGTGTGACTTGTCCAGCACATAGTGATCACTCATTGTGTTAGAGGTTAGCTCTCTTTAACTGTTATGATGTCTCTGGGGCATCTGTGAGAAGGGAGCTCCTGGGAGGGTGAGGACAAGGTGATTTATAGGAAGGAGCAACTTCGAGTCATGTTCTCCCATTAATCTCATCAACTGGTAGCTCCAAAACATAGCTGTCAACAGGCATCAATTATACCCCATGTAATTGCACACATGATTGTATTTAATTCTCACAATAGTCTTGCAATGCAGACATTACTGTATTATATAATTATCCCCTTTTTTGATATCAGAAAATTGTAGTCCACAGAGGTTAGGTAATTTGCTCAAGGTCACCCAGTTAGTGGCAGAGCCAAAATTCAGTCCAGATCTGTTGGAATCCAAACCCCATGCTCTCTCCACCATAACGGCTCATCCAACAGTTCGACAGCTGCTTTCCAAACACATCTCGGGTTCTTGGGATTCTACAACACCTGTGTCTCTCAACACAGGGTATCCTGTCTATGGAAGTCCCCAGGTGACATGAGGAAGAAGGAAATCTGCCCTCTCCAAGCCTGATAAAAAAGGACAAAAGAGACCGGTTCCATCTGGTGTTCTATAAAGCACAGCTTTGCCAGGTAAAGTCTGGAAATGAAGTTGCACCCACTGCTGAGTACCAAATGTTATATAGCTAATTAACCACAGAGATTTGGGAAGAAATCTATTAAAGAGACCAAATACAGTGTGAACAAAAAGCAAGTGGTAATGTTGCCGCTTATTACTGTTATGGCCATTAATATTAATATTAATGCTATTATTTAGTTTTATTATTACTCTGATACATCATTATTATTGCTGTCTCCTAGCATCTTCACCATAAATCTATCACCAAATGTTTTAGAGGTTTAATATTGTTATAGTTATGTAATTAAACAAATAGAAATAATCGTTGCAGAATTGCAGAGTTACATAATTATTGCTCCTCAATGGAAACGATAAATAAAACTTACATGTCTTGATAGCAGTTATATTAACAACAATGAAAACATTGAAGGCTAAAGCTGAAGAATTATGTAATGGTTACATAATTAAATAATAAATTATCCTGGAACTACAGGGACATGCACTATATAAAGCAGCGTACAGAATGGAGGGGAAAAGGAAATCATTAAGCAATGCCAAAAAAAAAAAAAAAAAAAAAAAAAAGAGAGAGAGATGGGCCTGTGGATAAGAAGCAGAGCAGCATGGGCCTGGGAATGAGGATCCCTGGGGTTTGTAGTACCCAGAGCTCTTCAGCTTCCCATTCTAGATTCAGACATGTATAGGGATTTTATCACTCCCGAAACACAAAGTAAGTTGTGTAAGGCTATAAATCACTTGGATAATATAATCCCCTAAACTGAACAGCTTATCATGTGTGGCATACATTTAATCTCTGTGTTTTAAATTATCTCAAAATTTAGCTTTAGTCTTGGCTAAGTGTTATATAACTACTCTTCAACGACCTGCATTGATTCAATGACTAGTGGGTGCACGTGGGGTGGAGTTCTTGCCAGGGTAGAGAATATTACTGTTTTGAAAATTATTCAGACACTCAATCTTGCATCACCACATTTCTTTGGTTGGGTTATCATAATATTAACATATCCAAATATTTGGAAAGACTAAAATATTTGATGTTAAATCAAATATCCAGTTGACTGACTGACTTGCTAATTTTTTATACCAAAGCTTGGCAGTCAGGCTGCCTGGGTTTTATGTAAAGGTGTGTTTATGGAGATCTGGTGTGGGGGCACCATCCCCTACCTGAGGACCATAAAACCAGCCCCTGCTCTAAAGACTGAGTTCAGATTGGGATGCCAAAGTGATGGCAACACACTTCACACCCTGAATCCGCCTGTCTCCCTGGGTGTCAGCAGAACCGAGCCCGTTGTTTGAATGGATGGCATGATGCGACATTCCCGGGCTGCCAGCAGCAGGCAGCATGAATAAGCACATGGCATCGCTCAGCGGTGACAATGGGGAGGCAGAAGGCTCCTGTCCAGAGCCAGCAGGGGACAGAGCCATGGGCTGCCAGCCTCTCTGTGATTCACATTTCAAGGAAGCTCTCAGTTCTCCATCAGGCCTGTTCTAAGAGCAGTCAGGCTGGGCATTATCATAATGGGGTCACCTGGGAGTCTGGGAATAGACAGAGGAGCAGTCTATTGGGGAGAACAAATTGACTCCTGTCTTGTTACTTGGCTCAACTTGACAGGCAAACCTGGTGATTGGAAAAGGACGGCCTCAGGAGAGGCCCACGCCAAGGAAGGGGAAGGGCGACAGGGCCGTCACACCTGCTGGACTTGGGGAGCTGGAGCAGACTGCCCGGCTTCAGGTCCTCCAGCTCGGGTCGTCATTTTCCAGTATTCAGCGCCAACCTGCCCTTGGCCTGCATGCAGCCCACACTGCCCATCTGTCCATGTCCCTATGCTACGGGGATGAAGAACATGTAGAACTCAAACCCTCTGTCGTCATTTTGTCTCCACCCCTGGGTATCCCAACTTTAATCCTGTGATCCTTTTTATCTTGCCCCAGAAGAGGGTGAAAATAGGGTCCTTCTCCAAATAAGCAGAGACAATTCCCACAATCCTGGGACCATAGGAACTTTTCTAAGGGCTCTTTGTACTATTTTTCTATTGAGCCACATGGGAACCTAGGCAAAGAGTGTCCATTTCCTTCAGATACCAAAGAGGGCGCTCCTGAGGCGCTAGGGTGCTGCCGAAAGTGCTGGGGCTTTGATAACAAATGAACCTGGTGTATTAGTCCGCCTGGGCTGCTATAGCAAAACACAATAGCCAACCACAGGTTGGCTTCAACAACAAAAATTCATTTTCTTATAGTTCTGAAGGCTGGAAGTCCAAGATCAAGGTGCCATGCCAGCATGGCTGGGCTCTGATCAGGGATCTCTCCCTGGCTTGCAGACAGCTGCCTTCCCATTGTATCCTCACATAGTGAAGAGAGAGACAGAGAGAGGAGACAGAGAGAGCATGCGCGCTCTTCCTCCTCTGCATTTATTATTTATTTATTTATTTATTTATTTATTTATTTATTTATTTATTTATTTATTGAGACAGAGTTTCGCTCTTATTGCCCAGGCTGGAGTGCAATGGCGCTATCTCTGCTCACCACAACCTCCGCCTGCCAGGTTCAAGCGATTCCCCTGCCCCAGCCACCTGAGTAGCTGGGATTACAGGGATGCGCCACCACGCCTGGCTAATTTTTTTGTGTTTTTAGTAGAGATGGGGTTTCTCTATGTTGGTCAGGAGGATAGTCTCCAACTCCCGACCTCAGGTGATCTGCCCACCTCAGCCGCCCAAAGTGCAGGGATAACAGGCGTGAGCCACCGTGCCCGGCTTTCTCCTCTTATGAGGGCACTAATTCCAATCACGCAGGCCTCACCCTCATCACTATATTTAGCCCTAATTACCTCTCAAAGGCCCCATCTCCAAACACCATTATTCAGATGCTAAAAGTTAGGCCTTCAACATAGGAATTTGGGGAGGGGGATATAAAACATTCCATCTGTAACCCTTGGGTTTTAATTTCAGCTTCTTGTTAGGTGTGGATCCTAAATGACTTCAGCCCTCTGAATTTCAGTTACCGCACCTGTAAAATGTGACTAATAAGCCTACTACACTGAACTGCTGTGAGGAATAGGATGTGTTCACACAGAAAAAGCCGTAACGCATAACAGGTCCTGCAAAGTCGATTCTCCTCCCTGCCTCTTGCCACTTTCACGGCGTCTCTGATTTAGTCTGGCACCAGTTTTCATCAAGAGTTCTGTCCTCCCCGCTTCCCCTGCCCTGCCCACCCCACATGAGAAACATCTTATTTAAGAGTCCCTCCATCCCGGTGGTTTTGGCTGGGTTGCAGCTATTTTCTCAAAAACAACAGCAGCCCTGATAATTCTCTCCCAGGAGCTAGGAAGGCTCCTCCTTTCCCTAGAGCCCCAGAAAGGAAGACGTCACTGTCACAGGGGCTTAGGAGGGACGTGGAGATCATTCTCCAGCATCGTGGGCACAGTCCTCTTCCTACGCTCCAACGTCCCCTGGAACAGGTTTCCTTAGCTCCCTCCGCAGGTTTCTTTAGTCACCCCGGCGACCCTTCCTGAGGCTCCTCCTCGTCTCACTTCAAAGGCCCTTGTGTTGCAGGGCCCAGATCCCATGAGATTCTTCCCGGAGATGGAACCCCGGCCCCTCCCCGGCCCCCACACAGCACTGACTGTCTCAGCAGGGTTATCTCTATTAGCCGCTGCCAACGTCAGTGCGTGGAAACAGTGCAGTGTGAGATGCTTCCCCTGACTAACGTCTTTGTACTGAGCGGGGGAATCAGAACGGAACAGATGTTTTAAGGACTCCATAAATCCGTGAAGATAAAAAACCACCCACCCAGCACTTTTTAACAATGCGCCATGCTGATGAACCAGCATATCGGAAATACCAAAATAAATATAAAATCCCACTGAAGCCTTGGAATAAATCTCAGGGATTTTTTTCTTTTTTCCCTTACAACATACACCAGACATCATTTTTAATACTCAGTGAAGACCCACCACTGGGAACAGAAAGTCTATAAAAACGCTGCTGCTTCCATCCGAAGTGACCCAATGATCAACCGCAATATGCATGAATCACCCTGCATCTGCTTCCGGAAAAACTCATTTCTCTCCCATAGAACCTTCTCCCTCTATCAACACTTCCAGTGTTGTCATGCTTCTTCTCATAACTCCTTGCTGAATTCCAATGAGGTTTTCTAATTAGCCTAATTAATTTTCTGCCCAACTTAATAAGACTGTCTCTGGTTCAGAAATAATTGGACTTCCCAAACACCATTTTCCCTCCCTCGATTTCTCAGTGGTGAGTTGTGATCCAGCCTCCTTTAATAATTCAAAATTAGGTTCTGCTTTTCAGATGATGGGTTCATGTTAGGAAAGTTATTTAGTTTTTTCATTAACACTCTCACATCGTTCTCTCCCTCCTGTGAAGAATACCTTAAAAAGCACTAAAAATAAAATGAAACTTGGATCCCTTCCTGAAGAGATAAATCCATTTGGGATCAAGATTTCAATGGATTCTGGCTTCCTAGATTATCAATTTCAGCAAGGTAAATTAATGACCTGGATAAAGAATATTCTTATAAAGTTTGGTAGCAGCTATGAAAATAAGCCCTAACAAGCCAAGTAATAAAATCATTAAAAAAAAAAAAAATCTTGAGCACTTTCAGGCAACTAGCTTCCCACGGAAGAGCTGGCTTCTCTCTAACCTCTTACAAGTGTGTTTCATGTGGTTGTGAATTTCTTACTCCAGGAAAATAGCATTGTTACAAATATTAGTGTGTTCTCCAAATGAGTTGAAAAAAAAGGAGGAAGAGAGAAGAGGTAAGGAAAGAGAGAGGAAAGAAAAGTTGGTAAGCTTAATGAAAATGTCCATGTCCCAATGCATGTTTGAATAAGCTCTGCAAAGCTGTGTAAATGGCATATTGTCTTTTGTTTGCTCTCAGGTTCCAGAACACCAGGCAATCATATCCTCTGTGGTATTGGTTTTGCAGCCCCAGAAATACTTCTCTTGGAACGATGAACACGGAATTAATTTCTCATTCCCTGAAAGCCTGAAGCAGTTCTTTAGAGGTCTTATAAATATGCCTGTGAACAGTACCAGAGTATGGAGAGCACAGTAAGATGTGTGACTCCAATCCTGCCTATGCACAGGGGTGTGCAGCTGTCAACCTTCTCATAATGGCAGCATGTTCTAAGTGGAATCATAAAGGTGTGAAGGTTTTCAAAGAATTTAATCCAAATAATATCCATAGAAGTGTATGCTTTATTTTCTTTGGATGACTCTAGACCAAACTTCTCAAAGATGAAATGGAGTTATTGAGGGTGGTTCCTTCTCTTAGTAAAAATGGGTGACCCACTCATGTTCAAAGAGTCACGGCTTCTTTGATGAATCATCTAGGCCGGTACAGGCTTTAAGAAAATATGCAGACGGCTGGACACGGTGGGTCATGCCTGTAATCCTCGCAATTTGGGAGGCCGAGGCAGGTGGATTACTTGAGGTCAGGAGTTTGAGACCAGCCTGGCCAACATGGTGAAACCCCTTCTCTACTAAAAATACAAAAGTGAGCTGGGACGGTGGTGTGTGCCTGTAATCCCAGCTACTCGGGAGGCAGAGACAGGAGAATCATTTGAACCTGGGAGGCTGAGGTTGCAGTGAGCCAAGATTGCACCACTGCACTCTAACCTGGGCAACACAGTGAAAGTTTGTCTCAAAAGAAAGAAAAGAAAGAAAGAAAGAAAAAAAGGAAGGAAGGAAGGAAAGAAAGAAGAAAGAAAGAAAGAGAGAAAAGAAAATAGGCAGAAAACTGTAAGTATACCAAACTGGTAAGTTTGGGGACAGTTATTTCCTGCTGAAGAAACAGTCTCTCACTCCCTCTCCTCTCTCATTAAAAGAGCTTTGGGGATGTTGCTTTGAAGACAGTGTTTCATAATGAAAGTGAAGTATGGTTCACTTTTTCAAATGTAAATAACATCCATTTGCCAGAAATGAAATATGGCCATATCACTAGCCCACATCATCAGAGTTTGCTACAATTAGCTAGCGGGGTTGGCGGGGGGGAGGGGGAAGACAGAAGTTGTATTAAAGGATCAAAAAAGAAAATGAAAAGAATGGTATGATTTGTAGCTATATATTTAAATGAAGCTTACTACTGGCCACCGACGAGGATAGAGTGAAACTGACTAAAATAGTCTCTGTTGAACTTAAATCTTGGGCTTCCCTAGTTGTTGCTTAAGTAAGGCTACTTGCTCTCAGCGGAGCCCTGTAGTGTCCGGTGACCATCTGGAGATTCTTCGAAATATGCTCCATTTAGAAACATAGACTATTCAATGGAGTTCTGTTGAAAATTTGAAGTTAGTAGAATAATAGCTAAACATTAAATCTTTTATCTACTTATCCATTTTATCCCTAGAATATACTTTCCATAATGGCATTTTTAAAACGTTCTTTGCATTCTAATGTTGGGGTGGGTTTCTTTCCTCAATTCTGGCACATTTTACTAATCTTCATCCCACTACTTTTACTCTGGTTGTTTCTTTGTATAATAATTAGATGACTTTGAATCCTGCTTTTATATGTATACCTTGGGAATAGCATCCTGTTAAGAAAAAAACAAACATAATAATAATAACCATCTGAGGATTTAACTTCAACTCACATCAGTGTCTCCAGTGGACGATGTCAGGGCTTGATACTTTCCACTTCCCCTGAGCTAATGGAAACCTCTGTTTACTCAGCCCCGTCTCACCTGGCATTGAATATGGACCTAACACGCCTGGAAATGGGTTCTAGAAGGGCAGGAAGAGAATCAGTGCCCAAATCTTCTTTCACTCATGTTTGCCTAGACTGTGCAGCTACATATCAGTCCTATTTAGGGTGACAGGTTAAAACCCCTTGGGAAAACGGTGTGACCTGGTATATCGTTGAAGAGCTAGACAGTTGGAGTCCATGCATGACTCCAGTAGAAGGAATTTGGTAAGAGAATTGGTTACAAAGCCTCCAGAGAAGTGAAAGAGATGATGAGACTACACAGAGATTAGCAATGACAGGACATCTCCATCAGGCCTAAGACTGAAGAACCAAAGAAAGAAGTGATCTTTCTGGTGGCAAGAGCTGCAGCTACCTGGAAGGAGCTGGAGTCACTGCACTGGGCCTATTGGGTGGAAACTGGAATCACAAAGGAGATGTAGCTGTTTCGGAGATGACGCCCCTTTCCTTGAAGGAGATAATGTATGGAATTAGGAGCAGCATCCCAAAGACAGGCTGCCCCTGCTGAAGGCATGGGATGTGGCTCAGGGCTCTGAGGTGGCATTTGAGGCCCTTGCTCTAAGCCACATCATCAGCCAAGTTTTTATGAATCATAAAATTGCTGGATCCCGTTTCTAAACATAGTCCCTGATTCTGCTTCACTGATCTTCCTCGGAGGTCAACTGCATAGCAGACAAAGAAGCGTTTCCTTTTAATAGCTGGGAATTTACTGGCCATAAATTTCACCCAGTACCCTAGGACTATGTGTTATGGTCAGGTAAAGTAAATCAGATGACTAGCCCGTTTTCTCTCTTCATCTTGAACATAATTTCCTCTTTTTCCTGAGATGAGATAATCCCTGATTATAGCAATTTTTTGTGTGTGAGACAGAGGTCTTGCTCTGTCACCACCCAAGTTGGAGTGCAGTGCTGTGATCACAGCTCACCACCGCCTGGATCTCCAGGACTCAAGCCAACCTCCCACCTCAGCCTCCCCAGTAGCTGGGACCACAAGTGCATACCACCAGACTCAGCTAATTTTTTTTTTTTTTTGAGATGGAGTCTCACTCTGTTGCCCAGGCTGGAGTGCAGTGGCGTGATCTCGGCTCACTGCAACCTCCGTCTCCAGAGTTCAAGCAATTGACCTGCCTCAGCCTCCCAGACAAGGTCTTTCTATGTTGCCCAGGCTGGTCTTGAACTCCCGGGCTCAAGTGGTCCTCTTGCCTTGGCCTCCCAAAATGCTGGAATTACAGGTGTGTCACCACGCCCCGCCTGCAATTCTTTAACAAGAGGAGATCCCTTCCAATTTGTCTGGAGTACCTCCACCGCTATTCTTCCTCACTTCTGTGCCTCCTTTCTTTTCCTTAAGAAGCATTAGCAGACAGTAAAAATGACATGACTTCCCCCTTCCTACCACCACTGACATAACACCTGCCCTTCACTAACACCAATGAGAGTGTGGGGTATTGATGGTGATAGCTCAGATGCAACCCAGGAGCCCTTTCAGAATTAGAGCCAATGCTGGCAAGGAGCTTCTCTTGTCTCCTGTCCAGGCCTCACAATTTTAAATTGTTTCCAGAAGTTAGGACAGTGATATCTCCTGGCCAATGCAGAGAAGCAGTGGGAAAGGAGACAGACAGTCCTCCTGATTCAAGGAAGCTAATGCTTCTATTGCCTCTCCTCGAATAAAATTTTGAGTTAGAGGTTATTATGCTTACTTTGCAGACATGTTAAGCAATTTGGCCAAAGCTTCAGAATGAATTAGGAGACAAAGTTGGAGTTAGAATCAAGGTCTGATTTACTCTAAAATCCACATTACTTTCACTATAGAGTGTTGCTCCCTATTTTCTATGTGAATAGCTTTATAAAATGCAAAACATGTTCAAAAGAAAATCCTTCCACACATGAATTTGAACATCCTGGTGATAATACACCATGCTGGAAAAGTTGCCAAGTTTTGGAAATAAAAATACAGGATGCCCAGTTAAATTTGAATTTCAGATGGCTAAATATTTTAATAAAAATATATGTCCCAAATATTGCATGGGACATACTTATACTAAAACTACTTATTGTTTATTCAGAAATTAGAATTTAGCTGGTCATCCAGTATTTTTTGGCCCTGCATGCGGTCCATCTGTATCTTAATGTCTTGAGCCCAAGCTTCACTTTGCTTTGGTAAACTGAAAATACAGTCAAGGGGAAGGTCATTGTTCTCCCTTCCACTCCCTTGCCAGTCTTCACCCCCAGGGTCATTGGGATTCCTGCTAGGCCAAGAGTGAAACATTGTACCTTTCATATATAAATATTCAGTATACATACACACTCAAAACTTGTGTGCCATGCTGTGTTCAACTGAGGTTTTTAAACCAATTTTTATTGTATAACTTATATACAATAAAATGTATCCATTTAGTGATGTGGCTCAATAAGTTTTGATGAATATTACATCTGTGTAACCACTACCCTCATCAGAATGACACTCTCACTGTCCCAGAAAGTTACCTCATGCTTCCTGCCATCAATACCCAAGGCTCTTTAGCCCCAGACCTTCACATTTCTGCTTTCTGTCACTTTAGATTAGTTTTGCCTTTCCTAGAATTTCATAAAAATGGAATCGTAGAGTTTTGCCATCTGTACTCTTCTGGATCTGGCCTTTTCCTCTCATCGTGATGGTGTGAGTTCATCTACATTGTTGCTTGTATCAATAGCGCATTCCTTTTTACTGCTGAGTCATATTTCATTGTTTGGATTTACTGTTAATTGTTTATCCACTCATCTGTTGATGAACATGGATTGTTTTCAAATTTGGCTAATATAAATAAAGCTGCTATGAACATTTGTGTACAAGTCTCTATGTAGACATATGATTTTATCTGTCTTAGACAAATACCAAGATGTGAAATGGTTGGGTTATATGGTAGTTGTGTGTTTAGCATTTTTTTTTTTTTGGAGTTGGGGTCTCACTCTGTTGCCCAGGCTGGAGTGCAGTGGTGCAATCTCGGCTCACTGCAACCTCTGTCTTCCAGGTTCAAGCAATTCTCTTGCCTCAGCCTCCCAAGTAGCTGGGATTACAGATATGCGCCACTATGCCCAGCTAATTTTTGTATGTTTAGTGGAGACGGGGTTTCGCCATGTTGGCCAGGCTGGTCTCGAACTCCTGACCTCAAGTGATCTGCCTGCCTTGGCCTCCCAAAGTGCTGGGATTACAGGCACACACCACCACGCCCAGCCCCATGTATTTAACTTTATAAGGAAAAAACATACAACTTTTCTTTTTTCTTTTTTTTTTAAATTATACTTTAAGTTTTAGGGTACATGTGCACAACGTGCAGGTTAGTTACATATGTATACATGTGTCATGTTGGTGTGCTGCACCCAGTAACTCGTCATTTAACATTAGGTATATTTCCAAATGCTATCCCTTCCCCCTCCCCCCACCCCACAACAGGCCCCGGTGTGTGATATTCCCCTTCCTGTGTCCATGTGTTCTCATTGTTCAATTCCCACCTATGAGTGAGAACATGCGGTGTTTGGTTTTTTGTCCTTGCAGTAGTTTGCTGAGAATGATGGTTTCCAGCTTCATCCAAGTCACTACAAAGGACAAGAACTCATCACTTTTTATGGCTGCATAGTATTCCATGGTGTATATGTGCCACATTTTCTTTTTTTAATTTTATTATTATTATACTTTAAGTTTTAGGGTACATGTGCACAATGTGCAGGTTAGTTACATATGTATACATGTGCCATGCTGGTGTGCTGCACCCATTAATTCGTCATTTAGCATTAGGTATATCTCCTAATGCTATCCCTCACCCCTCCAACCACCCCACAACAGTCCCCAGAGTGTGATGTTCCCCTTCCTGTGTCCATGTGTTCTCATTGTTCAATTCCCACCTATGAGTGAGAATATGCAGTGTTTGGTTTTTTGTTCTTGGGATAGTTTACTGAGAATGATGATTTCCAATTTCATCCATGTCCCTACAAAGGACATGAACTCATCACTTTTTATGGCTGCATAGTATTCCATGGTGTATATGTGCCACATTTTCTTAATCCAGTCTATCATTGTTGGACATTTGGGTTGGTTCCAAGTCTTTGCTATTGTGAATAGAGCTGCAATAAATATAGGTGTGCATGTGTCTTTATAGCAGCATGATTTATAGTCCTTTTGGTTATATACCCAGTAATGGGATGGCTGGGTCAAATGGTATTTCTAGTTCTAGATCCCTGAGGAATCGCCACACTGACTTCCACAATGGTTGAACTAGTTTACAGTCCCACCAACAGTGTAAAAGTGTTCCTATTTCTCCATATCCTCTCCAGCACCTGTTGTTACCTGACTTTTTAATGATTGCCATTCTAACTGGTGTGAGATGGTATCTCATTGTTGTTTTGATTTGCATTTCTCTGATGGCCAGTGATGGTGAGCATTTTTTCATGTGTTTTTTGGCTGCATAAATGTCTTCTTTTGAGAAGTGTCTGTTCATGTCCTTTGCCCACTTTTTGATGGGGTTGTTTGTTTTTTTCTTGTAAATTTGTTTGTGCTCATTGTAGATTCTGGATATTAGCCCTTTGTCAGATGGGTAGGTTGAGAAAATTTTCTCCCATTTTGTAGGTTGCCTGTTCACTCTGATGGTAGTTTCTTTTGCTGTGCAGAAGCTCTTTAGTTTAATTAGATCCCATTTGTCAATTTTGTCTTTTGTTGCCATTGCTTTTGGTGTTTTAGACATGAAGTCCTTGCTCATGCCTATGCCCTGAATGGTAATGCGCGGTTTTCTTCTAGGGTTTTTGTGGTTTTAGGGCTAACGTTTAAGTCTTTAATCAATCTTGAATTAATTTTTGTATAAGGTGTAAGGAAGGGATCCAGTTTCAGCTTTCTACATATGTATGTGCCACATTTTCTTAATCCAGTCTATCATTGTTGGACATTTGGGTTGGTTCCAAGTCTTTGCTATTGTGAATAGTGCTGCAATAAACATACATGTGCATGTGTCTTTATAGCAACGTGATTTATAATCCTTTGGGTATATACCCAGTAATGGGATTGCTGAATCAAATGGTATTTCTAGCTCTAGATCCCTGAGGAATCGCCACACTGACTTCCACAATGGTTGAACTAGTTTACAGTCCCACCAGCGATGTAAAAGTGTTCCTATTTCTCCACATCCTCTCCAGCACCTGTTGTTTCCTGACTTTTTAATGATCGTCATTCTAACTGGTGTGAGATGGTATCTCATTGTGGTTTTGATTTGCATTTCTCTGATGGTCAGTGATGATGAGCATTTTTTCATGTGTCTTTTGGCTGCATAAATGTCTTCTTTAGAGAAGTGTCTGTTCATATCCTTCGCCCACTTTTTGATGGGGTTAAAACATACAACTTTTCAAAGTGGTTCTAGCATTTTCCATTCTTACCATCAGTGTGTGACAGTTACAGTGGCTCTATATCCTCCCCAACAGTTGGTTACCATCAATCTTTCAACTTCTAGCCATTATCATAGGTGTGCAATGGTATCTTAGTGGTTTTGGTTTGCATTTCCCTGAGGTCAATTGAGTATTAAAATATTCTGGAAAATTACGTCAATGTTGGCTTCTGCATTTATGAAGCAATTTTTTGAGCATCAGTGTCGTGTCAGGTATCACACTACAGCCACTGAGTCTAAAATGGCAAGTCACAGATATAAGTCACAGATATGATCTTGGCCCGTTATGGAGCTTATAATCAAATGTGTGAGGCAGATGTTAAACAAACACATGAGTATAATTATATAGCTACAAATGGTAATAAGTATATATTTTGGGGGGGGGTGAGGGGGGGACGGAATCTTGCTCTGTCAGCAGGCTGGAGTGCAGCAGTGCCATCTTGGCTCACTGCAACCTCTGCCTCCCGGGTTCAAGCGATTTTCCTGCCTCAGCCTCTCGAGTAGCTAGGACTACTGGCACATGCCACCATGTCCAGCTAATTTTCTTTTTTTTTTTTTTTTGAGACGGAGTCTTGCTCTTTTGCCCAGGCCAGAGTGCAGTGGCAGTATCTCGGCCCACTGCAAGCTCCGCCTCCCAGGTTCACGCCATTCTCCTGCCTCAGCCTCCCGAGTAGCTGGGACTACAGGTGCCCGCCACCGCGCCCGGCTAATTTTTTGTATTTTTAATGGAGACGGGGTTTCACCGTGTTAGCCAGGATGGTCTCGATCCCCTGACCTCGTGATCCGCCCACCTCAGCCTCCCGAAGTGCTGGGATTACACGGTGGCGTGAGCCACCGTGCCCAGCCTTTTTATTTATTTATTTATTTATTTTTTATTTTAGTAGAGACGGGGTTTCACCATGTTGGCCAGGATGGTCTCAATCTCCTGAACTTGTGATCCGCCTGCCTTGGCCTGCCAAAGTGCTGGGATTACAAGTGTGAGCCACCTTGCCTGGCCCATAAGTATAATTTAAAAAATAAATAGATCACACTGAGAGAGGATATCAGGGGATAGGCAATAAGAAGGGCATCCCAAATGGCCTGAAGAGTGATTAGGAGGGTGGGAGAAAGTGGCCGTGGGGTGAGTGGAGGCTTCTTCCAGATGGAGAAAAAGCCCCATGTGGGAGTCTCAGGGTGGAGGTGGGCTAATGCTGTCCTCTCAGCCTGGATGCAGGCCCCTGGGATTGGAAACACCGAGGCAGGGGAGGAGGCCTGTGGTGAGGAGAGAGAGCAGGCATCCCCGGACACCACAGAGCTCCACAAGGCCTGGGAAGCGCTTAGGATTGGATCCAAAGTGGAATAGAAAGTCACCGCTAGGTAAACAGGAGAAGCACAGGCTCATTCAGGCTTTCAAAATCTCACCTAGGCTCCAGCAATGAGAGTGACTGAGATGATGGCAGAGTGAGATGCTAGTCAGAGTCTATTGCTGTGGTTACACAGAAATGACCAAGTGGTGGGCTGTGGTGGAAAGCGGAAATGAAAAAATTCAAGATGCATTTTGGAGATGAAATCAACAGGATTTAATAATGACTTAGATGCCAGGATTGTAGCAAAGGGGGTGGTCAGGAGGCCACTTGGTCTCTGGCTTGAGCAATTGGTCTGATGGAGGCACCAAGTGGAGAGAAAAAAGACCTGTATGGTGGTTGGAACCAGGCACCCTGCAGTGGCTCCAGTAACTGTTATGGCAGGCCAGTGTGGCAAGCTCTGGGGAAGGAGGTGAGGAGCTTGTTGCCAGAATGACACTTTGCCTGGCAATGAAAACACATGGGTATGTGGCAATGTACATGTGACTGAAGGCCATAACTTAGAGTCTCTAAGGAGACACCAAGGAGGATCCAGGGACACCACACACAGATGTGTAGATCCTGGACAAAGGTGGCAACACCCAATCTCAGGAATAAAATAAAAAGAGTTCTCTCTCTAAAATAAATGCAAGGTAAGTATTTGGAAAGACAGACTTAGAGAGAAATGATAACGTTAGGGGATGAGTGCTTTCTCTCCGTTGAGTGTAAGCAGGTGCCTAATGGCTTTCCACCTAAGGTCAGGGGAAACCCAAGGCTCACAGGGTTCCCAGACAGCATGCCCAGCTTGCTTTCATCTGGCATTCTCGGAGCAACTGCTGCATCCAGGAACTCTGCCCAATGCGAGAAACACAGAAATGTTTAAGATTCGGTGTCTGCCCTGCACAGCTGACAGGGAAATGTCCTGGTATCCTCTACATAAAACGATGATGCCTGTAATCCCAGCACTTTGGGAGGCTGAGGAGGGCAAATCACCTGAGGTTAGGAGTTTGAGACCAGCCTGACCAGCATAGTGAAACCCTGTCTCTACTAAAAATAGAAAAAATTATCTGAGCATGGTGGTGGGCACCTGTCATCCCAGCTACTTGGGAGGCTGAAGCAGGAGAATCTCTTGAACCTGGAAGGCAGAGGTTGCAGTGAGCTGAGACCATGCCATTGCACTCCAGCCTGGGTGACAAGAGCAAAATTCCATGTCAAACAAAACAAAAGAAAACAAACAAAAAAACAGTGACAATGCAGGGACATACGTCAACAACAGAGGTGTGTCCCAGGGGCTAAGGGATCAAGGTAGGGACCACCTAACAAGTCAAATTCCTTCAATTATTAAAAGAAAAATAATGATTTGCCTGTAGCATATAGCCTGTAAATGTCATAATGACATGCATTCTTCTTGCCATTTTTAGATGCTCACTCTGTGCCAGACACAGCTCTGAGCACTTTGTAAGCTCTATGTCATTTCCTCTTCATAGCAGCCCTGGGAGTGGATATCTGTATCATTCCCTTATTACATGCCAGGAAAGTGTGGCTTATACATCTTCATCGGTCCAAGCTCACATTCTTAGGAAGTGGCTAAGCCAGGGTTGAAACCCAGGTCCCTGTGATCTGTACTGCCACACTCCTGATCACTTTATGATTTCCAGTACTGAGTTGATTCAGAACAACTTCATCCGGAAGTAAAGTTGGCTGCATCTGTTGTAGCTTCTCCAGTGCCCACTCCTGTTTCAACTGTTGATTTATCACAGTGCCCAAAGAGTGTTGATTATTTAAGTGCAATGGTCATGATCTAAGTGCTGAGGACATATGCTACTCTATGTCCTTTCTTTTCTGTGTGAACAAAATGAGGAGGCAGGCCACAGAGGTACACCCAAGAGAAAGGCCGAGCCGGGGCCCCTCTGATGTCAAAAGCCCCCATGCTGTGAGGAAAGCAGGGCCGCCTGGCACTGGGAACCGTCCAGTCCCATACACTCCTGCAAGCTTTCTGCCCAGAGGCCAAGCCTCCAGGGTAGTGGAGAGAAAGAGAAGTAGTGCCAGGCAGTCCCCTCCCATCTGTTTTGCAGAGGAGAGCCATTCTGAAAAAGCACATCGGATTAAATAAATTAAAAGAATTGCACCCCCCTGGGAACATTCTCAAAACAGAAGGTCATTTGAACCGATGTGTGATTCACTCAGAGGCTCTCTTCTTATAGGAAACGAATACATTCAAAATAAAATCACTTCATGGAGTAAGAGGCAGTGGATGGGCACAGGGAGGAGGGGGCAGGTCATGGAAGGCACAGTGTTTACAAAGCCATTAAAGGAGAATGAATAGATCTAGCCTGGTCCCAAAAGGCAAAGAAATGTGAATTTTCACATATAAATAGAAAACGTTTAGAATGGTATTAATTCAAGACCAAGCTCCTAATGTCTTTCCAAGTTAGCCGGCTGTGCGGCGTCTGCTTAGCTGCACTGACCCCTGCCGGTGAGAATCCAGAATTATCTGCTGCTCTGCCACTATTTTCAGACAATGTCCACAGTCCTGGTGACTGCGTGGCAAGTGTGTGTCCACCGTCATGTACTACATGATACATGACCTGGACGCCTAACCAAGAACCACTTTGCCACTACAATACCCAGAACCTACTAGAATATAAGGCACATAGTAAACCCTTAACAGACTTGGTTGAGTGACTATATGACCAAGCATGTACAATTCTAATACCTAATTGAACACATTTAGCTTATGGCACCTTTATCTCATATGAACAGTACCATCAACGCTTCTTGTACACAAGTAATGGATTCTGCTAAGAAAGATGTATCAGGTAATACTGAAGTCACAATGCACAATGGCAGGTGCTATGTGGTGCCCGGCGAGTACAGTGGAGGGCCTGTTGTCAGTCATGGTGACACGGTGGTGATGTGTTGGTTGTGTCCTGGTGGAGACATTCCTGGGATCACAGGATAACGAGGAGCTTGTCAAGCTAAGGAACACGGGGAGGGGATTCTATGCAAAGACAATACAATGTCAATGGCAGAGACATGAAAAAATTGCATGGAGCTTTCAGGAAATTCCCTTGCTGTTGCTGGCAGTTCCAGTGAGAGGCAGGACTGGCAGTGGCAGACATTTAAGAAGTCATGTGATACAAGGCTCTCTGGATCCCAAGATCCAGAAAAGCTTGAGATCATCCTATGGTCCATGTGGCCCCACAGAACTGTTTGACATTTAGAAGCAACATGGTTTATTTTGCATTTTATTTACACCACTCATCTCAGATGTGGAAGATGATTTCAGGGGTATGGAAGGAGAACAACGAAGGCCGAGAGTCCAGCTACAAAGCTATTGCATTTAATAGGGACACAGGAGGAACTTCATTAAGATGTTGGTAGCTTGAATGGCAAGCAAAAGGCTGATGGGAGAAAGATTTAGGAGACACAACCCAAAGGCACAGATATGTGTGCTAGCAACTGGAAGAGAGAACAGCTTCTGCAGAAAGACTCAGGTGGAGGAGGAGGATTGTGAGGAAATTCAGAAGAGATGCTAAGCTTGGGTGCTCGTGGGTTATTCAGCTGGCAATTCAAAGAGTGAGTTGTAAGTTCATAGGACAGTTTGACTGCACATAGAGTTTGGGGAGTTGTTGATTTATAGATTGTAGTAGTGAGAAGCACATTTTCCATCTGTGCCTTAGTTTCCCTCTAGCATATTAGTATAAAAAATAAATTGCTCCTAAGGTATGCAGTGGCTTCTAAGAAAGGCTTATCATAATCTTAACATATATGTATAACAGAATGCTTTATTAAAAAATATGTATGTCATTTTTCTTCTTCACCACAAAGGTATATGTTAGATATTTTTACACCAATTTTACAGGTATCAAAATTGAGTTTCTAAGATTAAGTAACATGGCTATGACTACTACAGCAAATTGATAAGTGACATGTGAGGACCTCAGCTCCAGTCCTCTGATTCTTTTCGGTATCACTGACTCATTGTTATAATAATTTGTTGACATCGCTGCCTTTTTCGGAGGGTACACTAGACTCATGAAGGATGATACTGAAATTCAAAGTTTTATAAAAATGCCAAGCATATGAAGCAGGAAAAAAAAATAGCAATGTCCCATCATTTATAAAACTGAGCTCCTTGGAAGATAAAGGTTATTTAAATGCATAGGCTTATTAATGTCTCTGCATACTCACAGTTCTATCAATCTGAGCATAACCTGAAACTGCAAATTGTACAGGAGGAGACAGACAACATGCTTAATGCTTATCTTGATCTGGAAAATTATACCGTAAGGATCAAGAAAGGCAAACTTAGTGCCTGGGAACATAATGGAAAAACGTATTCATGAGCATCTGTCTTCCTTCTCTTTGCCGCTTCCTGCTTTCCTCTCTGTAAAACTTCCGCCACACCAATTTGGCTACATCATTTTCCTACACACAAGTCAGTGGAGAGCTCCCCATTGGGCAATGTTTTACTTTTCCGGCGTTGAAAAAGAGCGGCACAGCATGCGTCCAAATCCCGCCAGCATGTAAGAAATGTACCCAACCAGCCCGTGAAAGATGTCCGTCCCTGATGGTTGCCACAGGGAAATGAATTAAATCTCACCAGCCCTGAAAGTCACCTTCGGCGGGAGGATTTTTGTTGTTGTTTTCCCCACCACATCTACCTTCACGGTCCTTCTGATTATATCCATGGCAGTAGGAGAGGATGACGACTCCCACAAAGAGGGTAAAGGAAACATTCCTGGACAGACGGACGATGGCCAGGCTGAGGGTTGGGAACACCCCTGCCTCCCCTCACAGGGCCCTGTTCTTTTGTTGGCAGCCTCCCACCAGCGCACGTGATAAAGGGGGCAGCAGAAAGAGGGACACAGGCTGGAGAATGAGCATATTTCCTTGAAATGCTTCTTTCGGTGAATTAAACAGGGGTTTTTTGCAGACTGAAAAGGATTTATTTTAGTGCTACAACTTCTCTTATTCTCTGTAAAGGAGTTAGCTTCCCTAAGAGCTAGAAATATTTCCCAAGAAATATTTATAATCATCCTAACATATTTGTATAATGCTTTATAATAAAATAGATGTCTCATTTGTCTCATTTTTTTTTCTCACCACCTACTATAGGTTAGATATTTTGCCCCAATTTTACAAGTAACAAAATGGAATTTCTAAGATGAAGTGACTTGGCTAAGGCCACGAGAGCAACTCAGGAAGTGATGAGTCAGGACTTCAACTCCAGTCCTCTGATCCTTTCAATATGTGTCACTGACCCCTTGTTCTAGTAATTCGGAAACCAAGGAAGATGAGGGCGGAATGATGGGGCCGAAAGCTGTACTAAGCCAGGGAAAAGGCTCCGATCAAGCAAAAATAGCGATTCTGATACTACAATGTTTGCACAGGGCTTTTACACTTTTCAACACCTTCCAAGTTATTCCATCACTTTGGCCTCATCTTGCAAGGCAGGTTTTGATAACCCTCCCCAGTTAAAAGATGAGGAGACTGAGAGCAGTGCCCTTCACCTGTCCCGGCTCAGCCTCCCTGAATGGCACCTCCTCATTCCCTGTGTAGGGGACAGGCATTCTGTTCTCTTTAGGAATCCCTCCAAGTCCTACAGGGAAAGCTCGAGGAAATACAGCCCCAGTATTACAAGCCATAATCATTGTCACCCAAGGCTATAACTCCATAAAGTGGTTTCTGGTAGCACCATCAATCAGAGAGCAAGTCAGCACAACCCCAGTGGAAGTCCAGGCCTCTGTGTGTCAGAGTTTGTTTTAGGACTGACATCCCTTTATAAACACCACAAGCGGCTCCAGTTGAATCACCATTTGCAGCTCTGTCTAACCCTTCTGCGTCAGCACTCAAAGTGCTTGCATTTGCCCAGGAGGTAAATGCAGATGCAGCTAGCAGCCCACAACTGTCTAATATTTAGTCGGTATCCAGCGATTCAGATGTGATACGAACGCTGCACTGACACACCGGTGTGGTGGGATTATGTCAGAGGAATACACAACAACTGGGATTTGAGCATCTTTGGGGCTAAGGAGAGTCCAGTTAGTTCCATATTCTATTCCTGCATCCTGAATAAACTGGGTTTGAGGGTAAGTATGTAGTCTGTCCTTAAATAACTGCAGAGGACACTTGTGCTTGTTTACTAAAATTGTTTCAGAGTCCAGGAACAACACAATTAGGAAATTCATCTTTTTTTTAAAAAAAACATTAATTTTCTAACCCATATCCAATTCCTTAATAGACTTCTTCTTTCTTCCTTTTACCTCTCCTGACAGCTTTTCCGCAGACTGCTTGAAAAGGGAATTGCCAGCAATTTTTAAAATTGGGAGATACTTTCCCCCAGGATACTTTGCTTCTAATGACAGTCATTCCTTTTATGTTTTTATTAACTTGAGTAGGAAGGAGGGGTTGATTTGCATGTTCTGTATTACAAACAATAATAATCTCTGTACAAATGTTAGATGGGAAAAACATGTATTTGCAGATTTGCTAAAATATTATAAGAATATAGTCTACAAGAATAAAGTCAATTATTCAGTCCCTTTAGATGTTAAATTGCAAATTATTTGTATGGAATTTAGTAATACTTAGCACTTTACATATCTAAAGTACTTTACAAACACTAACAAATTAATCCTCTCAATGGCTCCTTAAAATTAGGAATAATTACCTCTAATTCACAGATGGGGAAATCAGGAAAGGTTAAGAGACATGCTTCAAGTTACAGAGAAAGTTGCTGTCCCCAAAGACAGGAAGCAAAATAGGACCTGCTTCTCAAGTATGGGCTAATTTTGGAATATCAAGAGTTTCTAGCATAAATGGTCATTTGGGTCTCATCTTAAGAACTAATTTGATGATAGATTATTGGTATCACAATATGCCATAAGAAAAATGGAAATAACCACAAAGTATACATTTGGTCCAGGTTCCAGAATGAATAGACTAAATGGTAAAATATGCATTGGGGAATTGTACTGGATACAATAGCTCTTCTCCCAAGTACTGGATACATCAAAACTCTAGTTTGTCTGTATTATGCTGAAGGATGTACACAATTTCAAAAGAATAAGAATGGCTGCTTTCACTGTTTCACACGACCTCCTATTCTTATTGCTTTTTGCCTATTTTCCTTGAGCTATGGAAGGAAAGCCACAGGTGCAGTAGCTTGCAGGTGTATTTGCAGAGTTGGTAAGTCATAACTCTGCCTGATATGCCTTCATTCTGGCCGACCACTTAGTAGGAACTCCACATATGGCAATTAAATTTAATTGAATCTATGATCCTGAACACTTTTAAAATATGCATGGTGAATTATTCCTTTTAGGAAGAGTACTATGAAGGTTCTAGTGGTATAATTTATTTGGTTTTATTTTGTTTCATAATTCTTGCAGAAACACACCACATCTGATTTCTGGAAAATAAGTTTTTTAATGAAAACTTTCTAAAGATAAACTTCACAATAGGCTTCTACATTTTATTTCCACTTCTATATTATCTCTATCAAAATTATTTCTTAAATAACTACCAGACACTGGAAATGGACATATCTTAATCAAGAATTATTATCTCTAAAATTTGA
Organism: Homo sapiens; assembly: GCF_000001405.40. NCBI lineage: Eukaryota > Metazoa > Chordata > Mammalia > Primates > Hominidae > Homo > Homo sapiens. The sequence continues at coordinate 131,743,243 of NC_000011.10, read as the reverse complement.
AAAAAAAAAAACCATTAACAATAACCAGTGAAATGCACAATTAGGAAAGGGTTAATAATAAAGAAACAACTTGTTAAGTCTTTGTGTTCAGGTCTGTTAAATATATGTCTAAAGTCCCAACTTTTGTTGAGACAATGGCATACATTATGAGAGAGAAAAATAAATAAAGCTTATTTTCTGAACTCCTTTCTTGCAATAATTGAACTGAACAATCAAACAAAGCTAAAGACCTCAGGTGGTTGACATAAATGCATGAACAGCTGATAAAAGTGAAGTTGAATCTATTGGGCGCTCATGTCAACCTTAAGAGGCCCCCCTTCACTTATCTCCTCAGTAGACAAGCGTTTCCACATTCAGTTCATGCAGATTTAATGTGTACACTTGCTGCATTGTTGTTCTGAAAAACAAAATATGATTTTATTTCTATATTCTTGCCCTTCACCTAGATTCTTTTCTTCTTAAATGCATTATGCTTTCTTTCTGTTTCTCCCATAGCATTTGATTCTATTTACATTGGTTATTTAATAAGAAAATTTTTTAATTTTAGTTGAGCAGCTTGTTTACCAGACTTTCCCTATTTTAAATAAAAAGACATTAAATGAAAACAAATAACTCACAACATATTACAATTGACATAAGTGCTCTTTAATACTGGAAACAGCTTGCCTAAAATCATAGATTCTATGTAATTCACAAAGGTTATTTTTCCAGTCCAATAGAAAAACTGTATCATAATTCAGATTACAAATACCAAATGATATTTGTATGCTTTTTATCTGTATTGGTGATTTCTTTCAAAAAGAAAAAAAAAGTCATTTTTATAGTCTTTATCACAATATAAATAGAACCAAAGGATCATAAAATGAATAAATTCCAACACGAGCAATGAAATAAACATGTGACTTGTAAAATAAAGTAACAAGTTATTGTTTGGAAATGTTTTCCAAAGGCCATGACAAAATTTGCCCAGAATTTACACATTTTGAGTTTATGTATTCTTTTATTTTTTATCTTTTGACTTTTAAGTTCAGGGGTGCATGCACAGCTCTGTTACATAGGTAAACTTGTGTCATGGGGATTGGTTGTACAGATTACTTCAACACCCAGGTATTAAGCCTGGTATCCATTAGTTATTTTTCCTGGTCCTCACCCACCTCCCAGCCTCCACCCTCCAATAGGCCCCAGTGTGTGTTGTTCTCTTCTGTGTCTCTGTGTTCTCATCATTTAGCTCCTACTCATACGTGAAAACATGCGGTATTTGGTTTTCTGTTCCTGTGTTAGCTTGCTAAGGATAATGGCCTCCAGCTCCATTGATGGTCCGGCAAAGGACATGATCTCAGTCCTTATTATGGCTACATAGTATTCTATGGTGCGTATGTACCACATTTTCTTTATCCAATCTACCACTGATGGACGTTTAGGTTGATTCCGTGTCTTCGACAGTCCTCTGCTCTACCAGCTGAGCTATCGAAGGAAGCATGAGTTTATACAGTCTATGACAATACATTTCTATTTTTTAATTCACAAATTATGTAAAAATATAGGCCATCCTTTATTTATATATTCATGTTCTCCTCTTTCTCTTTGAATTTCCTTAGTCTCTGCTTTCAACTATGTTTTTATTAATAATTCCACTTACAAACAAATTGCTTCTAATATGGAAGTATTAAAGTAGTTTGAAGATGTACTTTTTATTTATAATTACATTTCTACCGGAAAATCCATGATCACCAGAGTGAATAAGAAGGCATATCACTGCAGTGCTTAGGAGAAAAGTCCAGCTTCCAAAGGTAATCTGAGAAAACAGAGCGCATGTCTATGCTTGGGACACATTTGAAATGGGGATCAGCATCCCTCGTGCTCAGGCACTCAGACCCCCAGTGATGAAGGCTCCACTCCCACAAGTGGTACAGAACTCAGGCCCTCATCCTGCCCTCCTCCACTTATCTCCTTCCAACCAAACCCAGCCCCTTCTGGGTAGGCTACCGCCCCTGGACTTGGGCTATTTGGAGGTGCTCCCAGGCTCCAAAAAACATCTCTCTCTCTCTCTCTCTCTCTCTCTCTCTCTCTCTCTCTCTCTCAACGGGGTCTTGCTCTGTTGCCCAGGCTGGAGTGCAGTGGTGCAATCTCTTCTCACTGCAGCCTCCGCCTCCCGGGTTCAAACAATTCTCCTGCCTCAGCCTCCCAAGTAGCTGGGATTACAGGCACTTGCCACCATGCCCGGTTAATTTTTCTAGTTTTAGCAGAGACGGGGTTTTACCATGTTGGTCGGGCTAGTCTGAAACTCCTGACCTGTGATCTGTACGCCTCGGCCTCCCAAAGTGCTGGGATTACAGGCGTGAGCCACCATGCCTGGCAACACCTTCTCTCTTAAAGTCCAAGGAAATGATCAAAGATGATCAAACTTCTATTGTGACCATTACACTGTGCCTGAGCCCAGCCGACCCTCAGTTCCAGCTGCCACATTCAGGGTCAATAAACTATTATTCTAACTGCTTTTCACAGCCCACTGACTCGAAATTGACTGCCTGCAGCTCTGTTTTACTGCATGGAGAGGAAAGAAGGAGACAGACAGAGACAGAGAGAGACTCATGGATTAGAAGGACAGAAACCCCAGACAGAGACAGAGAGAGACTCATGGATTAGAAGGACAGAAACCCCAGAGTCAAGAAAAAAAATTGAAGAAAATAAACACTTTTCTATGGATTTTAGTGTGAGCCATCAAAAATGACACACATCGTTTAATTAGTGTCCTACCCTTGTCCAATTAGTAGGTAAGAACTATTTTGTGGATAATAAGCTAAAACTAATAAAATAATAATATTACTAACAGCCATTTATTAATTTAAAAATGGAACTATTTGTTGAGCGTTCATTGTGAGTATTCATTTTGTGCACCTTAGACTCCTTATGTGCTCCATACATAACCCTCACAACACCCCTTGAGACAGGCAACAGTTATTACCCTTATTTTACAATGTGGAAATCGAGGCACATGGATGCCGGCAGCTCTCCTAAAGACCCAGAAGTGTAACCAGTGAGGCTGGGAATTGAATACACTCTTACAACGTAGCCCATGCTTTCCACCACACCACTGTGATCTCATTCATCAGCCCTGCGAGTGAGGCATTATCCCAGTATTGTAAATAAGAAAACTGAGAGTCGGTGACCAAAGTAACTTACTCAGCAATCTGCGCAGTAAAGTGTCAGAGCGAAGCTTCAAACCCACGCTTGGCTCCAAAACTATTGATTTTTTCATTAAACCAAAATGTCAGATAATCACACTCCTGGGTGTAAGAGACTGTGCGTTTAGCTCCCTCCTCATTGTTGGTGTTTCCCTGTCATTTTGAGGCCCCCTTGCTCATGGTTTTCCAGGGTCTTCATCTTCAAGCTGCTGCTATAGACCTGTCTGCATTTGAAGAGCGAAGAGAACGCAGCACTTCAGGCTGCCTTTGGCAACTGCCGTTTCCCATCTGGGACTTTGTGTGACACTGGAATGTCCCTCTTTTCATGCTGCTAACACTGCCCTCCCTAGGAGAGTCCTTATGTGATACAGCAATACCTTCCCATTCATCCACTGGAAGTAAATAGGTAGGTTGCTCTATGGCTGACAAGTTCCAAAACGTGGCACTGAGCTTCCCTGACTTTTAGAGTTCTCCACAGGAACCGCGGAGGACAGAGCATGCACATAGGTATGCCAACGGCGGCCAGTGTGGGGTGAGGAGAGGCTTGCCATCCGGTCAGAAAGCAGCTAAGAGACACAAACCTTTCTCACTATGCTGGAATTGCACTGATGCAATAATGGCAGCTCATTATCCCTGCGGCCTTTCAAGGGAGCCATTATTATCCTCACTTTTCAGATGAGGAAAATAAAGTTCCAAGAGTGTGAGTAACTGACTTATAATACTCATACGTGATAAAGTTGAAATTTGAACCTTAAAATGCTCTGTTCCAAAACCCATCTTCTTTTGTTTATTTCATTCCAACAAAAGCTGTTTTGATATCTTGAAAGCAGTCAAAACACTATTAACACTGGACTCTTTAAAAAAAAAAAAAGAAAACTTGTGGGTGTGGGAGTGTGAGGAAGGATTTAGAGGGTAACACTTTTCCTCCTGAAGTCCACTGAGGCATGGAATCTCAATCATCTTTATAATGTGACTGTAAGCTTGGCAGTGGGAGGGATTGTTGCTTCACTTGGCAGATGGAAAAATTAGATGAATGGCCACTCAGGGCCAGTGACAAAGCTGCAGGGATCAAAGCCCACATCCCTTGGCCCCAAGTTCAATCCAAGAGACCATAGAATCTCATTCTGGGGCTTTGACTCATTTGACGGGAGTTGTTCACACCACCCAGGTTGACTTTCTGACATATGAAGTCTGACCAAGCACTCCTCTCTCCACGTACAAATCATTTACATTCAACATATTATAGGGAAATTGAAGGAATGCCCATCACATTGTGAATAAATAGTTTGCATTCACCTTGTAGATGTCAAAATCACATAAGCTTCTCTGGGGAGTAATTCATGGCTTATTGGCAAAGCATAGATGTCCACCTGAGGGCCACAGAACATAGTGTCTAATTATACCCAACAAACAATAGTGGAGCTATGTATGGGCAATCGAGAATTGACTATGAAAGTTAGGATAAGAAGGGAGCCACAGTTTCCCTGAAAATTCCTCTAGAACTCACAATATTGAATGCAGTGTAAAAGCCACTTCACTTTCATGACTCCGGAAAATTTTGCATTGGTTCTGCCCTATTTCACAAGTTCTTAGCTTGATACTAATTCACAGTGACCATTTTTAGCAGGTGAACACAGATTTCTGCTGGGCACAAAGGTAATGGGAAATGTGTAGAGACCATGGGAAATGTGTGAGACCCTTCTTGTGTCTGACACTTAAAAGAGAAGCCTGGTAGTGCCTGTTCCACAGGGTGAAACCCATAGGATGAGGGGTACCCCAGAGCCACCGCCATTCACCCCCACACTGTGGCAAGCAACTCAGGACCCTGAGTCCTGCAGTTCTCTGCATTGGCCTGGATTGCACATGTCCATCCAAAAGAAGAATTTGAGGAGAGAAACCCAGGAGTGAGGGCTGGCCCCGGCCATCCATCCCCATCCCCTGGCTTTGCTGCTAATGAAAACTGCTGCTCTTGGTGAGCCTGGCAACTTCAGGGACATCGGAGAGGGAAAAAAGCCACTGAAAACTAAGGCGTCAGTTTGATCTACAGTGTAATTACAGCCGTGCTGGGAGACAACACAAATTTGGCCCCTGTGCAGGCATATTTCTTTTTGTCCAGAAATTAATTTTCATATCAAAAAAGAGACCATTTAACTTCAGAAACCAAATAGGACAAAGGAAGGAAAATATAGAGAATGGCAACCTGGGGCCCGCGGTGTCAACCTTGTACTGGGCATTTATATTTTTGACAGAGTTTGAGGAGAGTGGGAATATTTTCTACCCACCCCCATCCTGCCTCCTGCTCACTCCAGGGCAGAAATCAAGAGTCGGATTCCAAGCGGAAGATATTTGCAGAGGCAAGGTTAGGCGAGAAGGCAGAGGCACATAAAGAAGGCGAAAGAGAGAAGGGAGACGGAGCAGAGAGCACGGACATTGCAAAACCCAGATCTATTCATCTTCCCCCAGAAACAGGGAGGAGGAAGTAAAATGATGTTTGGTGCCCTCTGCTGAGTTCTGGAGGGCAAATGAAATAACAAATAAGAAAATGCCGAAAAATCAACACAGTTTATACCAGATAAAAATAGACATACAGTAAAACAAATAACATGAATGGTTTCTCTTCTACTGAGAAGGGAAGTGGAACAAATGTGCTAACTGAACTTCAGAACAAAGGTTCTTCTTGATCTCTGCTGCTTGTGGTCCAGGCTGAAGGTGGTTCTTTTAAGACAGAGAGGTGAGATCCACCATCCCTGCATCTGTGGCTCTGCTTCGACCCTTCCAATTCACTTGGAATCATTCCAGCCACTTTGTTTCCTTCCTCAGCCTTTATTGCACAGAGTGGTTGGAGCTCACCTCACAAGACCAATTCTCTTCCGTTAAATGAGCTCTTCTATGTGGGATGCCTCACAAGATGCCAGATCCATCAGAACCCAGTAACTGTCCATTCCCTCCCTGCCCTTGACACCATTAGCCTGACAGCTTGACATCCAGAAGTAGCAGCGTGCTAAATAAATGTACAGCACCGCCATGCCTATGAAGGAGCAGGCATGATTCTAAGCCCCCTGAGGAGAGTCACTGTATGAGACTCTTGCAATGGCATTGCTCCCTGCATAGTCATCCTCCATTAAGGATGGCATGTTTTAAAGTAAACGTATGTGACAATAACATGTGCAAATGTGATGGATCAACACTGAATTCTCAACGCAGATAAATGAAGCTCCTTCCAGGCTGGAAGCAGGGATGACACCTCTCTCCTCATTCATCCTTCCCTTTCTGTCTCCCTCGTCTCCCCTTATGCCACCCTAAGAGAAGCTGCGGAAATGTCTGCACTATTTTTACCAAAGTTGAGTTACGCTCATCATCTACCTCTTTTTCTCTCTTATTGTGTCCTTGGCTGCCTTGCCAAGGAGTGAGAGGTTTTTGGCAGATATGGAGCTAACATTAAACCATCTCTGAGCCATCTCCAGCTGATGAAGTGTCAAATAAGATGGAACAGAAAGTGAGATCCATTTGAGAAGCAGCTGAATTTGGGCTGATTGGCAGAAAGGGCAGAAAGGGCTACGCCTCCCACCGGGCACCACAGAGCTTTGTAAGTGGAGAAGAGTTTGGACCTCAGACAGATAATGTGGTTTTTAGAGGCACCTACTATACTGTGTTTGCTAAGGACTTTTGAATGTGTGAACATTTTCCCCAGCAGTAGAAGAAGCCTGGAGGGTTACTGGAAGGCAGGGAGAGGTGCCCATGACTGTGTGAAGGAGAGCTGTGACTACTTCCATGACATTTTGGATACCAAGTAGCTTGATGGCGTAGAACTAACACTGGATTCTAGTACTAGCTGTAGAAGGTTCGGGGAGTCCAGGGCCACTGAGGCAGGTGACTTTGGACAAGTCACCTTCTTAGGCCTTTGTTTCTTAATATTTATCTCATGAGGCTGGGTGTGGTGGCTCACACCTGTAATCTCAGCACTTTGGGAAACTGAGACGGGAGGATCACTTGAGGCCAGGAGTTTGAGACCAGCCTGGCCAACATGGCAAAACCCTGTCTCTACTAAAAATACAAAAAGTAGCCAGGTGTGTTGGTGTGCACCTCTAATCCCAGCTACTCGGGAGGCTGAGGCACGTGAATCTCTTTAACAGGGAGGTGGAGGTTGCAGTGAGACAAAGCAAGACTCCATATATTTTTTTATACACACACACACACACACACACACACACACACACACACACCTTATGAATGGAAATCTAAGGAACGGCACAGGCTTCTGACTCCCACTCCTGTGTTCTTTCCACCACAGTGTGGGCCTGGACACATCGATCTTTGCTGAAGGAACCATGGAAAGAGCGACTGAGCTAAGGGGCATGGAAGCACCCAACAAAACCACAGAACACCATGGAAACACAGGTGGCGGTTTAGCATCTATCAAAGGTAGAACTCAGTGATGTATTCTTGCTCAAACTCAAAAACACTTTGTCGGGGCATATGTGGAACAAGACTAGCCTATTCTAGCTCTTTCTTATTTGTTCCACCTGATTTTGTTTCAGACAATACAACCCCACACATCCCCCTGGTTTTTCACACCTGTGTGTTTCATCACAATGACTTTAACTACACCACAATGACTGTCACTTCTCTATTGCATATTTTGGATATAAAAACACATTGTACTTGGCTTTTCTCGTGAACTGTATACTGAACATTACATCTATGTTTCCGATGGAGGCACTGAGGGTCAAAACCTATAAGCGAGCATAGAAGATGGGGGAAATGAAGTGGGAACCCCATTTAAATACCACAAAGCTTTCTCCAGGACCTGGGCAGCTGTGAAGAGTGCCTTGGAGCTTTGCCAACATCTAGCCAGAGGAGAAATAGTTTTCAGTTTGGCTTTCATTATGAAAACGTTTGCTTTTCCTCATCTTTCCCCCCTCCGCCTTGCAACACGTTTTTGGCAGGATCAGCTAAATAAGTTGTTATACAATCTAGCACCTCTGGAGACCTCAGTGGCAAAAAGGCCATTGAGTCAGATGGAAAGAATTTTCAAGTTCTCAGGAAGGATTTTGTCACATATTCCTCGTTGATCTTGTTAGCACCTGTCACTGTGAAGTTAGCCCCTTGGTTATGTTTCCTCAGATTTTTCAGTATTTGTCATCACATTTCTGTTGTTCTTGGTGTTATTTTAATTATTCTTTGTTCTTATTACTGGATTTTAATTGTCTGAACAGCTCCTGGGTGGAGAAATAATAAAAGGAGGTATAATAATGACTGTGAGATGTGGCAGAGGGGGATATTGCACTGTTGGTAATGCTGATATAGTTATTTAGTTTATTAATAATGATGTTCATAGTGGCAACAATAACTTGGATACTCACTCATCTTGGAGTAAAGCAAAGGGGAAGAGCTGGGGTATTGATAGTGTAGCTACCCCAAAGGAAGAGGACATAGGGCGATACGAGCACAGGGATAGCTGGGAGTCAGGGGTGGAAGCAGGCATTCTTGACTGCGTCCTGCCAGTGATGAGGCTCACCCCTCTCGGCAGGGGCTGTGTCTTATTTATATCTGGGTTCCTCTACCTAGCACACTGCTAAGCACTTATTAGGTCCATGTTTGTTAAAAGGATGGGGGTAGGGAGACCAGGAGGCAGAAAAGGAGGAAAGGAAGAAGGGAAGGAAGAAAAGACTCACTAAGTAGAAAAATGTAAATCAGAGTCAGAAAGGGTCAAGGGCAATGTACTGGATCTCACAGTGGCCCCATCAAATCCTTCAGTATGAGACCATGGCAGCGGCCATTCAGCCACTCCAAAACCAGGTTCGTTTCTGGAGTGACCACTGAAAGGACAGCCTCAGTTCACCTAGGAACTCAGCTTCAGGGATGGGGGATGAGGGGGTAGAATTATGGGTGGGAAGCTATTGACACAGACTTGTCCCCTGTCTTCTCTTGTCTCTCCTCCTGCATGGCCCCACTGGAGGGTCTCTTTGTTGTCAGATACATCTGTGCCCCACTGCAGTCTGCCATCAGTTGCTATTGTAAGAATTATTTGTTTGTCAATAAGTTATTCCAAAAATAATTATTAACGTAGACAAAAAATTATGAACAACACTACTCTTTACAACATTATCATAATATCAGGTAATCTGAAATTATCTTAATGATCAACAATATGGTAATGTTAAAAAATTATGACATATCCATATGATAGATTATTATGCAGCTATGAAAATAACATTTCAGGTCGGGCACAATGGCTCATGCCTGTAATTCCTGCACTTTGGAAGGCCGAGGCAGGTGGATCACTTGAGGTCAGGGGTTCGAGAGCAGCCTGGCCATCATGGCAAACCCCCCCATCTCTACTAAAGATACAAAAATTAGCCAGGCATAGTGGCGTGTGCCTGTAATCCCAGCCACTTGGGAGGCTTAGGCAGGAGAATCACTTGAACCTGGTAGGCAGAGGTTGCAGTGAGCCAGTGAGCTGAGATCGCACCACTGCACTCTAGCCTGGGTGACCGAGTGAGACTCTCCATCAAAAAACAACGAAAGAAAGAAAGAAAGGAAGGAAGGAAGGAAGGAAGGAAGGAAGGAAGGAAGGAAGGAAGGAAGGAAGGAAAGAAGGAAGGAAGGAAGGAAAAGACATTTTACAATAAATTTTAATGGCATAGGAAAATGTCATGATGTTAAATGGGGGAAAATCCAGGAAATGAACAAGAAAGAAAAGTCCTCGTTAGTGAAATGATGAAAGAGAGGACTGGACTATCCATCATAACACACCTTGGACGCCATGTTAATGGGCCCTGGATTTAGTTCATGGTGATGAAAAGGATATCAACATTCTACCTAGGAGAGTAACATGACTGTTAGCTGACATGAAATAATTTTTTCATTAAACCAAGGTTTAAATATTTGGTTAATATTTGTCAATAAGTTATTCCGAAAATAATCATTAACATAGACAAAAAATTATGAACAACACTACTATTTACAACATTATCATAATATCAGGTAATCTGAAATTATCTTAATGATCAACAATATGGTAATGTTAAAAAAATTATGGCACATCCATATGATAGATTATTATGCATCATACTAATTATATGTGTACATCATACTAATTATATAAATTAATAAATAATAATCACTGACATAATATTAATGTAAAACATTCTATTATACCAACAAAATCAATAAAAATACTGAAAGATATCATTGGGAACAAATGACAAAAGCACGTGAGAAAGTATATATGACTCCAGAAAATGTATGTCTCATCTGTAGATTCTGTATCCTAGCAAAAGACAAGTGTCAACACAAATAGACTCCGCTAAGAATTACTCCAGTACCCTCTAGGAATACATAAAACCCATTATCTCAAGCCCGGTGCATTGTTGTTGGATAACATAATACATAAAGGTAACATGCATCCAACAGTAGTACACTAGGCTTGAGATAATGAGACTTTCTGTGAATGAAACACCCGTGGAAATCAAAAGTTTGGGGGCGTTTCATCAAAATAACAATTGGTAAATTGCCTTCCAATTTCCCCTTCTGAAATCTCACAGTGAGAAAGTTTGTTGTCCAATTCGGCATGACCAATTCTGTGTTTTAGAAAACAACTCCAATGAGGCTGAGAAAGACAGGACAGAGAAGGGGTAGAGGGTGGAAGGCAGGACCCACAGACATGGTGAGGCCTGATTCCCACCCAGTGGTAAAAAGGTGATGGATTACAGAGATTTTCTATGATAAAGATGAACAGAAAATAGGGACAATTAGATAAATAGAGCAGGAATGAAGAGAGAAGCGAATATTTACAGAGGTTCAGAAGTTAGCTCAGACAATTGGGTGAATAAATAACAAATTGGGTTAGTAAGTAACAAAATGCAAGCTGGATTTTGTACTTTCTATTGTAACAAGAACTTGCTGTAGCTTATCTCATTAATTCTCATGACAGCCCTATAAAACAGGTTCTTTAATTATCTTCAGTTTATAGATGAATACGTGGGGGTCCAGAGAGTTTGAGTTAAATGCGCCCAAGATCAATCACCCAGTTAAAAAGTGCCAGAGATAGTTGAATTTGAAAGCTCCTGCCTCTTCATAACCACTCTGCTCTACCAAGACTAGTAGGGCTTCAGATACACAATAGCGTGTACAGATAGAGGCTTGGGGGAGAGGTCCGCCCAGCAGCACCAATGCATGGAACAGATGCCAACAATAACCAGCATACCCAGCTCAGGAAGTCTTTTCTGCATAAGGGAGATTCTCCATCTCTGAGACTGCGCTGAGGAGGCCCTTTCTCCTGTAAACGGATTTTGGTGAACTGAGCCGTGGAGTCCAGGCAGCCACTTGCCCACTATAGTTGAACTTCTGTGAGGAAGCTTTGCAGCCAATGTTCAGGCCAGTTTTGCTCTGACTGCTTCCACTAAATCAAGAAGAAAATTGAAAAGATTAACGTATGCAGGCCCAGGTCCACGTGGAGGACTGGAAAGGTGATGATTGGTGCCCCGGCCATGACCTTTATTGTCCACTGATGGACCTGGATGAGTGTCAGTTGTGTTTGAAGCTGCATAAAATGAACTGAAATAAGAGGAATAAACAGGAGCATTTAAGGCCTTTTCTAGAGGAATTTGGAGCTGATTAAATAACATCATATACAAGGAAATGCTTTGATCTCACTCACAAGTGGAAGATCAGCATCAAGACTAAGTGTTGACCTGCCCAAGGAGACTAAACGAGTTATTTTAAGCAATATGAAAATGGGAGCTGACCTACATATGTTAGATCTAAAGAAAACAGGTGAACATAATGAAGAGAAGGTACACAATGCTTGTGATTTTCCTTTTGAGTCCTCTAAGTAGAGCAAAATTAGAGTCAAGAGATTGGATGTGGAGAGATAAGGGAAGACCCCACACGGGAGGAGGAGGAGGAGGTGCGCCACACAAAATGTTAGAACCAACAGTCAGATCAGTTCCATCAAATTGTAGGGTTTTTATAGCATAAAAAATCATAAGAGAAAACAATTCGATATTCTTAAACTTAAAAGTATTTCATCAGAGTAAGAAAAAAAAGCAGCCTCGTAGTTCTATGCACTGAAGCATTGGGCAACAGCCCTCTAACTAGAATTCTTTTTTTATAGTGAAACTTGGTGAGATCTTACTGTCTGGCTCCTGGAGCTGGCAATGACCTTTCTATGGACTGTTTTATATCAGAGAGAAACTACTGACCCTGGGCAGGTTGTTGATTCTAACAGAACTCCTTGAAATCCGAATTTTGCTCTCAAAGAGGCACCCCAGATCCATTCCTGACTTTTGTAGATTCCCTGCTCTTTTCTTCGTCTTCTTCTCTTCTTCTTCTTTTAACAGATAGGGTCTACTGTGGCACCCAGGTTGGAGTGCAGTGGTGTGATCACAGCTCATTACAGCCTTAAGCTCCTAGGCTCGAACAATCCCCCAGCCTCAGCCTCTTGAGTAGCTGGGACTACAGGCAAGCATCGCTGTGCCCAGCTGATTTAAATTTTTTTTCTAAAGACCAGGCCTCACTCACTATATTACTCAGGCTGGTCCCAAACTCCCGGGTTCAACCTATCCTCCTGTCTTTTTCTCCCGAAGTGCTGGAGCTATAGATGTGAGCCACCGAACCTGGCCTTGTCTTCCTACTAGACATTTCTCCCCTTTATGACTTCAGTGCCCATCTGCATGTTCACTACTACAAAATCTCTAACCCCAGCCTTATCTGCTCCACATATGTGTCCATGTCTTTATGTGGCATATATTACTTCTTAGTCAATTTTACTTAAGTCTGCTATCTCAATCTCAAATACATCATATTAAAATTAATTGCTAAAGATATGCAAATGGCTGGTAAGCATATGAAAAGATGCACAACATCATTAGTCATTAGGGAAATGGAAGTCAAACTCACAGTGAGATACCACTTTACACCCACTAGGATGGTGATCATCAAGATGACAGACACTAACAAGTGCTGGCAAGGATGTGGAGACCCTCCTACATTGCTGGTGGGAAGGCAAAATGGTGAAGCCACTTTGAAAAACAGATTGGCAGTTCTTTGAAATGTTAAATATAGAATTACCATCTGACCTAGCAATTTTACTCCTACATATATGCCCGAGAGAAATTAAAACATTATCCAAAAAAAAACTCTGTATGTAAATGTTCATAGATGCTTTCTTAATGATAGCTAAAAAGTAGAACTATTCCAAATTTCTATCAACTGATAACAATTTCAATTGATAGATGATAAATGGATAAAGAAAATATGGCATATCCACACAAGGAAATATTATTCAGCCATAAAAGGAAAAAAAGTGCTTTTTATGCTACAACATGAACAAAATGCTAAATGAAGAAGCCAGAAACAAAAGGCCACATATTGATTAATTTCATATTTGTGAAATATACAGAATAGACAAATCCATAGAGACAGAAAGTAGATTGGCAGTTTCCAGGGGCTGGGAGGACGGGGAATGGGAAGTGATTGCTAATGGGTACAGGGTTTCTTTTGGGGGTGATAAAAATCGTTCTGGAATTAGATAGTGGTAGTGGTTGCTTGACTTTGCAACTACTAAAAAACATCATATTATGCACTTTAAAAGGGTGTTTTTTGCAGCATGAATTATATCTCAATTACAAACAAACTTATATACTGTGAAAATTAACTTGTTTTCACAGAACAACTCTTGTTTTCGACATCCCATCTTCATTAGCAGTCCACAATAACCCAGGTACACAGGTGTGAACTCAGAGTGCACTGTACCAATATTTCTCAAATACCCGTTGTGTCTAATGGCCCTGAGGGCTAAGGCTAACCCTTATCGAACACTCAGGTCATTCCAGAAGCTCTTTGGCATCTTTTACGTGTATTAACTCATTTAATCTTCATTGGCAATCCCTTTGAGCAGATAAAAAAAACTCAGGACAGAGAAGTTATATAAGTTGCCCAAGGTCACATTTTTAGTACATGCCTGGACATTTTAGATTTCAAATCCATATAGCCTGACTCCTAAATCAATAGTTCTTTCTTATCATTACACACTGTATCTCAACCCTATGATGCATTATCTTATACCATATATCATTTGTGATATTGTAAAATAGATATTTGGTCTTCAACCCTGTTTCCTGACATACAACTCCTAAAGTCTTTAGAATCTCCAAAATGGTGTCTTTTTGTACACTAATGAGTTGACTGGTGGTTGGAAGTCCCTAAGTAGCTTCAGTATAGGGACTTGTCACCTGTAAGACCAAGGCAGGATGAAAGAGTTGGGACGTTCAGCCCTACCCCTCTTTCTCTGGGAAGGACAGAGGGGCTCAAGGTTAAGTTGATCACGAATTGGCCAATGGCTTAACCCATTTATGCCTGAGGTTGCAATTTTTCGAATTTGAAAAATCAGGCCTTGGCGATGACCTTGAGCAGCAGGACATAAATAACCCCCACATGCTTAGTGTTCCAATAATGGAACACTGGCATAAATGGGTTTTAATCAGCCATGCCTATGTAATGAAGCCTCCACAAAAATCCAAAAAGATAGGTTCAAAGAGCTTCTGGATATGTTCCTGGAGGGTGGATCACCCAGGGAGGGAATGGTATCTCCATGCCTCTTCCCCTGTACCTCATCCTATGCATTGCTTCACCTGTATCCTTTGCAATACCCTTTATAATAAACTGGTAAATGCAAGTAAATGTTTCATTGAGTTCTGTGAGCCATAGTAGCAAAACAATCAAACCCAAGGACAAGGTCATGGAATTCCTGATTTGTAGCAGGTTGGTCAGATGCATAGGCTTGCCACGGGCATTAGAAGTGGGGAAACAGTCTTGTGGGACTGAGAGCCCTCAACAGGTAGGATCTGACTCTATCTCCAGGTAGATGGTGGTCAGAATGAAATTGGATTGGATGCCACCCAGCTGGTGTCTGCTGTGCAATTGGTTGCTTGCTTGTTGGTTTTTTCCACTCACGTCTTTACATTCCACTATACTAATGAACACCTAAAGAGGGATCCTGGCTGAGCAGGTAAGTTCTTAGTAAGTGTTTGCTGCTATCATTATTGTTGTTATTACTCTGACCTCGACTCTACATTAGGCAACATGGTATACAAGCTGGCCCTGCTCTCATGCAGCTTATTTTCTAATAAACACCTACAAAAATTATACAATAAGGATTTAACGCATGCTATATATCATGTTCTAAAACATGCAGAAGACAGAGGGATTTCTTGCATTTTGGGTAGTCAGAAAGACAATGGAGGTGGTTGCATGGAAACTGGGCTTTGCATAATGAGCTGTATGACAGCAGATTAGCCTAAAAAATGGGTAAAGGAGAGCAATGCAGACCTCTTCTGGATTCTCTCATCAGTGTCAGCCTGGGACTGACTTTCCTGGTTCCATATTCTCCATTCCACAGTCTGTCTTGAAGACTGTTGCCAGAGTGATTGTCCTTAGATGTTGTCATAGACTGTCTGCCTTTGAACAAAAACCTTAAATGGGTTTTTTCTTACTTAGTCTAAACTCCTTTCCTGGCATATTGGTAGGCTGGCCCCTCTAACTCACCTAATCAGCATTACTCCTCCTGCTGCAGGAAGCGGCTCTCACAAGTTCACAAGCAGGCTCCCTTTTAATTGAAAACCCAGGGAAAGCCAAATTTGTAGCTGTCCCAGCAGCTGTTGGGATGAAAAGGTATTTGCTTTGTGTATTGGCTTCACCTTATTTTTCTCCTTTCATTTCCTTTTGTCCCCCACTTTTAAGATATATTTAAAATACTTTTGATTATGCTACATCATATGTGTAATTAGAAGGATGAAGAAAGCATTTCTATATAAACTTGTTGCTTTTGAAGCCAGATGCTCCAAGAGGACCACACAATTTGTCTTCCTAACAGAACTCTGCTTTTCCTTACACAAAGGTTGTTAGCTGTTTGGGGTTGGAAAATGCAAATCCCATAAAGGCATGGACTGGAGGAAGAAGTGTTAGGAGGCAACAGAGAGGAGCTGCTCCACTTGGCTGTGTAAGAGGGGTTAGGGGCTGCAGCCTGACTGGTTGACAGGGGAATCAGCTTCAAGAGCAATGGCATGGGCTGGGTGCTGTGGCTTGCGCCTGTAATCCCAGTGCTTTGGGAGGCCAAGGAGGGAGAAGTGCTTGAGCCCAGAAGTTGACGACCAGCCCCGTCTCTGTGGAAAAAAATAGCCATGCATGGTGGTGCACACCTGTATTCCCAGCTACTAATGAGGCTGAGGCAGAAGGATCACTTGAGCCCATTAGGTTTAGGCTGCAATGAGCTGTGATTGCACCACTGCACTCCAGCCTTGATGACCAAGCAAGACTCTGTCTCAAAAACAAAACAAACAAAAAAGAGCAATGGGGTGACTGGGTTCTTGGAAACGTAATGAGCCTATTTACAAGGCAGGAAACTGAGGCTTGGGAAGAGGAGCCAACAAGGAAATTCCTAGAGTCATGGATGGCTGAGGAGATTTTAGGGCTGTGATGGTTGGTAGCCAATTTTAAGCCATTTTCTGTTCTGTGCTGTGCGATCACTCTCCAGAACCAACAAGCCTTCAGTAAAAGCCTGTCACTTCCAGTAGCCATGGGTTAGGGCTTATTTTGCCAGTAGAGTAAAGGGCTGGTGTCTCTAGATGCCATTAGAGGATGGCAGCAATCCAAGTGTGAGAGGGGCCAGGAGACAGAGGAAGCAAGTGGACCACAGGGAGAACCAAGGACAGACACTGACTTGTGCAACCACCATTTTTTTAAGCTTAATAGGAAGAGGTAAACCTTGAAAAGGTGCATAGGGAGGCTAGAACTTGCCACAAAAAAGATAGGGTCGCTAGAGAGAGCTCTAGGCAGATAACTGTGTAAATAGATGTTGTATAGACCTCTTTATATTCTTTCCAGCAGCAGGTAGAGTGGGAGAGAAGAAACACAACCAGTCTGCTTTTCTCATGTAATTTTTTCCTGTTCAAAATCCTACCTTTTCTTTGGGGCCTCAAACCAATCTACCTCCTCTGGGAGGGAGTCCAGGATGCTTTATCCCTCTTTGCTTCCTATTGTTTCTCTTAGAGCAAATCTTAAAGTGTGGTCCTCAAGACTGGTAGCAGAATCATCCCCAGAGACTGGTTAGTAACGCACATTCCCAGGCCTTACCCTAGACCCACTGAATCTAGCGAGAGGCCTCAACACTCAGTGGTCTGTCGCTCCACAAGCTCTCCAGGTGGTTCTGATTCACGCTGAAGTTTGAGAGCCATCACGCAAACCAGAGGCATCTTGTTAGAATGAGAGTCAGATTCTGTCCTTCTTCAGCTCAACACCATCCAGTGTGTTCCCATCTCACTCCTAACGAAGAGCTAAATATTTGTAACAGCCTTCAAGGCCCTATAGGTGCATTGCTTCCCCGTTTTCCTCTCTGACCCAGTGGCCCTCACTGTCCCTTCCTCTTACTCCCCTCCAGCTACTGTGACGTCCTTGATGTTTCTGGAACCTGCAAGTTTTCCTTCTAACTCAACACCTTTTTGGGGCTGCCTCCTCTGCCTGGGATGCTTCCTCTATCTGAGATGTCGACATGGCTCATTCCCTCGCCTCCTTCAAGTCATTTCTTCTCTGGAGCCTGCTCTGATCATATTACTTCTAATCAGGCTCACCCTCACCAAGGCTACCCTTCCTGTTCTCTGACTTCTCTCCATAGAATTTATTTGTCTATATCAGGCCTATTTTACTTCCTCAAATTGTATATTGCCTGTCTCACTGTGCTAGAATATAAGCCCAAAAAGAGCAAAGATTTTATTTTATATTTTTCTATTTTGTTCATTAATATAGTACTTCACACATGCCGTGATGAGTATCCAAT
Source organism: Homo sapiens (assembly GCF_000001405.40). Lineage (NCBI taxonomy): Eukaryota > Metazoa > Chordata > Mammalia > Primates > Hominidae > Homo > Homo sapiens. The sequence continues at coordinate 131,725,222 of NC_000011.10, read as the reverse complement.
AAATATTTGTTGAATGTGTAAGTTTAGCACTAAGGTTTCTGTCCTCCCTTGTTGGTGAAGTACTGCATCCATCATGGCCTTCATTGCCAACAGATTGTAAACCCCATGAACAGGCATCCCCCATCTTTGACGTCTTTTTTCCCCACAGTGCCTTGCATCACGATGAGAATTCAGGAAGAACAAGATACTCCTTGATCATAGGCCTGAACTTGTTGTCCCTGGACCTGAGTTCCCAGACAGTAAACCTACCCCATGGCTCCTGAACATCCGGAGCCCCTCACTCCCCTGACTCCAACACACAGTCCAAGCTCCAAGCCTGCTGCCTTTTCCTTGCCCAGCCATAATTTCCAGTCATTTCCCCTGACATGCAAAGAATCCACCTCTCACTGGCTGCTCTCCCCACCCCAGGCTGTGCCTGCTCAGGCAGCCTCCATCTGTCCTTCACCCGAGATCCAGCACCCCAGCATGACAGCTGAGGTCTATAATTTATGAGTGCCCTTCTGCCGGGCCTTGTCGTTCCTTTCTTTTCTCAGGCATCACTGGGGCACAGGCCTTAGCACCATCGGAGGGGCTGCGGGTTTTGAAATGGAGGTAATCCAAGACCTGTAGTGGGCTACGATAAACTACTTGAGATTCTGGGGTGTGAGGTGCAGCGGGAAAAGTCTTTATTAACTTTCAACAGGGTTCTGGGCTCTCCTCACTTCCGTTCTTATTTGCATTTGTCTGCGGGTATAATAAAACCACATTGTGTTCTTTAAAGAAATGTGTACATGACTTGAGGCTGAGAGCCCCTGAGAGTAGGGCCAGACAGCACGCTTGAGTTGTCTTCTCAAACCTCAGTAGGCAATATGTGTTTTTAATAATCATCTGGTAATTAACAGCTGTGATTCAAAGCCTTTCATTTGGAAAAAATAATAATAATTTTACTTCCTGGTGCCAGGAGCCAGATGGGCAGACAAAGAGAGAAGCCTCCAGCTACGTATCAGACAAGCAGAGAAGGTGAGGGGTGCAGGCGCCCTGGCCACCCTGCAGCTGGCTCAGCATCTGGACAGGAGAACAAAGCCGTGGCCCAGGTACCTGAGCACTCCCTTCTAGCACGTGTGTCTGCTTAGCACTAATTACAGCCCTGGTTTTTGAAAAGTGTTGTCCCTCCCTCCTCTGACTTGTTCTGAATAACCTCTTTTTAAAAAGATGCACTGCCTGAAAAGGAACGGTAAACTGGGAAATTATTTTGAAACTTCACATGACCATGAATTCTTTATTCGGTTCAAAGAAATTACATTGGCCTCTAGGCCTTCTTAGCAGATAGACGCAATATCTTTACAAATCTCTCTTTCCCTTTCTTTTTCTCTCTCCTCTTGTCTGTCTCTCTTTCTCATGCACACACACACACATGCACACACACACAAACAGATACACACAGAAATGCACACGCACATGCACACTTCTTTGTTGAATATATTAGGGGAGGGCAAACAAGATGAAAAAGGAAAGACACAAGAAGCAAACTATCTAGTTATATTTCCCATCAAGTTTAGTGTCTGTTTTCTTAGATGCTTGGGAGATGATGGCCCAAGTTTATCTGCTTCACTGACATATTCTTAACATGGAATTTAGGACTCTGCTATCCTTTGCATAGAAATAAATGAAGGAAAGAAAGATGGATGGAAGGAAAGAAAAAGGAAGGAAGGAAATAAGGAAGGGAGGGAGGGAAGGACAAAGGAGTGACCTTTTACCATCTTTATTTCTGTTTTTATTTGCTACGTGTTTAACATAAACCCTCCATGCTGCACATACCATATAGGAAACCTCCATGGAGAAGACTGAATTCTGGTCCAGCTGCTGCGTAATCTACATCGCTTGAGCGGAAGAGGATCTGTAGTAACTGATCCTTGGCTCTACACTCTCCCATCCATCATCAGGAACAATAGCGGGCTGCAGTTGCCTTTCCAACCCTGCTTTGAAGGGCTTAATATGTTGATGGTTGCCATGGCAAACAAGCTTAAAACACCACTGGATGATGTGAACGGCAGAGATAATGCTTCATAACTTTCAACGGCTAGACTCCAGAAGGAGGATTTTTGTATTGCCATTGTGTAGTGGAAAGAACGGCAAAATGAGGATCAGAAGAACTGGATCTGTCTCAGATCAGCCATCAACTGGCTATGTGGCCCTGGATGGCACACCATTTAACCCGTCTGTGCAGAGTACTAACTCATCTGAAAAAGCAAGAAATAATAACAAAAGCAGTAACTGTGGAAATCATAAGAAAGTAATAATATCAATTGCAGCCCAGAAGTTGGAATCTGGTCCCTCCTCTCCATGAACCAAGTATGAGACTTTAGATATTTCACACAATGTTTCTGGGTCACTCTGTTCTCATTGGGAAAGTTAGAGATCAAAGATACATATTATATATTTTGTACTTGTGCCATACCAACAATAGATAAGGAAGAGCTGGTGTTCCAGGCCAGCTAATCATCATGGGAGACAGTGTCTGTGGCTGTCACTTCTCTAGTGGCCCTGCAGCTCACACCAAGTGTGTTAAAGCTACTCCGGATGAGCCAAGTGTTCCACTGTGATTGTCACTGTGGTCCTCTCCATCAACAGGATCTATCAGAAAGCAGAAAATGAAGCCCTAACAGCGTACTTACTCTCATCAGTGGATTAAACTTCATCTTCCTCCTTCACCCTCCGTAGAGATTAGCAAAGATCTTGAGTTCTGCATGTTTCTGAATTAAAGTAAGTGTTCAATCATTTATGTGCTTGAAGAATTCCCTGACAAACTGGTTCTATGGTTACGAGTTCATATGAAAGCAGTCTCACCAAAAGTTGCCTTTTGGCCGTCAGGCAACAGGAAGGCTGCCATTTTGCAAGCCAAATAGTTCACTCTTACTGATTATGGTCTGGGGGAAAATGGCTGACTAGAGATGCAGAATAGTCCCCTATCTAAGTGTAGTGAGATGGTTTACAGGTCCGGAACCTTTGAGAACATTATTTAATCACACAGTGGTTTTGATAGAGACCAGATGAATAAAAGAATAATAATGACAGTAATTATAATGATATTTGCATGTGTTATTATTTGTTGGATACTGACTGTATGCCAAGCATTGTGTTTGTTGCTTTACAAGCATTATTTTCTTTATGCCAAGCATTGTGTTTGTTGCTTTACAAGCATTATTTTCTTTCTTTCTCTCTTTTTTTTTTTTTTTTTTTTTTTTTTGAGACAGAGTTTCACTCTTGTCCTGGCTGGAGTGCAATGGCACGATCTCGGCTCACTGCAATCTCCACCTCCTGGGTTCAAGTAATTCTCCTGCCTCAGTCTCTCAAGTAGCTGAAATTACAGGCGCCCACGACCACGCCTAGCTAATTTTTTTGCATTTTTAGTAGAGATGGGGTTTCTCCATGTTGGTCAGGCTGGTCTCAAACTCCCGACCTCAGACGATCCTCCCACCTTGACCTCCGAAAGTGCTGGGATTACAGGTGTGAGCCACTGCTCCTGGCCCGCATTATTTCATCTAATCCTCACAGAAACCCTAAGATATTGGCAATACAATCCTTAATGTACAGATCATGAGATGAAGGTGAGGATTAGGGAAGTTAAGTAACTTGACCAAATTCACACAAGTCTGGTAGATGGACGTGGAGCTCAAATCTACTCATATTTGACTCCAAAGCCAGTGCTGTCAGTCACCATGCATATTTAATATTTACAAAGCTCTTAGGATGTCAGCCACTGTGCTTAATCTAGTATAAGCATTATCTCATTTTATGATCACAAAAACCTAATGAAGGAGGCACTCTTATCCCCATGCTACAGATGAAAAAACTGAGACTCTGAATGGTTTGGTAACTTGCACAGGCCTTCCAGCCAGAAGCTAGAGGAACCAGGAATTTATCCCATATCTTCTTGACACCAAAGCAATTGTGCTAAGATAAAATCTGAGCGGAATAAGGGTAGCATTGTAACATAAAGGAAAGAGAAATCTTGCAGTCTCCTGGGTTCCAGTAATAACACTGCTACTAATTAGCTGAGTTACTCTGGTTTCCCGGGGTCACTTATCCTAATTTGTCAGGAGATTTTTTTTTTTTGTAGAGATAATATTAAGTATTTAAAAATATGTTTTTCTATTGCTCTTTCTAGTTCTAAAATCATTGATTTAATGTGCAATAGTTTTTCATAGGAAAGTAAAACAATCCCCATTAACTCTAGATAAGAAGGTATTTCTAGGTATAAGCAAGGAAGGCAAGGATGATAATAATAATAATTTAGTATTTATGATGGATCAAACATTCATCTAAGTTCTCTAGTCATTTAGCCCTCAGAAAACCCCTACCTGGTAAGTCCTTATCATTACCTTTATTTGATCAATGAAACACTTGAGGCAGAGAGAGGCTAGGTAATTTACCCAAGATCTTACAGATAGTAAGTGGTAGAGACGGAATGAGAACTTATGCAGCCTGTTTCACAGTTGGAAGTTGTAACCACTATAACACGCTGCCTCTGGAGCCAAAATAGTCCATTAGCCTAATGGAAGTCAGTATAATGCTAAATTTTATCAGGAAGGCAGAATGATGTCATAGAAAGAGTTCAAGTCTAGGTGCTGGGCAAAGTTGGTTTTGAATCTCAACATTGCCACCATTACTAGGCTGCAGTTTTATTGGAGTAAGAATCTCATCTGATCTATTCTCCTGCCTCTTTCATCACCTACAATATGTATCTGTTGAATGGAAAAATGGATGACTTTTCCAGGTTGAACCAGTCTTCTAAACTATGTGTGTTGCATTCCAAAGCCCAAGAGCTTTCTGTTTTCCAGGGCAACCTCACAGAATACACTAATTATAGCCCTGTCCAAAGGTAAAGATTCTCTAGGCAGCATAATCACAAATCCTGGGATTCGAACGTAAACACACTGTATCTATCAAGGCATATGGCTTTTCTGAGTCTTCATTTGCTTCTCATAAATTTGAGACCATTTTATCATATATGCTTGTTATGAGAGTTAAATGCAGTACCTTATGTCAAGCACCTAGCACACTACCTGGCACAATGTATGTGTACAATTATTAACTTTTCAATTGCTTTGTAAAAGAGGTATCAAGCAAAACAGTAGTATCTGTAGCCTGTTTTGACCATCTCCTTTTTTGGATCATGGTTTCTTTGCTCTGAGGAAGCAACCCCGGAACCTGTAGGGTGGTGGGCCTATATTCCCTCCCACAAAGGATCTTAAGGCAGCTTACAGCAAAAATACACACGTAGTGAGCATAAACATCAGTGTGAGAATGACACCTTGCAACAAAGGAAGTCCACCATCTGGGCACAGTCAGACCAAAGTAATTTCCAATTATCTCCAACTTGCACCCTTGTGAGTTTCGCCTAAAGTTGAAACTGTTGTTACTTTTCCACTTAGATCCTGGAGAGTGAATTTCCCAGCGGAGGTAATGCATGATGATTTGGCTGCTCAACCCCCATTACCACTGATGGAGCACAACAGGACGCTTAAAATAAGTGGGGTCCCCTTGGCCTTCATAAATGCCTCCACACTTAGCAAATATGTAGCACATTTAGCTTGGAATCACAGGCATGAAACAGCTTGTTGTCAAGTTCCTACAACACCCAGAGGACCATCCAGAAAGTCAATATTTCTCTGACTTGGCCTTCCTGAGGCATTGCTCCCTCTACCACAGTAAGCCTGCAAGGCTATGGGGTCTCCTGCTTTTGTTACAAGCACCTCCTCATGACCCTTGCACATTTTATTCCAGCTCTCACAGCTATGCATTTTTTAGAAGCGCTATCTTCACCCCTCTCTTTGAATGTTCTCTCTGACATTATGGAGGTGACCAAGAGAAACAGTTGTCTCTCAAGGAGGATTTATGCACAATTTCTTATATATTCAAGAACAAAGGGTGGACTTCTGTTTCTGACCAAGAGGGAGTAAAAGGGACCTGATTACCTTCCCACTGGAAACAACAACAAGATTAGGAACAACAAGAGAGACAAAACACTGGAAGCACTGGGCGCGGGCTTACGTCTGTAATCCCAGCACTTCAGGAGGGTGGGACGGGCAGATAGCTGGAGTCCAGGAGCTTGAAACCAGCCTGAGTGACATGGCAAAACCTCATCTCTACTAAAAATACAAAAATTAGCCGGGTGTGGTGGCACGTGCCTGTAGTTCCAGCTACTCAGGAGGCTGAGCTGGGAAGATGACCTGAACCTGGGAGGCTGAGGCTGCTATAAGCAGTGGACAAAGGGATACCCAATCTGAAAACAAAAACACTAGAAGCAGTGGTTTTCAAGACACTGATACCAGGCAATGAAATATAATTACTCCTGAGAGATGGAAAACGAGAGGAGCACAGCATTCATCCCAGCTGACTTCCTGGAGAGCATTTCCAGGAGTGGTGCAGGGAGAGGTAATCAGGTGGAGGCTAGAGGACTCCCAGAGTTGAGCAACTGAAAGCCCTGGAAGATCAAGAACATTAGAGTGCTCAGAATAGAATACCAGGGGAGGAGAAATCTGCACAGAGAACTCCTGAGATCTGCAGAGGGTTCCCTTGAGCATCCAGCAGAGGACTGATCAGGGCATGTGTGCAATAAAACTTCCCAAAGGCCGGGCAAAGAACCTTCCCAGAAGATTGGAAGGAACAGTGCCCAGCACTCACACGGGGCCAGGGATGCTTGCCTGTTCCTACCAGACAGAATGGAAAACTTGATTAACCCAATAATTCATGAGGCATTGAATTGGGTACGCATGAGTATCTTGTGTCAGTGATGGGGCCAGACAGTAAACATTGTTCTGATCTCACCAAATAGATATTAAGAGCAAGAGCCAAAACACATTGAATTTGTAGAAAAAAGTCCTTCCACAAAGGCACTTGTAAGCTCAGCTGGCTTCACTGGTAAATGCTACCAAACAGTGAAGGAAGAAATCATATCAGCTATATATAAACTCTTTCAAGAAAATTGAAGAGGAAGGAATAATTCCCAATTCATTCTATAAGGTCAGCATTACCTTAAAAACAAAACTGGAAAAAGACATTATGAAAAACTAAAACTACAGACCATTATTTTCCATAAATAGATATGCAAAAATTCTAAAAAACATACTGTTAGTAAATTGAATTCAAAAATCTATAAAAAGTATACATCAGGGCCATGTAATCTATCCCAGGAATACAAGGCTAGTTTAACATTAAAAATAATCAACCAATGTACTTCATCATATTAACAAACTAAAATAAGAAAAACATATGATTATCTTAATAAAGACGAAAGCATTTGACAAACTGTAACATCTGTTCCTAATTTTTATAAACCTCTCAGCAAATTAAGAGAACTTTCTCAAACTGATAAAGAGCATGTATAGAAAACCTACAGCTATCAGCATATCTAAAGATAAAAGACTGAAAGCTTTCCCTGTGAAATCAGGAACAAGACAAGAATCTCCATTCACATGAGTTCTATTCAACATTGTACTGGAGAATCTAGCTAATACAATAACGCAAGAAGAAGAAATAAAAGGCATTCATGCTGGAAAGGAAGAAGTAAAACTGTCATTTGCAGATTACTTGATTGCCATATAGAATATCTGATGAAATCAATAAAAACTACTAGAACAAACAAGAGTAGCATTGTTACAAGACAAGAAATTCTATGCAAAAATCAGTTGTATTTCTATACACTAGTAATGAGCAACGTGAAATTGAAATGTTTAAAATGTCATTCAAAAGGGTCATTAAAAATTTAAATACTTAGAGGTAAATTTGACAAGGGATATCCAAGATCTGTACGTTGAAGGCTACAAAATTGCAGTGAAAGAAATTAAAGACCTATATAAATAGAGACATATACTAAACTAATCAGTCATGAGACTCAATATTGTTAAAATGTCATTTTCTCCATATTAATGTATAAATTCAATACAATTTCAATCCAAAACCAGGAAATTTTTTAGTAGAAATTGGCAAGCTAATTTAAAAATCTATATGGAAGTGCAAAAGATACAGAATAGTCAAAACAATTTTGAAAAAGAAAATGTTGGAGGCCTACCACTATCTGATTTGAAGACTTGGTTTAAAGGCTGATTGAGGTGGCTCACGCTTGTAGTCCCAGCACTTTGGGAGGGTGAGACAGGAGGATTGCTTGAACCCAGGAGTTCAAGAAACTCCTGGGAAACATAAGAAAACCTCATCTCTAGAAAACAATTTTAAATTAGCTGGGTGTAGTGGTATGTGCCTGTAGTCCCAACTACTTAGGAGGCTGAGGCAGGAGGATTGCTTAAGCCCAAGAGGTAAAGGCTGCAGAGAGCTATGATTGTGCCACTGCACTGCAGACTAGGTGACATAATGAGACTCCATTTCAAACAACAACAACAACAACAAAAAGCTTTAGTAATCAACAGTATCGTATTAGCATAAATACTGAAAAATAGGCCAGTGAAATAAAACAGAGTTCAGAAATGCATCCATACTGACAAAGATAACTGATTTTTGATAAAGATGATACAGCAAGTCAATGGAGAAAAGAAAAGCAATGAAAATATTTGAACAGGCACTTCACCAAAAAAGACACATGGTTGGAAAGTAAGCAGACAAAGAGGTGCTGAATATTATCAGTCATCAGGGAAATGCAAATTAAAACCACAGTGAGATAACACTATCAGAATTAGAATTGCTGTGATGAAAATTCCAAAGTTGGAAATGATACGGAAGAAATTAAACTGTCATATACTGCTGGTGGGAATGAAAAATGGTACAACCATTTTGGAAAACAGGGAATTTCTTAAAAGCTAAATATACACCTACGATATGATTCAGCTATTCCACTCCTAGGTAGTAACTCAAAAGAAGTAAAACCATATGACCTTAGGCTATGGTCTGAATATTTGTGTCCCTCCAAAATTCATGTTGAAAGGAATTCTAACTCTCAAGGTGATGGTATTAGAAGGTAGGGTCTTTTGGGAGGTAATTAGGTAGGTCATGAGGGCAGAGCTCTCATGAATGGGATTAGTGCTCTTATAAAAAAGGCCCAGGCGAACTTGTTCGTCCCCTTCCACCATGTAAAGACATAGCTAGAAAGTGCCATCCATAAACCAGAAAGTGGGTCCTCACCGTAAGTGAATTGGCTGGTGTCTTGATCTTGGACTTCTTGAACTTTGGAACTGTGAGAACAACTTCTGTTGTTTACAAGCTGCTCTGTTAATAATGTTTTGTTACAGCAGCTTGAAAGGACTAAGACACCATGCAAAGACTGGTTTATGAATGCTCATAGGAGCTTTATTTTAACTAATGAAAAACTGGAAACAACCTAAATGTACACCAATCATTGAATGCATAAACACATGATATATGCATACTGTGGAATACTTTTCAGCAATAAAAATGAACTACTAATACATGCAACAACATGGATCAATCTCTAAATAATTATACTGAGTGAAGGAAGCCAGACAAAAGTGAGTACATATTGTGTGATTCCAAATATATGAAATTCTAGAAAATGCAAATGAATCTATGGTGACAGAAGGGAGATCAGTGATTTCCTGAAGCTGGGGGAGGGGATAGAAGGAGGAGGAAAGGAGGCTGACAGGAGGAACAGATTACAAAAAGAAATGAGGAAACTTTTGGATTGATGGATACGTTCACTATGATCATTGTGATGATTGCACAAATGTGCACGAAATGTCAAAACTTATCAAATTGCACACTTTAAATATTTGTTCTTTATTATATATCAGTTATACCTCAATAAAGCTGTTAAACATATACATAAAAATGGCAAACAGTGATTGGCAGATGAAATAGTCTAAAATGCTAAACAAAATTCTTCCTCTTATTTGTCCCGTTCTCACCTCTGATCCAGGTTTCACCAACCTCTGCAAATTGACTTGCCTTTGGGAAGTATTGCTGGACTCATTACACAAGAAACTTATGATTTATCTGGTTCAATCTTGCTATAAATAGGAATAGTAATTCTGTAGCTCCTTCTATTTATGCACTGCCTCTTTCTCTTGTATAATCTGAACTGTCAGGTGAGAAGGGAACAGAATTCCATCTTGTTTAAGCCACCATATCTGAGGTGGCCTGGCCCCCATCTAATAACCACATCTAATACTCACCCTTTTCTGGTTTTGTATCACAAGGTCCTAGTGTTTGTTATGGTGACTATTCCTGGAGCACCAAGCACAATTTCAGGCACAAACAGATTTTGCTTCTTTATTAGGAAGCATTAATTAAGCAAGTGTGACTGTATGACCACTTTGGCTTGTAAAACTAAGGCATCAATTTCAATAAATGTCAGTGAGCATTTGCCAGGTAAAATAGCACCACTCAAACCATATAATGCCTTGTTTCTTAGCCACGGGAAACTGCAAAGGCTGTGGACACTGGGCATGCCTCTGTAGAATGGGAGGAAGGTGGTGTCAAATGCCGCATGGATGACACTCGGTAAAGGCTGGCGAGAGTGGAATAGAGGACAACTGTACATGAAGAGATGGGACACATGACTTACACTGTGCTACTCCAAATAGTGGCATGTGTTTAGCCTATGACACTGTTACAGTAAGTAGTTAGTCAGACATGAGCAAGGTAGAAAAGGACTCCCTACGGCAGGAATGTCAGGTGACCATCAGGAGATGGCCAAGTAGTTGTTACACTGTTTCTCTAAAATGATCATTGGTTTCAGCCAGCGCCAGGGAATGGGAGTCTCCCAATAGATAGAAAAAATCTTGGCTGGTTGTGGTGGCTCACATCTGTAATCCCAACAATTTGGGAGGCCAAGGTGGGTGTATCACCTGAAGTCAGGAGTTCAAGACGAGCCTGGCCAACATGGTGAAACTCCTTCTCTACTAAAAATACAAAAAAATTAGCCAGGCATGGTAGTGCATGCCTGAAGTCCCAGCTACTTGGGAGGCTAAAGTCAGAGAATCGCTTGAACCCTGGAGGTGGAGGTTGCAGTGAGCCAAGATCACGCCACTGTACTCTAGCCTGAGTGACAGAGTGAGACTCTGTCTTAAAATAAATAAATAAATAAATAAAAATCTGAAGCTGGTGATCAGCAGCTTCCAGGTACGATATCAGGAGTTGGGTGAGTGGGCTTAAGCATGTGCCCTATGAGGCAAAATGGCAGAGTTTAACTGGTACATGATCTTCCTCTAGAAATACTCGACCAGTAAGGGAAGAAAGCCTCAAGTGAGCATGTGCAAAACTTCAGTAAAGACTGCACACGCAGCCCCTCCCAGGAGCTGGCAGGCCACTGCCCGTGCGGAATGCCAACGTAACAAAGTCCAAGTCAAAGGTCAAGCTGTGCACTAAAATCTCTCAAGTCACCCGCTTGGCCCTCTTCCAAATGTACTTTACTTCCTTTCATTCCTGCTCTAAAACTTTTTAATAAACTTTCACTCCTGCTGTAAAACTTGCATCGGTCTCTCCTGCCTTATGCCCCTCAGTCTAAGTCTTTCTTCTGAGGAGGCAAAAATTGAGGTTGCTGCAGACCTGTCCAGATTTGCCACGCTAACAACACAGCATACTGAACTTGACTCTGAAATAAGAGAAGCTGGCCTGAGTAAGACTTAGAAATACAGAGGAAAAATGATATGATTGCCTACTTGTAGTATAAACATATACTTTGTGGAGATAAACAGGAAAGGAAAACATACTGAAAGGAAGAGAGGAAAGGTTTTTCAGATACTAGTTCTCCAAAGAAATAGAAAAGAATGAATTGGGCCCAGAGAAGTTAAGAAAATCGCTTAGGACACAATTGCTCCTGGTGGCAAGAAGTGTTAATGAGACACTTAACATCATTTAATAGCTGAGGATAAATTGAGACAGACTAGGCTGGACCATGTAGCTAGGAAGAAGACAAAAAGGAAATGGTTGGAGAGAGAACTTTATCACAGCTAAGGGACAACAAGACCCTTTTGTACCTCACCAGATTGTTATGTTTTCCTTCCCTTTCTTTTACTTGTATTACGGCATTGTGTCGTTTATATTTAGAACATGTACTTAACCATGTTTCCGTTTTGTTGCTCTAAACATTTGCATTTCTTTATCATTACACACCCGGTGTATAGCATGACATCCTTGTTTTTCCTACAATGAGAGACTAAATTCCTAGCCTTATGTTGTTCTATGGAGACACCTGGCAGCAGCAGAGGGTGAGACACAATACTGGAGACATACACACCACCATGAGCAGGCCTGCAACCTCCACCCCTGACCAACCGGGGCTCCCTCTCTGCTACTAGCTTGCTGCTCTTTTCTTTTCTCTACTTCTTCCTTCCTTCTTTTTCATTCTTTTCTTCCCTTCCTGCTTTCTTCCTTTCTTTCTTCCTTGGTTTTCACTTGTCTTGGCCGGGCACCATGGCTCCCAGGAATTTGGGAGCCTGAGGTGGGTGGATTGTTTGAACTCAGGAGTTTGAGACGTACTGGGCAACATGGAAAAACCCCGTCTCTACAAAAAATACAAAAATTAGGCTGGTGTGGTGGCATGCATCTGTAGTCCCAGCTACTTGGGAGGCTGAGGTGGGAGGATCACTTGAGCTGAGATCGTGCCAAGGCACTCCAGCCTGAGTGACAGAGTGAGATCCTGTCTTAAAAAAAAAAAAATCACTTGTCTCTATGAGTAAAATGTATCTACTGCAGGAAATTTTGAAAATGCAAAGAAGTAGGAAGAGAAGGGGAAGAAAACCTAAGCCATCTATTATCCCACTAGTTATGGGTAACTGCTCACATTTCATTTTATTAATACATATGTGTATACATATGATGATTACTATTTATCTCTAGTGTATGTATACACATACAGATATTTAGATCTATAAATATATACACAGAAGTTTCCGAGAAGGTAGTTCTTACAGCTAACAGCAGCACTCCTCCTCTTAACAACTGTTTTTCCGTATTTGGAGGCTGTTCTTGAGGGTACAAGCATTGTAAAGAGAAAAGACAACAAAGGTTATGTGCAACTAAATTGCTCTTCCAAAGACAATTGGAAACATTCCTTCTTCTTTTTGTTTGTTTTGGGGTTTTTTTTTGTTTTTTTTTTTAATTTTTTAATTTTTATTTTTTTATTTTTTATTTTATTATTATTATACTTTAAGTTTTAGGGTACATGTGCACAATGTGCAGGTTAGTTACATATGTATACATGTGCCATGCTGGTGTGCTGCACCCGTTAACTCGTCATTTAGCATTAGGTATACCTCCTAATGCTATCCCTCCCCCCTCCCCCCACCCCACCACAGTCCCCAGAGTGTGATGTTCCCCTTCCTGTGTCCATGTGTTCTCATTGTTCAATTCCCACCTATGAGTGAGAACATGCGGTGTTTGGTTTTTTTGTCCTTGCGATAGTTTACTGAGAATGATGATTTCCAATTTCATCCATGTCCCTACAAAGGACATGAACTCGTCATTTTTTATGGCTGCATAGTATTCCATGGTGGATATGTGCCACATTTTCTTAATCCAGTCTATCATTGTTGGACATTTGGGTTGGTTCCAAGTCTTTGCTATTGTGAATAGTGCCGCAATAAACATATGTGTGCATGTGTCTTTATAGCAGCATGATTTATAGTCCTTTGGGTATATACCCAGTAATGGGATGGCTGGGTCAAATGGTATTTCTAGTTCTAGATCCCTGAGGAATCGCCACACTGACTTCCACAATGGTTGAATTAGTTTACGATCCCACCAACAGTGTAAAAGTGTTCCTATTTCTCCACATCCTCTCCAGCACCTGTTGTTTCCTGACTTTTTAATGATTGCCATTCTAACTGGTGTGAGATTGTATCTCATTGTGGTTTTGATTTGCATTTCTCTGATAGCCAGTGATGGTGAGCATTTTTTCATGTGTTTTTTGGCTGCATAAATGTCTTCTTTTGAGAAGTGTCTGTTCATGTACTTCGCCCACTTTTTGATGGGGTTGTTTGTTTTTTTCTTGTAAATTTGTTTGGGTTCATTGTAGATTCTGGATATTAGCCCTTTGTCAGATGAGTAGGTTGCAAAAATTTTCTCCGATTTTGTAGGTTGCCTGTTCACTCTGATGGTAGTTTCTTTTGCGGTGCAGAAGCGCTTTAGTTTAATTAGATCCCATTTGTCAATTTTGTCTTTTATTGCCATTGCTTTTGGTGTTTTAGACATGAAGTCCTTGCCCATGCCTATGTCCTGAATGGTAATGCCTAGGTTTTCTTCTAGGGTTTTTTGAGAGAATAAGGAGAGAGAAGAAGGGGGTAAAAAGGAGGCCTTGGAGAGAAGCAAACCAGTGCAGTAGCCAGAAATACTCCTTGGTGGGGACAGGGGCAGGGAAAAGGCATTTCTACAAGGAGGAATGTCCATCCATTATGTTTTATTTGTTTGCAGGGTGGCATGAGGTGTGATCCTTCTAGGTAACCCACAAATGCCTCTATGAAAACATTTCCTACCTAGCACAGCTTTGGATTTGTGGAGGGTTTGGAGTAGTGAATCAGAATGACTCCAAAGGCTTGCAAACCGCAGACTCTGTGTCCCAACCCAAGAGTTTCTGATTCACTGAGTCTTGGGTGGAACCAGAGAGTCTGCATTTTTTTTACAACTTCTCAGTTGCTGTTAATGGTGCTGGTTTGGGTATTACACTTTGAAAACCACTCCATTAGTGAATTAAAGGCAAGGGACTGACTCTCATGTTTGAGTAGATATCATGACAGAAATAAAATAACTACCTGAATCGAAACCAATAATAAGATTTCAGTACAGAGCTGGAGAAACACTAGAGCCAGAGAAGACTCTGGGAGAGCAACTCTTTCCTCCCTGCCCCTACTCTCTTCAGCCATGGGGAACATGGACCCGCTTGGTGAGGCTTTTGTTGGTGGGGACGGAGGCATCACCTTAAATATTCTTGGTGTTATGCACTGCATACAACAAGATATCATGGGTATTTTTCCATGTCATTAAGTAGTTTTGAAAAATAGATAAGAGAAATTGTAGAATATTTGTACGCTGACAAGAGTGATCTAGGGAAAGCAGAAGATAGAGGCCATAGAAAGAGTTGAGAGTTGTCCTGAGTTGGTGAAAGAATCTGGTATCTGGCACCAGTGAATGGGTTTGTTCAGCCTTTCTGTCTCTCATGGCTTTCTGCTCCACCCCCTCTTTGACCCCACCAGTGCACTCACATTGTTCTTGTCAAGGTCAAAATGACCTCTGCATTGCTAATCCAGTGTGTGTTCTCAGTCAACACACGGACTTAGTAGCAGCATTCTGCACTGCTAAGCATTTCCTCTTTACAGTACACTCTCTTCCTTCAGCTTCCAGGATAGCACACTCTCCTGTTTTGTCTTATTTTTTCCTTCCATCACGAGGACTCTTTCCTCTTGACCTCTTTGCAGATTCCTCTTCTTCCCTCCTTCCTGTCAGTGCTGGAGTGCCTAAGGCTCACACCTTGGGCGAACTCTCTTTTGTATCTATATTCGCTCCATTTTAGGATCTTATTCAAGGTTTATGGCTTTAAACACTGTTTATATACTGATAACTCTCAAGTGGGTCAATCCTGTGCAAGACACCTGCCCTAAGCTGCAACTGTCTAGTCAACAAGGCTAGCAGACATCTTGAAGTTAACATGTCCAGAAATGACTGCTGGTCTTCCCTAACCAAGGTTATCCTCATCTCTGTTATCCAACTCCATCCTTTCAAGTGCCAAGGCCAAAAACTTTTAGGTTAATCTTGACTCCTACCTTATTTTTACATCTGACAACCAATCCATCAGGAAATCTTGTTGCCTTTGCATTCAAACTAATCCTGTCTTGTCACCTCTACTGCTTCCACTGTCATTTATTTCTTGCATTATTGCAAAATAGCCTCCCAACAAGTCTGCCTGCTTCCACTCTTGCCCCCTGGAGCCTAAAAACACCAGTGCAACCACAGGGATCTGTTTAAAACATGAGTTATTTCGTGTCATTCTTCTGCTCAGAAGCTGCCAATAGATTTCCTTTTACCTAGAGTAAAAGCAGAAGTTTCTAGAATGGCCCCCACAACCCCACACTTAGGTAGTTACCTCTCTTCCCCTCCTCCCCACCTTACTCTTATTATCCTGTCCTTCCCTGCCGCTCACTCTGTACCAGCCACATTGACCTCCTTCCTGTTCTTGAACACACCAGCAATGCTCATATCTGCAAAGAGAACTTTGCACCTTTTTTTCCCTGTATAGAATGTTTTCTTCTCTCCCCACAGAACTTGCTCCATTGTGGCTTTCACGCATTTGTTCAAAGGACACCTTCCAAGTGAGGACCGTTACAATTCACTTTAAAATTGCAACCCCACCTCCTCATTCCCTGATCTGCCCCATCACCTACCCAGACATAGTTTTCTTCTTAGCATTTATCATCTTTCAACATTTGCTAAAATTGGGGGTTTACGTTATGCTTCTTACCCATTTTCTCCCAGCAAAAATGTAAGTTTCTGAAGAGCAAAGGCTTTTGTTGTTTGGTTCATTGGTATTTCAGGATTTATGCCCATAAAAACATATAGAAGGCCCTCAATATATTTTTCATGAATAAATGAAATGTATAAATTTCTGTTATTTCATGATTTGTATTATATTGACTGTGTGTAATCATTCCCTTGGGTATTTAGGTTGCTTCCACTATTTTTCTATTTCCTAAAACACTACAATAAAGTCTTTTACAAAAATATTTTTCTCAGTTATTTTTTAATCACCCTAGGAAATAATCCTATTAATGGGAACACAGGTGTATTTTCATATATTTGTTTCATGCAGCCAAATTGCTTTTTGTCTTACATCTCTAATGTTAATGTTTAGGAATACTTACTGCCAAAATGAAGTCAATATTTTTCTAACCTTGACCAATTCATGAGACAAACAGAGGCCCATCTAAATTTTATATTAATTTAAATTATTTGATAAAAAGTGATTAGAAGTTTGTTATGTTTCTTGAACATTCATGTATTTTAACTAGCTCTTCATATTTTCAGTTTATTTTACTATTGAAGAATTCATGTTTTTTCTTATTAGGAAGTTCTTTATATATAAGGGTATTAACGGTTTGTTATATTGCTTAAAATATTTACCCACATTGATTGTTTTCTTAATTCATTTATTTTTCAGATAGCTTACTGTTAGTTCTCACTAATTTTTGTATGTTGATTTTGTGGCCTGTAACTTCAGTGAATTCAAATATTAGTCTTACCAGCTTTTTTGGTAGAGTCAGTCTTTAGAGTTTCCTCTGTGTAAGATCCCTTCAATACAAAGAGAGGCAATTTTACTTCTTTTTCAATTTGGATGCTTTTTATTTATTTTTCTTGCCTAATTGCTCTGTCTAAAACTTTCAGTCCTACATTGAGTAGAAGTGGTGGCAGTGGGCATCCTGTCTTATTCACGACCTTAGAGGAAAAGTTTTCAGCTTTTCACCATTGAGTATGATGTTAGCTATGGACTTGTCACCTTTATTATGTTGAAGTACATTCTTTCTGTACCTAATTTATTGAGAGGTTTTTCTAATGAAGAGATATTGAATTTTGTCAAAAGCAAATGCTCAGACCTGTTAGAATGACTTATTAAAAAATAAAAGATAAACAGTGCTGGAAAGAATGTGTAGAAAAGAGAACACTTGAACACTGTCAGTGGGAATGTTAATTAGTATAACCATTATAAAAAACAATATTGAGGTCCCTTTCAAAACTAAAAATAAAATTACAATATGATCCACCAATTCCACTTCTGGGAATATATCCACAGGAATTGACATTGGTATATTGAAGAGATACCTGCAATCTCATGTTCTTTGCAGAATTATTCATAGTAATCAAGATACAGAAGCAACTAAGTGTCCATCAATGGATGAATGAATAAAGAAAATGTGACATATGCACACAATGAAATACTATTCAGCCTTTAAAAAGGGGAAATTCTTCATTCGTAACAATATGAATGAACCTGAAGGACATTATGCTAAGTTAAATAAGCCAGGCAAAGAAAGACAAATACTGCATGATCTTACTGCATGTGGAATCTTAAAAAGTTGAACTTGTAAAGAGTAGAATAGTAGTTTTGAGGGACTCAGGGGTGGGGTGATGGGGTAAGGGGAGATGCTGGCCAAAGTATTCAAAGTTTTAGTTCAACAGGAAGAATATTTCATTTACACAGAAGAATTATGTTTTAGTGATCTATTACATAGCATGGTGACTATAGTTAATAATAATGTATATTTTGAAGTTATTAAAAAGTAAAATTTAAAAGTTATCATCACAAAGAAATGATAAGTAGTGAGGTTAAAATATGTTAATTAGCTTGATTCAATCATCTCACAATGTGTACATATATCACAACATCACATTGTACCTCATAAATGTATATAATTATTATGTCAGTTAAAAATAAAGTAATATAAAAAAGATTACTCTTGCTGCATGCTATGTGTTTTGGTATGTTATGTTTTCATGTTTGTTTGTTTTAAGATTTTAAAAAATTTTCCCTTTTATTTCTTCCTTGACACATTAATTGTTCAGAAATGGGTTGTTTAATTTCTACATATTTGTAAATTTTCCCATTTTCCTCCTGTTATTGATTGCTAGTTTCATACCATTATGGTTATAAAAGAACTTGATAAAATTTAAATCTTAAGTTGTTTAAGACTTGATTGAAGGCCTAGTATATGATCAATCCTGGAGAATGTTATATGTGCACTTGAAAATAGTATGTATTTTGCTGCTGTTGGATGGAATGTTCTTTATGTTTTTTAGGTTAGGATCCCTTTAATCTATTATGCTGCTCAAATCCATTGTTTCCTTATTGATTTTTCTGTCTGAGTAAGCTATACATTATTGTAAATGAGGTATTTGAGTCCCTTACTATTACGGCATTGCTGTCTATTTCTCCTTTTTGTTTTGTTAATGTTTATGTATCTAGGTGCTCCAATACTGGGTACATCCATATTTAAAATTGTTATATCCTCTTCATGAATTGATCCCTTTTTCATTTTATAATGGCCTTTTTTGGTCTCTTCTGACAATTTTTGACTTAAAGTCTATTTTTTCCAGTATAAGTATAGCCACTCCTATTCTTGTTTGGCTACCATCTGCATGTATTATCTTCTTCTATTCCTTCACTCTCTGCCTACATCTGTCCTTAAAGCTAATATGAGTCTCTTAAAGGTAGCATGCAGTTGGATCTTCTTTTATAATTTGTTCAGTCATTATATGGCTTTTGATTCGAGATTTTAATCCATTTACATTTAAAGTAATTATTGATAGATAAGGACTTGTTCTGGCTATTTTGTTAATTGTTTTCTGACTGCATTGTTCTCCTTTCTTCCTCTCTTTCTGTCTTCCTCTGTGATTTGATTTTTTTGTAGTAATAGTATGCTTTAATTACTTTCTCTTTCGTGTATCTCACACAGGTTTTTTCTTTGTGGTTATCATGAGGCTTCTATAAAATATCTTATAGTTATAAACCTATTTTAATCTGAAAACAACCTAACTTAAACTGCATACATAAATTCTACACTTTAACTTCTCTTCTTCCCACATTATATGTTATTGATGTGACAATTTATGTCTTTTTTATATTGTGTATTTATTAACAAATTATTGTAGCTATGGTTATTTTTAATGATTTTATCTTTTAACTTCTATAGCAGAATTAGAGGTAATTTATACACCATCATTACAGCATTGTAGTATTCTGAATCTTACCTTTATAATGAGTTTTATTCATTTATATTGTTAGTCTCCTTTCATTTCAACTTGAAGAACTTATTTGAGCATTTCTTGAAAGGCAAATCTAGTGGTGTTGAGTGCCCTCAGCTTTCATTTGTCTGGGTAAGTCTTTAGTCTTTTACATTTGTATAGGATAGCTTTGCCGAGTGAAGTATTCTTGCTTGACAGTGTTTTTCCTTTTAGCACTTTGAATATATCATCCCCTCTCTCCTTACCTGCAAGATTTCTGCTGAGAAATCTGCTGATAGTCCTACAGGGAAGTTTCCCTTGAATACAAGTCACTTTTCTCTTACTGCTTCTGAAATTTTCTAGGTTTTTGATTTTTTCAAATTTAACTATAATGTGCCTCATGACAATCTCTTTCTGTTTAACCTATTTGGGGTTGTTTTGGAATCATGGATTTGGATGTTCATTTCCCTCTCCAGATGTTGGAAGTTTTTTGTCATTATGTCTTTAAATGACCTTGCTGCCCCATTCTCTTTGTCTGATCCTTCTTAAACTCCTATAATGTGTATATTGGTTCCTTGATTGTGTCCTGTAAGTCCTAGAGGGTTTTGTCACTGTTTCTCAATCTTTTTTTCTCTTTATTCTTCTGCCTGGGTAATTTCAAATGACCTGTCTTTGAGCTCACTGATTCTCCTTTCTGCTTTATCAAATCTGTTGTTGAAGTTCTCTATGGAACTTTTCAGTTCAGTCAGTATGTTCTTCATCTCCGGATTTCTGTTTTTTAAAATGGTTTCTTTTTGTTGAACTTATTATTTTGTTCATGCGTTATTTTCCTGATTTTTAGTTATCTTTTTATGCTCTTTGTAGCTCACTGCACTTCTTTAAGATTATTATTTTAAATGCTTTGTCAGGAAGTTTGTAGATCTCCATTTCTATGGGGTCAGTTACTAGTGTTTCATTTTGTTCCTTTGGTCATGTCATATTCTCCTGATTATTTGTGATCCTTGTGGCTTTGCACTGGTGTCTGCATTTTAAAAATTAGGCATCTTTTCCAGTTTTTACTTATTGCCTTGTTATGTAAAGTCCTTCACCAGTCAGCTTCTACAGAGATTTTGGGTGGGGCCATCTAATGAGGTCCATAGTGAGGCTTGCTATTGAAGTCCTCATGCTGGAGGGGGCTGTGTCTGGGTCAGTGGATGAATGAGCCTGGAACTTGGGTCTACAGGAGCCAGCCCAGTGCCTGGATCTGTGAGGGCAAGACTAGAGCCTTGGTCCCCATGGATGAGCCTCGGGCTTGCATCCACAGGTGTGGGACTCCATTCTGAATCCACAGGAGCTGGCCTGGCACTGGGGTCCCCTGGTATGGGCCTGGAGACTGGGTCTATGGAGATGAACCTAGAGCCAGGTTCTGTGGGAACCAGCCTGGTGATTGAGTTATCCTAGGCTTTGAGTCCTCAGGGATCCTAAGTCAATATAGACCAGCTTGGAACCAGGGGGGTTGTAAGGGCTGGCCTAG
This sequence comes from Homo sapiens, assembly GCF_000001405.40. Lineage (NCBI taxonomy): Eukaryota > Metazoa > Chordata > Mammalia > Primates > Hominidae > Homo > Homo sapiens. The sequence goes on along the minus strand of NC_000011.10, from coordinate 131,704,053 downwards.
AGCCTGGAACCACATGAGCCAACCTGGAGTCTGGAGTCACTAGTGCTGATCGGGTGCTGAAGTGGGTCTAAAGCCTGGTTCTGTGGATGCAACCCTAGAGGCTGGAGCTGTGGGGGCTGGCTTGGTATGGAAGTGGGTCTGGGGCCCGGGGCCATCGAGGCAGGCCTGGAAACTGGGGCTATAGGCCTGGAATTGGGGTCCACTGGAGCTGTCCTGGTGTTGGGTCTGCAGCAACGTATGCTACTCACTTCGCTCTCTTCCCCTCATGCAAGGCTATCTTTCTTCACACTAGGCTGAGTGACGTTTGGGTGGTGGTGACATCAGTAATGTGAAACTCCTTCTTACTCTCTTCAATGCAGCTTTTCTTATTTCTGTGCTCCACCAAGGTGCTGTGGCCTCTCATCTGGATTCTTTGGCTCCTGTGAAAGTGTTTTTGTGTGTGCATTGTTCCAAGCAGTGTTTCTGTGAGGAGACAAGAGCTGGGATTTCCTGTTCTGCCATCTGGTTGACATAACTGTTTTTAAATTTTATGATGTTTGACATTCAGAGAGATTTGATCTTAATGCAGCCAAATTCATCAGTCTTTCATCCATTATTTATGTCATTGCTTTGGGCGTACACAGACTTTCTCCTTCCAAAATCCTGATGTATATTTATTTGTATTTACTTCTACATTTTTAAAAACATTTAATTGAAAAACAATCACTGTATATATTTATGGGATACAAAGTGGTGGTATTATGACACATGTATATATTCTGGAGTGATCAAATCAAAGTAATTAACATATCAATCGCCTAAAATGTTTATCATCTCTTTGTGAAGAGAGTATTTTACATACTGTCTTTTGGCTATTTTGAAATATACAACACATAATTATGAAGTATACTCAGCTGTGTTGTGAAATGGAACACCAGAACTTATTCCTCCTATCTAACTCAATACTTCTAATGTTAATGGCTTTGCTTTTTTACTTTCTTCTCTATAATCCAAGAGTTGGGATCTATGTAGATTTTTCACTAATAGTTAATCAGTGATTGCTACAACAATTATGACTATCCTCTTCTCCCCTAACTGATTTCTCAGATTGTCATATTCATACAAAAAAATCCTATATTGTATAAGAGTGTTTCAGGGCAATCTATTCTGTTATACACATCAGTCTATCAACTCTTATGCCTAAAACTCACCGTTTATATTATTGCAGCTTTGTGAAATGTTTCAAAATAGTCGGGGCTATTCGTCCTATCCTGTATTATTTTTCAATTTTACAGTTTTCTTGCCTGTAGCTAAAAATCAACATTATTCTCTCAGAAAGCCATTCCAACAAAACCAAACAAAATTATCACTATTTTGTTTAAAATTGCCTTAAAACAATAGTCACTTGGGAAAGCATGGTATCTCAATAGTATTTAATCTTCCTATTAGAGAGATGGTTCATTTCTTCCTGTTTGTCTGGTGCTGCTGCTCTCTGTTTCATCCCATGATGCACCTCTCCATGCTCTGGGCACTCTTCCCTCACTCAGGAGTCCAGAGTGGAGAGTGAGTTCTAAACCCAATACCACCACCTGCTCGTTGTGTGACCTTGGACAAGATGCTGGGTCTCTCCAAATCTGTATGTTATCTGTAAGATGGAGTTATTACAGTAGCTACTGTTGTGATGATGAGATCATTTTAAAGATGAAATAGGAATTTATGCTAAAAGCAGTTTATGTGGAATTAAACTAGCACTCACTATATGTTGACTTTTAAGAATCGGCACTTCATCACTACCGTACTTTTTTTTCTTTTTAGAGAGAAGGAGTAAAGCTCATTGGAAAAGCAGACCCTGATAGATCAGGAGTTCCAAGTGTGGGCCGATCCCTGGTGAAAGTGAGATGGAAGATGTGGGTCAGGAACTCTGCTTTGTAAGGTAGTCTCCCAATGTCCAAGTTGAGTAGAGAGGAAAGAAGACAAAGCCATGTCTGAGGGCGGTTTGGGCTATTTGTGAGCATCTGAGAGAAGGCAGCAGGAAACTGTGGGAAAGGGAGCCACGTCTTTCCCACCAAGGACAGGAGCCATGGTTGTGTGACACACACAGTTGCATAGGGCCTCAAGCTCAGAAGGGCCCATGTTTGGTTTAATGCTCTGCTATTGCCATCATGAAATACTTGATACTTTTAAAACCAGGGTGGTACATTTTCATTTTGCACTGGGGTCCAACCATGACACATCTACCCCTCCACCCCTATTTCCACCCCTCCCTTGGCTTTCCTGGCCTTCCATCTGATGGAGTAGAGACAGCCTTGCATTTGTCTAGGCCCTCATGCCCTAGGACCCCATGGACACACCATTAAATGAAGAAATAACAAGGCCCTCAGCATTAAGGAGCCCACTACTTGCTGTAATGAGGATGGTAAGGTTGAGGAATATACTTTTCCAGAAATATGAGTATTGGACATTGGTGAAGAATAAACACATAAGCCATGATTTATAAAGCTAGAGAGCTAGGGATGGCAGAGGCAGAATCCTTGCCCGTGCCTCTGGATCCTGTAGCTCCTGGCAAAACTGACAAATGCATTGAGTGGCTCCCTTCTTTTTGCCCATCTACCATGCCCAGTTGCTTCTAGGGCAGCCAATTATTTCCTTCTTAGTAGTAGATGAGGGAATTCAAGAGCAGTGATTGGAGGAGAAAAGGAATAACATATACTGTCCTCATAGGCCAGGCATGGTTCTAGGCGATTTACATACAGTTTCTCATTTATTCCTGGCAATGGCCCTGTGGGTAGGTGGCATTATCTTTATTTTATAGATAAAGAAACCAGGCTCAGTGGATTCACCAACTTGCCCAAGTCATGCATATAGGTGGTGGTAAAAAGTTGACATAATCCCAGGTCTGTATGTCACCAATTGTTTTGTTCTTTAGCAAAACCCTTGTTGCTTTTTGTTCTTTTAGTATATTATACTGTCCACCAACTGGAAACTGAGAAAGACAAAGAAATATTTTATTACTTTTTCCCGAGCACTGTCCTAAACATATTACATGCTTTAACTTGTTTAATTATCACAAGAAAACTAGGGTTCAGAAACTTTAAGAAACTTCTGTAAGGACTCACAGCTATTAAATGGCAGAACCAGGATTCACATCTAAGCTGTCTGACTCCAGAGACAAAACCTGCAGCCACTACATGATGCTACTTCTCCTAAGAAAAGTTGAAGGGAAAACTTTTGGTGGTAAATTATTGGTTGCGTATGGAAAAGATCAAGGACAATTTCTAGGTTTCATGTTTGAGCACCTGGTTAAAAGATGGTGTCAATAAAATGTGAAGTACAGAAGGTTGAGTTGCAGGTTTCAGGGGAATAAGGGTTACATCAGTTCTGCACACACTGAGGATGAGGTGCCTGGAAGGCATCCAACAGGATGCTATACAATACTAGCACCTTCCTGAAAGGGTTGCTGTAAGGATTAAATGGATTAATATGTGCCTGGCACACAGTAAGCACAGTGTAAGTCTTTGCCATTATTGTAACCCAATAAACAAGTAGGTCATCATGAAGCTAGAAGATCATAACAACCCAGTAAGCAACTGGGTCAAGTGGAGCTAAGAAGACAGGTCTTGGCGAGAGATATAGAATGAACAGTTGTGAACTTATAGGTAGCTAAAACTATGGGAGAAAGGGGGATCTCTTAGAGACAAAGTGTGGAATGAGGAGAAGAGAGTGTTAGGATGCAAACATTATGACAGGCATACAATTGATTTTGAGGTATTGAATAAAGGCAGGTAATTAGAAAGTTTCTGAAGTTTCAACAAAAGGAAGGATTTTCCTTACATTTAGAATAAGGCATTGAATCTCTGGCCAAGAAAGACAATTTTTTGGCTGGTAACCAATATAATCAGAAATAACAAATGAAGTAAAATTAGACAACTCCTAAAGAAAGGAACCCAAAATGCTCTGCTTGTTACCTGAACATAACATGAGTTTGTGCCCAACATCACTATACATGCATAATTTCCCAGCTTCACAATTAGCTTCCAGCTAAATGTGTTATCCTGGCTTCTACATGGTCAAGAGATCTTCAAGAGCAGTGGTCTAGTTCAAGATACTGAATACACACACACACACACACACACACACACACACACACACACACACACACACACACCTGCTGCTTTGGCTAGTGATATGGTTTGACTGTGTCCCCACCCAAATCTATCTTGAATTGTAGTTCCTATAATCTCCAGGTGTAGTGGGAGGGACCTGGTGGGAGGTAATTTAATCATGGGGGTGGTTACCTTCATGCTGTTCTCATGAGATCTGATGGTTTTATAAGGGACTTTTCCCCCCTTTTGCTTGGCACTTCTCTTTCCTGCCTTCATGTGAAGGAGGACGCGTTTGCTTCCCCTTCCTCCATGATTGTAAGCTGCCTGAGGCCTCCCCAGCCCTGCTGAACTGTGAGTCAACTAAACCTCTTTCCTTTATAAGTTACCCAGTCTTGGGTTTGTCTTTATTAGCAGCATGAGAATGAACTAATACAGCTAGTGATCCTGGAGGAGTTCTCCTGATTTCTCAGGCTCTATATGAATGTCCTACAGAAAGCCTTTTGTGCCATTCATCTGTATTTGATGCTTCTCCTTTGCAACCCACTCCTGCCTCTATCATAGCACTTACTCACTGAATTTAAGCTTTCTACTTTTTGTCTTCTCTGTTAGATTATAAGCTTATATCAGAGATAGTTTTCTTTACAGTCCTAGGACCTGGCACAGTGCCTGATTATTGTAGGTGGACAAAAACTCAATTTTTAATTTATTCCTGGAAAGTACGTTTCTAATTTCAACATCTTCTGTATAGTTCAGCCCCACTTCTCTTCCTAGACTGAGCTCAGAGAATCTGTGCAGATTCAGTGCTCTAGATCCCTCCTTGTCCAATGTGGGAGTTTAATTACTTCTTTAGTTAACGTTGTTAAGGTATAATTTACAAGCATTAAGATGAACACACATTAGGTGAACAAGTCAATGAATTTTGACAATCACATATTCCTGCATAGTCGCCACCATAATCAAGATACAATGAATTAATTCCACCACCTCTCATGTTTCCCTAATTCCCTAATTCTCCATTCATGGCTCCAAAGACCACACTTCCCAATATCAAGGTAAGTTAGAAAGATCAGTAGCAAGAGAGAGATTTGAAAAAAGCAGTCAAGGTACGCTTTATGGAAAGGACACATAGGCTTTCTCTCAGATATCCCTCAGCAAATCATATCTGGGCTACAATGTAAGAAATCAGTAGAATTTCATGAGAAGAATACTCCTAACAAGGAAGCCTGGCACTGGGCTGAGAGCAAGGACGGAGGGCGCTGGTTCTGACTTTGATGCGAACTCGCCATGTACACCTTGGAAAATCCTTTTCCTTTGTGAACTCCTTATCCTTCTCCTCCTTGGCTTTCTCCTAGTCCTCTTATAAAATTATTAGCTAAATCTTTAGGACTTTTTTTTTCCAATGGGAAATGTCTGGTTTTTAAAGGAAATCACAATTCCCTCATCTGTAAAATGGGAATAATTACAGCATCTGCCTCATCGTGTTGTTATGCGGGTGAAATGAGGCATTCATGGAAAGTGGTTAGAGCAGAGCACGCATGTAGCACAAGGGCTCAGTCAATGTCAATCATGATGATGATGATGTCGCTAGTGATGATTATGATTGCAAGAGAACAAGGGAATTCTCCAAGGACCCAGGACACAAAGGAGTCATGAAATAGAGTAGTGAGTGTGTGAGCACTGGGGTAGGGTGGGGGGTACACCTTCTGTTCCTGTGCCCTAGGTGGCCAGGGTATAGCAGGAACCTAAGGCAAGGAACTGAATGACACTTTCACTCTGGAAGGTTGTGGAATGTTCCATAAGGTTGGAACCTTAGAGAGCCTCTAAAAGTTGAATTAGAAAAAAGATCCCAATATTAACATGGGGGCAATAAGAACTTTGTCTGTCTTGACCTGAGCTCTGGATGAAGCAGCTGTGTCTCTGCAGGGAATGTGTAATTGCAGGTCTGTGCTGCAGGTGAATTTGGGATTCAGATATATACTTCCTATGTGGATTCACTCCTGGAGCCCCTGACAGAGGCAAATATAGAACTATTTTTGGAGGAACATGCTCTTTCCCAGGCCACACACGAGTTCTAGTTCCCACGTTTTCCTCCTGAAGTTGTTCTCATAGTCCAAATTACCAAGCACAGGAGAAAACAACTGATCATGAGGAAAAATCACAAACCACACCTTCTTAGGCTCCTGTGGATGGCAAGTAATTAAATAACGCAAGAGGGACTATGCAGGAATTCATGTGGAAATACGTAAGAATCAAATACATAAATTAAAGGACATTGAAAAGTACATTCCTAGTATATAGAGTTTTGAAAATAAAAAATCAAGTCAGGAAAATTTCAAAATCTCAAGGAATGGTTAAACATTGTCAGAAAAAATAAAATTACTGAATTGGAAGATAAATCCCGGAAAGTCACCCAGAAATACAGAAATGGGGACTATGGAATAGCAGTTAAGAGTGAGAAGACCCAACGCATGCCTAACAGGAGCTTCAGAAAGAGGGCTGAGAAGTGATACTTGAGGAGATAATGGAGGGCCAACAATTTTCCAAGGTTACCAAAGGTCCTGGGCATGGAAAATAATCAGCCAATATGTAAAACAATCAGACAGTACTCTGGATGAAGCTGCAACGGTAGATCAAGTAAGGCTTTCAAAATTGCCCCACACTTATGGCACAGGCCGCAGCCCTCAGTGGTCTCCAAGAGGCTCTGAGAGACCCATCCGACTGGCTGCAGACTGATGTGTCCACATTTTCCAGTTCATTCTAAAATTGTAATGACTGTAATCTCTGTGCTTATTATATTCACATCCATCTTACCTTGTGTCCTTATCTTGAAAGGAAATCTGAGAAATTAATAAGCAAAGAGCCTGACAATTACATGGCAATTCCACCGTGCCCCCAGCCGGCTTCGTCTAAAAACTGCCACTCTCTCCTTGCTGTGAACAGATCATCTCTGTCGCTTTTCTCCATATACTCAGGGCTATTCCACTAACGAAACGGGTTCTTGTCTTCAGTGCCAGGGGCAAGGTGACATTCCTTAAGATTTATTATTATTGTTTTCCATAACCCGAGGAATGTCAGTCCTTTAAAAGCCTCTGCACCATGTTGATTTTCTAAGTTAACTCTGACTTAGCATAGATTTATTGGCAAGGGTTGTGGTTTGCCTTGTGTGTGTGTGTGTGTGTGTGTGTGCATGCGTGGGTGTGCCTGTTTGAGACACAAAGGTGAAACAAGAGATAAAACCAACATTTATTTGGCTTTAACATGGGCCATTGCCTCAGCTAATTGCTATTATTTATGCCAATTCTTTCCCTTCTCATAGCAGTCACATTAGGAGAGCAGTATCATCCACATTTATCACATGAGAATCAGGCTCAGAGAGGTTAGGTACAGTGGAGGGTCACTTAGCTACAGGGTGTACGAAAGAAAAGGACTAATAGAGAAAGAATGACTCTCTGGAAAGAGTCCAGAATCCATATGGAAAATGGAAACACAATGTTGTGTGGTCTGATCCAGGCTTGTGGGCAGAAGGGAAGGCCCCTACAACTTGATATGTCTTCCTCTTTGGAGCCTAGTAAGTAATGGTGCTGGGTGCTGGTGTAACTCATGTCTCCCAGACAACCTTAACTCAAGCAACTTGAGACTCCCATACAAAAGCATATCATCAAGCCTTGTTTTCCCGGACTTGCACTCAACTCTCCTTCCTGCTGGCCTCCCCGGGTGCGTCCTGTGCTGTGTCATCCTTCCACAGTCATCACGTGACAATGAACACCCAACATCACCCCACACCCCATACTACCAAGGACATTTGTTCTCTCCGAGGCTGTTAGCTCTTTTTGTCCCAAGTACAATTCGCCCTCCTTCCCCTGGGGGCCGGCTCCCTTTGGCTGTGGGTTCTTTCATGTCTGTCACATCAACAACACTTTCTGTTGAGAGGCTAGTTGTTTGCAATGATAATTAGACATGCACCTTTCTGCACCACACGTCCAGTTTTTCTCATGCACTCCAGCCCTGTCCTTTGAGCGGCACACATACTGCAGCTGCTGTCACTCTTGGGACAGGATCAGAGTCCAGAGCGCAGGAGTGAAGGGACATAGACCTCTGATATATACTAGCTGTGTTTCCTTGGGAAAGTTTGCCTCTCTGAGCCTCTTTCCTCAATGGAATATTGGGATGATAATCCTACCCATGGGGTTGCCTTAAGGATTACGTGGGAAACGTCCATGTAAGACCTCTGTTACAATAAATGCTCAATCTTTCTGGTTCTCCATCCGACCCGCTGCTCCATCCCCTAGTTCTCAAGGTGGGCATGCCGGTGAAGTTGCTCCTAAACATGCTCTATTCACAGATTTGACACTTGTGGAGGAGAAAAACACCCCACTTCAAAGGACAAAGGAGACTGACAAGGTTTGTTGGGTACAGAGGAAAGAGTCTGAGCTATTGGATCAAAACCCGACAACCTCATTTCCTGGAAAATCATGTAACTTCTCTGAATTGCATTTATAAAACCTGAATATGTGCCTCATCGGATCACTCTAAAAATTCAATGAGACAATCTGTATGAAAACATGTGCCGGCATGAAGGTTTGCGTAAAGTCATTCGTTCAGGAAACCTTTCTGAGCTAGCCCAGTCCAGTCTTTGACATCATCTCAGGGGGAGCTGCTAGGTTTAGGACAAGCACAATAAAACCAACACCAAGCCAGAGGTGTGCAGGTGGCATCTGGGTGCCTGGCCAAGACACTAAGGCCACACTCTGAATTCTTATACAAACCCAGTGCCTATCTCGTCACAGAGATTTTTCTTTTCAGGGCGGGGGGGTGGGTACTAAAATCCTCAGCCTGTCCGTGGCCCAGAGCATTTTCAGGTGAGAATGTCCTGGACAACGCATCGTGCGTTTCCCCTGGCAGACAGCTCTCTCCTGCACCCTCCCGGCGGCGGCGGCGCTCCTCCCAGCCCGTCCAACACTGCCCTCTGGTGGCAGCAGGTCGCAATTTCATGGCTCTCCGACTGCCCCTCTGCTGGGGCTCCTCCCTTCCCAGGCCCCATTCCGGCTGCGAGGGCGCTGAGCGAGTCCCAAGGGCAGGCAGTTTCTCTGCGAGTTCCAGATTCCTACATTGTCAGCTGATCTTTCCTCTGCATTCACGCCCCACCCAATCCTGAGTGATCATCAGGCTCACCTGATCCTGTTTAAAAGCCTTTATGCCCTTCCGCAAAGCTCATGGTCTTGGCATAAAACCAAATCTGCTCCTTCAGCGAGAGCTCCTCTGTCCACACGTCCAGTCTCGGCTCTGGAGCCGTCCTTCGGAGGTACTGCCAGCCCGTGGTTCCCAGGCCCAGCTCCCTGTCCTGCCTGAGCTCATTCACTGCACTTCCCGCTTCAGCCTTGCACGCCCTTTCCCGCCACCGAGCAGGTGGCTTAAGCTCTTCAGAACCCAGAGGGATGTCACTTTCTCCATCAGGACTTCTCCGGCAACTCCCCCTACTCTGAGCTGGGTGCAGACCTAAGCCCTGCTTCCCACTCTGTCACAGGCCTTTCCCACCAGACTCAGCTTCTAGACCCAGCAATGGCATTTTGTTTGCATTTTAAAAAATCACCATAGCCCTAAGACAGAATACAGTGCTGCCCGTGGAGACTGAATAAATGTTGAATGAAAATGGTCTGTAGCTTGAGAACTAGAGGAAGAGTAGATGCTGCAAGGGTAACAAGTCATCACTATTACTTACATTCTCACTAATAATAATGGTCCTTATTGAACAATTCTCCTATGCGAGGCACCATTAACTGCTTTAAATGCATGTTCTCATTGAATAGGCCTCTATATGATGTAGTGAGCATCTGCAAATACTGTCTCATTGAGCCTTCACAGCAACCTTGGCAGGGAGGAGAACAAGTGTTAGATCCATGTGACAGAGGAGAAAACGAAAGTCGGGGAGAGGTGGGTGACCAAGCATCCAAGAATAGTGTGAGAGCCCAGATTTTGCAATCTCTCTCCTAGTGACACAAGTCTGCTATACTTCATGTATACTCTTCCACCTCTTCCTGAAAGAGACAGGTCTCCAGAGACGAAGTCAAACACAGGAATGTGCTTCCACCTGCAGACCCAGGCTGTAAAAGCAGCTTCTCCTCTCTCGCTTCCAGTTTCTAATCAATTATGGAGGAAATGACAGTGGAGAGGGGAGGAGAGAGACACTCCATAGTGACTGCAGCTCATTGAAAAGATACCCGAGGCTTTGTCTCTGCAGCCACAATGCCCAGCTGGGAACACCAGGGCATATATACATAGGATTTGGGTGGATGACACTGAGACAAAGGAAAAATGACAAACCAAGTGAATTAAGTGAAGGTGAAATAAACGGTGCTCAGCAACAGATGGGGCTGGTGCTGGGTAATTTTCTCCTGTCACCTCCCCTCAGGTAATAGATAATCCTGCAGCTGCTGGATTTCCTGGGAAGTCAGGCACGGGGCCTGAGTCTCCTTCGTGTTTGGAAGCCATGCCCCCCATTCCTTAACCTGTCTTGATGATAAAAATCTTAAGAGCCAAAACTTTTTGCAAGACTTATCCTGGCGATTTAACTCCGTCCCGGCTAAGGTTGCTATCCGTCAGGCTGTCATGGTGACAGGCAGATTTGTAAATGTTCTGGCTCCAGTGTCAGGTTGAAGGTGACATTTTTCAGCTGGAGATTTTTTTCCTCATCCCTCACAGAGACAGAACAACTAAGAAAGAGGAAAGCAATCCCCTGAATCAGCCTCTGCCCCACTCGCAGTCAGCCTGCCCAGGGTGTTGACTCCTGAGCTCTGGGATTGTTTGTGAATTTCCCCAGCCCACCTCTGCCCTGACCCCCATGCCCAGAACACAGTGATTCCCTGCAAGGCCAAACTCCCAGTCCCAACCCTCCCCACCCATCTGCAGGCCTGCCCAACTTGGCCTTCTAATGACTTGTCTTGGCTGATGGTCCCTGCTCTGCCATTACTACTATAAATACTTACATAGATTAATTAACCACAATGTAAAACCCAGAATCCCAGCTAAATTCATTTAATGACCTGCCGTGCGATTTCTTGGCTGAAGCATCTGACACTAACCCTGAATGCTCAGTGACATTCACCCCTTTGATTCTTTCCTGGAATCACTAGGCAATCGAGTCTCCTTTTTAACCCCTTTTTTGCCTCTGACTTTACTTTCAGGGTCTATAACCCTGAAGGAGTCACACAGAGGTTTGGGTGATTTGGTTTCTTGGGTTCTTGCCTGATTCTCTGCATTTGTGTGACATCCTTTATGAAGCTAGGGAAGGCACTTTCATCCCTGATGCCACATCAAAGCTTAGGTAAGAACAGTTTTATATGGCTGCATTTCTTGGCCCAGATGCCAAAATGGAAACGCTCTCTCTTTCCTCTGTCTACTCTCATTCTGTCTCCTCTCTATCCCCTCTCTTTCTCTCTCAGTTTCTTCAAAAAGGACCTAGCATTATTCAGAGATCTGCCTGGGAGATGGTCTAGGCTTGTGTCAGCATCACCCAGAGATCTGCATGGGAGGTAGGCTAGCCCTGTGTCAGCATCACTCAGAGATCTGCATGGGAGATAGGCTAGCCCTGTGTCAGCATCACTCAGAGATGTGCATGGGAGATAGGCTAGCCCTGTGTCAGCATCACCCAGAGATCTGCATGGGAGATAGGCTAGCCCTGTGTCAGCATCACTCAGAGATCTGCATGGGAGATGGACTAGCCCTGTGCCAGCATCACCCAGAGGTCTGCATGGGAGGTGGCACCTCTTGTAGGCAGGGTCTAGGGGCATCAGAGTCAATCCTGGAGGGAAGGTTTCAAGCCCTAGAGTGGAAGGACAAGAGAAAGACCGAGGTTGTAAAGAACCGCGAAGTGTCAGCCTGTGACTCCCTGCCCGTTTCCTCTGTTTTTCCTCCCTTCCCTTTGAGACTTTTCACTCGTGCTTACCTAGGGGCCATGTGGGATGCCTTGATGACAGTTCCCACGCCTGCCCGCAGTCCCATCCAGGAGGGGGTCCAGCTCCCTCTTTTTTCTCGATCAGATGCCATAGTGTTCAACTTCTTCATTTAGAAAAGCTAACGATATTTACCTCGCCCAGCAGTCTTGTTTTGTTCGTGTTATGAGTAATGAGTAACATGACACACGAAAGACGCCTGGCACCTGGCGGAGCTGTGTGGATGCGCCGCCTCCCTCCCAGCCCCGGGACCGCTGCGCCCAGCCCAGCCCCGCTCCGCTCAGCCCCGCGCCGCGGAAAGAACGCGCCAGCGCCACCTGGCGGGGCCGAGCGGGAGCGCGGGGTGGCTGCGCCCTGGGGTTGCCATCTTTACCCGCTGTGGGGTTTATATTCAGCAGAAGACAACATGGAAGAGAAGGAGGAGAGAAAACAGTGAAGGACATGGAAGGGAAGTCGGGGGGGGGCTTTCAGGGAAGACAAGGGGATGGAGTCCAGGCGACGACATCGCCTTGGCGGGGGGCCAGGAGGGAGCAAGGTGGTGTGGGGTCCACGCCTGCCCACGCCCCGCGGCTCTCGGCTCGGCCAGCCTGGACCCGGAGCTCCTCGTGACGTGGACTCCCTGGGCGCACGGGGCGGAAAAGGAGCGGCCGCCGAAGAAGCTGCCTTATCATCCGGGCAGCGCCTTGGGCCCAGACCCACAGGGGCGAACTCCCCGCGGCCCCCGGCCGCCAACAGAGGGGCGCTTGCTGGGCCTGAGGATCTGAACTACGTTCTGCGAAGGTCAAGGACTGAAGGAACCGCCCTGGCACTGCGGGGGGACGGGCCGTAGGCTGTGGGTGCAGGGCCGGGGGTGGCCTGGGCCCCTGGTGCGCCCTCCGGGGGCTGCAGGCTTTGCTTAGAGCACAGCCCAGGGCTCCCCGGCTCCAGAGTGGGGCAGGCGCCGGATCCTCTGCGGTCTGAGACTCGCCCACCCAGACCGCACACCCTTCCAGAAAGGGCAAGGCCCCGCTGAGTGATCAAAGCCCCTTGCTCCCCACCCGCTCCAAGGGCCCTCGCTGAGGATTTCCCCTTCTCCTCCCTGGGTTTCGATCAAGGCAGCTTCCACTTCCACCCGCCCCTTGACATTTCTCTCCGCTCTGATGGGGAAGTGACGGGGTGGACAGGACAAACAGCTTCCTTCTGAGCCCCGTCTTCACCCGCCGTGTGCCTCAGGCTGGCTCTGCTCCATGATCCCAAACTGTAAGGAGGAATCCTCCCATTTTGTTCCCCAAGGATGTGGGCCACGGCCTACGCTTAGCACCCACGTCCTGCCTTCCTTGGACCCCAGGCTGCTTCTCACTGCTTCCAGCCATTCTCCCGCACTCAGGCCCCGCGCCCCGCGCTCTGACACCTTGCAGATGGGAAGTGTGTTCTGTATTTCCGTACAAGGCAGCGTCCACGGTGTATGTTTCTGAGGGCAGAGAACGCTTTCCCTTCCGGGTAAGCGTGGAGTCCCCTGGGTGCTTGGGTTCTGCCGTGAGCCCATGCTGAGCCCGTGCAGCAAGGTTCGCGCTGAGCCCGTGCAGCATCTCCACAGTCCCCGGGAACTGACTAGGTGCGCTGGGCTGGCTTGGGCCGGGTTTCTGCCATCTGATCTCGGGGTGTTTGTGTGTCATGCCCACCTCTTCTGGTACTGGGGTTCACATCTCTACCTGCTACATGCATCCCCCTGGGAGAATGCCTGCCCCTCGATTTCTGGAATTCTGACAGTTTTGTTCATATTCCTAATGAAATATCTGTGAATGTGTGAGTTGCACCAAGGTGTTCAGGGAAGCCTCGCTGCGTGTCATACTTTTCTCTCCTCTCATCTGGATTCCAGGCCTTCTCTGCCATCTTGGTGTGCTCCTCTACCCAGTTCCACAAATAGGTGAGCTCAGGGACAGACGTGTGAGGGGAGAGACGTGCTGATCTCATCATGAGTGATCATGAGATCTCATCATGAATTCAGCAACATGGGTCTCTGCCTGTGAGACCACCAGGTTCATGTCCTCTCTGCTGTCATTGCCAACACAACAGCATAGGGTTATCCCATAGAATTTCATCATATGTGGACGAGGGAGCCAACTGTGTAAATGAGAATCCCTCTACCCAGGTAATAGGTATACGACCAGTAATAACTGGTATTGCTGAGTCTCTCTGGAAGGCTGGCAGGTGGCAAGAGTGGGAGGAGGTGGCCTGGGGTGCCAGCTGCCAGCAGGAAGGGTGAGAACAGCTTTGACCCCACCTTCTGAGGAGTGCAGTCCAAGCCTGCGGTATGGGAGGGGAGATGGGACAGAGAGGACCCAAGATCCATGGCACCCTTGCTGGCCTTCCGTTTTCCGTCCTCTCAGAAGGCTGCTGAGGCCCAGCCAGCCCCTCCTAAAGGACTTCACCTCCACCTGTCCTCAGAACATCTGTGAAGGACTGAGTGCTTCCAGGGCAATGGGGCCAAAAGCAACATCTGTGGGGAAACTGAATTCCAGGGGATGAATCTCATGAGTCTGGCCTAGGGACTGAGATAGTGTTGAATTAAACCCCTGAAAGTTGTTTTTCTAAAGAGCTTTTGTCCTGTGCTGGGATCAGAAGAGACACAGATTCACTCTGCCCTGGCTCTGACCCTTCTCCTTTCTCAGTCCTTCCAGCCCCTCCTGAGCCAAGCCTTTTTACCATGGCTAGCTTCTGAGGGGCTGGGCAATACTGGGTGGGGAGGCAAGGCAGGGCCAGAGCAGCCTTCCCTGCCGGGCCACCTGTGTTCCTGCCTGGCTCTGGTCCTGGGCCCTCCCCGCTGCCTCATGCTGAGCCACAGGCAGTGCACTGGCTCCCAGGAGAAGGGGCTCGGTCCTCACAAGTAAAAAGCAGAGCTCCGGGTAGGGAGACATCCTTGGAGAGTGTTCCTTCCTTCCTCGGGGGCTGCGGGGATTTTCCTTAACAAACATCCAATTTATTGGTAGCTCTCGTTTTCACTGAAGGCATGCACGTGTAAAATTAAAACTAACTAAATGCATTTTTAAAAACCAACTAGCTAACTAAGAGTGTGTCCTGCAGAACGCACCAGGGCTCTAACAATCCTAAGGAAACACCTCTACAATGTGTGGGGCTTCACAGGCCTCTGAGCAGGGGTGACACCATCTCAGACGGGGATGGGACACCTGCCCATTGGTCTGCAAGATGGTAATATTTTCTGAGGGTCCTAGTTTCTGTTTCAAAATGGTGCTCCAGACAGCAGGACTGACGGTTTGGGTGTCTGATCTCTAGGAGCAGCTGGTGTCTTCCACACACGCATCACCCCCACCCCTGAAGAAGCAGCATCAAGCTCAACCCACAGCATGAACTGGGCCCTGCTGCCTGGTAGATGCTGGACAGTCACTGGGGGTGTGAAGCCGACAGGCCAGGCGCTGCCGCAGGGCAAGAGCAACCCGGGGCACAGAGGGGGCAGCCAGAGAAGAGCCTGCCCAGCGTGTGCCTGGGAGCAGCAGGCGGAGGGAGGAGCCGCGACTCTTAACGCCTTTGGGGTTTTGGAGCTAAACTCACTGACTTCTCCAAAAGAGAAATGACATGTGCCATCCCATTCTGATGTGTTTGGAAGGCATTTTTCATGGACTTTCAAAGTAACCATTAACAAGGTTTTTCTGAGTTAGTGGCGTGTGCTATCCAAGCTCCTTCCAACCCTGCTTTGAAACCCGCTTTCAGAAACCCAGGAGGGGCACGGAAGGAGGACGGGCAAGCTGCTTTCCCCCCTGTCTGGAGTCCGCTGAGAGGGGCCCTCCCCCGCCCCGGGAGCCTGTTCTCCAGCTCGGTGGAGGCAGCCTCGCGGCTCGGGGGGCGCGGGTGCCCTCCGGTGGCCGTTCTGGGGAGCTGCAGGCGCGCCCCCGCGGCATCTGCGGCTCCTCATCCAGATGTGAGAACTGCCTGGCAGCGCGCGTCGCACCCCTCCGGGGTTTATTAGCCTGCTGCAGTGTCAGTGCAATAATAACTCCTGGGAGGCTATCACACCACTATTTCCATTCAGAGGAGGGCTATTCCATCAACGACTCCAGAGGCCTGCGTGGTAAATGAGTTTTCTTTTAAAAATACGTCCACTGATTGCTTTGCTAGGACACATTCGGCACCAAGGGGATGTGAGTGTGGGGCTGGAGGATACGTGGGGTGGGAGCGGGGTGGAAACCATCCAAAGATCTACAGCAGAGGCCAGGGAGGAGCAGCGGGACTTCACAGCCCTTCCGCCACCAGACCCAGGGGCCCCCTCGCCTGTGGCCGCCTGTCCCTCTCCCAGTGGCACTCCTGTGGAATGGTTTTGTTCTTTGAGGAGCACAAACCTTGGACATTCATATTTCGGTGCGTCCCTTGCAGCATCCCCCACTCCCACCCGAGGCACTTGGGCGGCACTAATTCAAGTAACTTGTGGCTGCCCCACTCGGCAGCCACCCCCGGGGGCGAAGGTGAGGTGGACAGGGAAGACAGGCAAGGCGGGACGCCGGCCCCACGCTGACGCCCATGAAGGCCCCTAGCCTGGGGCCAGGCCGGTGATGGTCTGAGGAGCAGAGGGCTCTGCCGGGACCCTGGAAGGCCCAGGCCACAGCGGGTCGCAAACCTTACAGCCCTCATTAGAGTCACCCAGCACTGATGTCCCGTGTCCCTGCCCGAAGCCGCAATTGGAAGGGGCAGGCATCCCTCTGGGTAGCGAGATCACATTCAAGCAACTGGGGTGGGAGGGGCGCTGGGAGGGTGCAAATGGCTGTCAACCAGCTGACACCACGCGTGACGGTGTTGTCACGTTTCATGCAGGTACAATTTTCCTTCTCCCCTGGAACATGGGGTTAGTGAAATCATTTGCTACTTTCTAACAGCAGTGGGAAGCATTGCATGACGTGGAGGGGCCCTGGGACTGAGCCCTGACCTGCCCCTGAGTCCTGACCCGCAAGTGAGGTGAGTGTTTCCCAGCTCAGTCCCTGCTGTCTCTGAGTCCAGCAGTTCAGGTTGTCCCGAACTGGGGCAGAACGTGGCCCTGCGGCCTGGGCTCCGCTGCCCCCACACCCTCCCACCAGGGCGCCGCTTCACTCCAGTGTGCCCTGGCAGGTCAAGTCTGGGTTATGATTGCCTCTAATTAGCATTTCCAGCAGATGGAACATTCTCCAACCTCCAGCCCACAGCTAAGTGCTTCTTAGAAAAGGCCCGAAATTATTTTCTACCTTTGAAAACATCAAAGGAAATCAAAGGAAATGACCCCATTCCGATCTGTGCCTCTCGGCCAGCCTCGTTATGGCCGTATTCAGGTGGGACTGAGCCATGAGGGGCACATAGAGGAGTTTCTGAACCAGATGCGGTTGACCCTTGAACAACATGATTTGAACTGCACGGATCCACTTATACGTGGATCCACATAAAGTAAAAGTTACACCAAGAGTGCCTGCACTTCCTGCCTCCTCCTCTTCTGCCTCCGCCACCCTTGAGACAGCAGGACCGATTCTCCTTCCTCCTCCTCCTCTTCCTCCTCAGCCTACTCATGGTGAACATGGCGAGGATGAAGACCTTTATGATGGTCCACTTCCATTTGATTAATAGTAAATACATTTTCCCTTCCTTACTATTTTCTTAATACCATTTTCTTTCCTCTAGCTTACTTTATTGTGAGATTATGGTATATAACACATAACATGCAAAATCCATGTTAATTGACAGTTCATGTTCTCAGCAAGGCTTCTGGGCAACAGTAAATTATTAGGACTTAAATTTTTGAGAAGTCAAAAGTTATACATGAATTTTCAACTAAGCAAGGGGTCGGCACCCCCAACCACCGCATTATTTGAGGGTCAACTGTAGTTCCTGACAGGATGGTGAGCAAGTTCCCAGGCCCAGCCTGCTCTGAGAGAGGCCTCCTGGGAGACCGTGGTCTGTGGCCTGTGGCCTGTAGCTCTCTGGTGGGGACTGGGGAGGGGACCCTCATCAGCCCCTGTCTGTTTAGCCCCTTATGTGTTCCTCCTCCCACTCCTTTGACATGGGAAGATCCTGGGAGGCAGGGCCAACTCCAGACTTCTTTGTAAGCATCCTGAGCCCAGGATAGCACTTCTTATGTAGGACAAGGCTGTGGGATGTCAGAGCTGGAAAAACCCTCTAGTTACCATGACTTGATTCTAAAAACTTATATATTGAGTGTCTTCTTTATGCCGATATTCTAGACACTATGGGTGAAAAAGTGAACAAAACAATGTCCCTGCTCGTGTGGAACTTCTATTTTTGTGGAGGTAGATTGACACTAAACAAATAAACAAGTGAATGCTACTATGTCACATTGAAATCCTTAAGCAAAATGATTTTTTTAAAAAAAGGTAAGGAGAGAGTGTGCTGTGGCTCTGTGTCTACTGAAATAGGGCGATTGGCGGGCATTTCTGATAAGAAGTGAAGGAGCTATTCACTTGCTACGAGGGGGCGGAGCACTGCCAGCAGAAAAGTAGAAAGCACAAAGGCCCTGAGGCAGGAATGTGCTTGGCGTACAGGGGACCAGCTGAAGATGGAGGCCAATGTGTTTGCAGCAGAGTAAATAGAGGGTCAGAAACAGACGGGATCAGAGACAAACTGCCATGACCCCACATTGCCATTCAGTTCTGGGGAAGTCTGAGTGCTGTCAGCCTGCCTGCCCGACTCTCCATGAGCCCCCAGCTGCTTCCCATGGATGCCCGACTCTCCATGAGCCCCCAGCTGCTTCCCATGGATGCTGGCTGGGGAGCCTCATCTGGCTTGAGGAG
Source organism: Homo sapiens (assembly GCF_000001405.40). Taxonomy (NCBI): domain Eukaryota; kingdom Metazoa; phylum Chordata; class Mammalia; order Primates; family Hominidae; genus Homo; species Homo sapiens. Next base: position 131,685,261 of record NC_000011.10, on the reverse strand, counting down.
TGCATCAGGAAGGACTGACTGGGGTTGGGCAGTGCTAGCTGCCCCCCAAGCTGATTGTTCTTGTCAAGGGCCCAACTGCTGGGCTTCTGCAAGGATCTCAAAGGGCCACCATTAATCCCTCTTCCCAGGGGCTTTGTAACAATTACACATGACACCTATGGAAGCTATTGTTTTAAAAATTCACTCCAACTTAGAATTTCTAGAAAGCTCATTCTTGGGTTGAGCCTTCCACCTAGATGGTCCTATCCCAGCCCTGAGCAGCTCGGAGTGGGTCTTCCTTCTGGGCTCTGGGCCAGCGTCCACAGAACAGATTCACGTTCACCCTAGTGGGGGCTCACTCACCCCTGAGGCTCACTCATGCCCTTGGTCTTCTTGCCCACCTCCAACTCAGGCTCTTCACCATGGTGGGGCTGGGAGTGTCGTTGTCCTACACAGCTGGAGACATGGAGTCCCAAGGAGTTGGCCCAGCCTGTATCTTGCACGGGTCATCTCCAGGGCCAGGGTATGCACTGCTGCCTCCAGAGGCCCTCTGCTCTCTAGGAATGCAGGAATGTTAGGGAAAGGAGGCTTCTCAAACAGAGGCAGGGAGGTGGCATGATGAGCTGGCCTGGGAAAGCCGCAGGGCCTCCAGCCTGGGACTGGGCCAAATGTCCACCTGCAGGTCCCAAAGCTGAGCAAATGAGGGGCCAGTGTCCTACATAAAGGAAGCGGCTGTGTCAGCCAGAGGACAGAGACAGTCCAAGGGCATGCTCCTCCCAGCTCCCTGGAAGCTGCAGGCTGGGGAGGGCACCAGGGGATGCTGCCAGCAGCTCAGAGGCTGTTGAGAAAAGGTTTCCAGGCAGAGTGGAGCAGGCTACCCACTAGGGAGTGTGGGGGAACTGCCTTTCTATAGTTTCCAGGTGGGGAGGGGGTGTGTGACTATAGCTTTATAATCTCAGAGACGTCACTTGCCACCCAGCCAGGAGGATCCTCCCTGGATCGCTGTGGTCAGGTTGGCAGAGCCAGAGAGAGTCACTGTCGTCAGGACGTCCTCGTGGTGAAGGCTGCTCACCCCACGTTGCTCTCCCCGGGGCCCGTGCCTCAGAGCCCCACACACAGGAGCTCATTTCACTCCCACAGCAAAATCCAGAGGGGGTTCTCCCAATTCCACAGACAGAATGAAGCAATGAAGTTAGGCGAGGTTAAGTGATCTTGAATTCTCCTCACACGGCCAGCCAGTAAGTAGTAGAGTTAGAATTAGAACCCAACTCTGCTGAACTCCAAAGCAAGTGGGGTTTGATTCAGTCCCAATAACCTCTTGCCACCGCCTGCCCTTCAGAACGCCCTTTCTAAGTGCAAGTACATCCCACCCTCCAGCAGATCAGCGCCTCACAAAGCAACACGCACCAGGGCTGGGAAGACCCCGGGGAGAAGTCAGCCTAGGACGCCATCAGCTCCAATGACAAAGGACAACCCAGAGTGCCCCCCAGGGGACCTTCCTCTAAAACTTCCAGCCACCTGCTCTTTGGCATCGCCCTGCATCACCCCAAAATATGAGCATGAATGCTGACGTGGGGATCAGGTCGCCTCACTCGTGCCAGCCCCCTCCAGAGCAATCATGATAGGATTTTTTATTCACGTTCCAGCCCTCTGCAGGGCAGGTTTAGTGTGAATACATTGACAGAGTGAACCTCGGACACATCCAGGGTCTATTTCTGCAACTACAAACCCACCCTATCATGCACAATTAGGGTCCATCAGCCCCCTTGATGTGCCTCCTCCCCTTCACCTCCACTCTCAGCTCCTAAGGCATCAACCTGGTCAGATTCCTTCTGGAGCCTATTGCATTATCCCTTCATTTCCCAAGAGGGGACTTAGGTACCAGAGCTGGAGGGCAGAGGTTGTTTCCCCTCCTCCCGTGCACCCTGCACAGTGCCCCGCTGCAGACAGCCCTGCCGAAGGGGCTCCTGTGATGTGCACATCCCCAGTCCCTTTCTCACCTCACTTCAGAGGAGCAAAAACCAGAGAAACAAAGCCAGGGGCTGCTGAAGCGCGGAGAGTGATGCTCTGCCAGGGAGGTGTTAGCATTCTTCTTTTGATTAGGAATAAAGCATGCAGACCTTCTGGTTGGGTTTTGCAGTAAGAAAGGGAAGCTTCGGTTTTAGAGGGAAAGTTCAGTTATAATGAATAATAATTGCTGTGCAGATGACTGTGGGTTGTTATTTTCGCCACAGAATTCCTAGAAAGTGGTATGGGCCTGCGTCCTTGCACGTGCTTGCGTGATAGAGAGAGAACGGTGGGGAGCTGGTGTTGGGATGTGTACGACATCTACCTGCCTTTTCCAGCTCATCCCATTTCACATCTCAGTCCCGGCTGGTAGGTAAAATGTGCAGAGGGAGTGTGGGCGCAACATGCTTCCCAGGAAACAGCGGCTGCCACCGTGATCCAGTAGGTACTGGGTCGGCCCCTCTCTTGGGCCTCCAGGAGCCAAAGGGGATCCAGCACCGAGAGGGAGCTGATTTCGGATATGGCTGTCAGAACTGAATGGATGCAGGCAACTTTCAGTGGAGGCGCTGAGAGCAAATTGCAGCAGAGATGCGCTCAGGGTGCAGTAACAAGGAAGGACCCGCTCTCCGTGTCAGTGGCCTGCAGGGGAAGTGAGAACCGGGCTCATGCTGGGCTCCTCTACTTTGCAGGGTTTAAGGCCGGCAGGCTCCCTGGTCCCCACCCAGGGTCACAGTCCTGAGCAGGCTGGCAGAGGAGAGGGCTCCGCTCTCCAGCTCTGCAGCTGCATGCGTGCCACGAGGAGGGAGGGCCCTCAGCCTCCCAGGACTCCCTGCAGCCGATGGGGTTAGGATAGCAGGAGCAGGTGAAGGCTCTTCTGAATGGGTCCTTCGGGGTCCTTGCAGAACACCCCCTGTGGCCTGCAACCACAGCTGCTGTTTTTGTACAGAGATTCTTAGATTAGTCCTCACAGCAGCCTTCCAGGCAGGTATTGCCCCATTTTCCAGGAAGGAAACCAGAGGCTCCTCAGCTATACAGCATGCCAGCAGGGCTGCCTCCATCAGTAGCTCACAGAGGAAGGCGTTCAGATCAGGAACGGGTGAGACCTTGCAGGAGTCAGCCAGGCATCCCTCGTGCCAGGGAGATGACCCAGTGATGACCCAGCCACTGCCCGTGGAGGGCGGGTGAAAGGTGTCACTAGGTGCGTCGGTTCTGCCTGCAGCCCTAGGGGCTGGGTCCTCGGTGTACTTTTTCCAGAGACAGCACTTGAGATTGGAAGGACTGGTCAGCTCAGCCTACCAATTGCTTTTCACTTAGCCGGGTTCTCTAGCCACAGGGTGAGGGTGAGAACACACACACACACACGACACACACACAGACACACGCAAGGAGACACACAGACACAGACGCACACACGCTCACACACACAGGGAGACATACACACAGACACAGAAACACACACGCTCACACACACAGGGAGACATACACACAGACACAGAAACACACACGCTCACACACACAGGGAGACATACACACAGACACAGAAACAAGCTCACATACACAGGGAGATACACACACAGACACAGAAACACACACGCTCACACACACAGGGAGACATACACACAGACACAGAAACACACACGCTCACACACACAGGGAGACATACGCACAGACACAGAAACAAGCTCACATACACAGGGAGACATACACACAGACACAGAAATACACACGCTCACATACACAGGGAGACATACACACAGACACAGAAACACATGCTCACACACACAAGGAGACATACACACAGACACAGAAACACACACGCTCACACACACAGACATACAGACACAGAAACACACACGCTCACACACACAGGGAGACATACACACAGACACAGAAACACACATGCTCACACACACAGGGAGACATACACACAGACACAGAAACACACACGCTCACACACACAGACATACAGACACAGAAACACACACGCTCACACACACAGGGAGACATACACACAGACACAGAAACACACGCTCACATACACAGGGAGACATACACACAGACACAGAAACACACACTCACATACACAGGGAGACATACAGACACAGAAACACACATGCTCACACACACAGGGAAACATACATACACAGAAACACACACGCTCACACACACAGGGAGACATACACACAGACACAGAAACACACACGCTCACACAGGGAGACATACAGACACAGAAACACACACGCTCACACACACAGGGAGACATACAGACACAGAAACACACACGCTCACACACACAGGGAGACATACAGACACAGAAACACACACGCTCACACACACAGGGAGACATACAGACACAGAAACACACATGCTCACACACACAGGGAGACACACACACAGACACAGAAACACACACGCTCACACACACAGGGAGACATACACACAGACACAGAAACAAGCTCACATACACACACACACACACACACACACAGGCACTCACATAGACATAGGCATGATCTCACACACAGACACAGAGGCACACATGCCTATGCAAACATATGCACACACACACAGGCACTCACAGACACAGACACAGGCATGATCTCACACACAGACACAGAGGCACACATGCCTACACAGACACACACACAGGCACTCACAGACACAGACACAGGCATGATCTCACACACAGACACAGAGGCACACATGCCTACACAGACACACACACAGGCACTCACAGACACAGACACAGCCATGATCTCACACAGACACAGAGGCACACATGCCTACACAGACGTGCACACACACAGGCACTCACAGACACAGACACAGATATGATCTCACACACAGACACAGAGGCACACATGCCTACACAGACGCACACACACACAGGCACTCACAGACACAGAAACACACATACACAGACAAGTACATAGACACATACATAGATGTGCTCAAATCCACAGAAAAGTTCATGTTATTAGGTATTCCCATGTTTCTCTAACAGCCCATATCTGGTATCTTTTCCGATTCATTTTGGTAAAATCCAAAATGTCAATTTCATGAGCAGGCCAGCCCTTGGTGAGGGAGGGCAAGGTGCTGTGACGGCCAACACAGAGACGTAAATACCAGAGAAGGATGGGGGGTCAGGGCTCCTGGACTGTCTTTGTCTGGGTTCACATCTTGCAGTCACCCAGAGAGCCTCATCTCCCCTTGTCCAGGAGGGATTTACTGAAGCTCGATAAAAATCTGCCGCTGAATATTGCTATAAAATATCATTCTTTCTCAAGGCGCTTCACTCAGAGAATCCTAAACTAGTAGATTCACCTTTGCATGACTTTGTTAAAAACAAAAAAGGAGTTAGTCAAACATCAGCACTAGCCTTCTCCATCGGAAAGCCCATGCCTCAAAATTCTCCTAACAAACAGTGGTTCTCAATGTCAGCCTGCATCAGGGTGACTGGGAGGGCCGTCAGAACCCAGCTCTCTGGAGCTCACCCCAGAGTTTCCAAGTCAGTATTATCTGTGGTGAGACCCAAGATTTTACATTTCAAAGAAGTTTCAAGCGATACAGATGCTGTAACATTTTTACAATATTTCTTACTACCTTACTAGGGGGCACTAGTTATCTAGAAGCCATCAGAGGGAAATGGGAGAAACTGGACACAAATGGCAGAGGAAGAAGCATAATCAGAGGCACAGCGATCAGCTCCTGGGAAAGGCACCGCTGAAAGCTGGGCAGGCAGCATGCCCGCACTTCTGTGTCCACGCCCAGAAGTGGACATTATCAATCAATCACGGCTGCCTATCTTGTGGAGCCCAGACTTGGCTTTGGAATCCTTCTCAACCCAGTACCTTCTAAAGGCCGTAAAAATGATTGGGATTGGCAGGCACGATGACAACCCTTTCCTCCATTTGATCTAGAGTTTGGGCTTGACTCCACAGGCACCCCCTCCCTACTTCTTTCCATTGCACTTTCTTCTTTTCATGCATGGAACGCCCTTCTGTGTCTTTGCACATGGAGGCTATCTGGACTCAAGCACAGGGGAGGAGATGGGTGAAGAGCTGGAGGGAGCAGGTTCTGATGTGGGAGGCAGCAGATTCCCAAATGTCAGGGGGGCTGACTTCCATCTGTGAGCAGATCATGGAGCAAACGACGGTGGCCTAGAGGGGATTCCAGCCCTGAGTGGGCACAGAGCATGAATGGAGAAGAGAGTGGACAGGGGCAGCAGCTGCTCTCTGTGAGCACTTTCTCCAGAAATGAGATATTTTTTATTTTAAAAGCAATCATGTAACATGATAGCTGCAATAACTATGATAAAATGATGTCAGAGGAAGCTGTGTGCAAGAAGACGGACGTGTTAGCCGAAGGTAGCTGCTTGTGGGGCTCCTGAACCACTCTCTCTCCATGCACCGATGTGCAGGCCCCGTCCCGGACAGCCTTGTTCTAGCCTCGCTTCTGGCCATGCCTCTGCTTCACACGGAGCGTCAGAAGTCCAGACACGAGAGGCTCAGTCATAGAAAGTGGACAGATCCAGTGACAACCTCTTCCCCAAGGTGGAAAAGAAACAGGAGCTCCAAGAGCTCTTGCCAAAGAAAGAGATGGGAGAAGAGGAAGAGAGAGAGAAGGAAGAAAAGAGCAATGCCCTTGAGGAACTGTGACATGTAGCAGCATTGGGCAGTAGAATGTCTAAAACTCCTAGCCCCAGTAGTCAGGCCTTTCCTGCATCTCACAGCTCCACACTGGGAGAGGGAGTACAGGAGGAAGGGCATCTGTTTCAAATGCTCCTCTTTCTCTGCCATGATCAAGCAGGACTCAGAAGACCTTGCCCTTGGGGCCTCAGCTGCCCTCATGGCTTCTGTGTTGAATAGAGCAGAAATACCAGAGAGCAGAAAGCTGAGTGGTCAGCGCTGGGCCAGACCTGGGCACTGCCCAGAGCCAGAGGGCTGAGCCACCTACCCCTGTGATGGTCAGGCCATCCAGCCACCAGACCCCACTGAAACCCACATGGAGACAACTCACGAGTGCCCAGGGTGTGCCCTTAGAAGGCTGTCCAGGGCCTCATCAGCACATGGTCAGGCACCTGTGTTCTCTCCTCCCTCAAACCCCGGTCCAGTCTGGGCCCCAGGCAGGAAAAGGGAGACAGGGAGTTTGTTACCAGGGGCCCCGGAAGCTGCAATGCTCATGAATTCCTTAGTTCTCCAGCCTCTTCACTTCATCAAGTCAGTAAATAAATAAAGCTGAGAAGGTGGTGGAGGGAAGGGTGACTCTGGAGCCTATTAGCATACATCTGCATATCAGTGAAGAGACAAGGTCCTGCTTCAGGAGAGCTGATCACTTGCAGATTCAAATCAACCCTGTGACTTTATAGTAGGGCTTGCTGACCAGCTGTGTGTCACAAGGCTCTGTGTTATAGGGCCACCAAGGATGGCATAGGAGGAGTGGAGGGGACAAGGATGCCAGGCCTCTGCAGGGCGCTGGTAATGTGCTGTTCAGTCCTGACATTTCCTGACTGCATGAGGTTGAGCAAATGGCGTAACCTCTCTGAAACTCTATCTCTGCATCTTAACATATTGCTCATAGGAACTTTCTGGGTTCTTATGAGAATTTGGGCTTCTCTTGGCAAAGCGCTTGACCCTCAGTAAATGCTCAATAAGCCATGGACATTGCTGGTACCAGAGGCTTTGGAAGTGGGCACAGAGGGATCACCACTTGACAACTGGAGAGGAGCTCAGGGTCATGTATGGCTGCGTATGCAGCCGTCCTGCCTGGCCAGCCTGGCTTTCATCTTTCCCCATAGTTTTCCTCACAAGTTTTTCAATCTCACTATGCAGTTCTAGCTTCAGGCACCTCGCTGATATGTTAAAAATAAATAATAAACGATTGCATTGGTCTAGCACTTTGCTAGAGTTTATTAAGGACTTCTACCTGTAATATGCCATGTCATTCCCAACACTGCCACGAAAGGTCCTCACTGCAGAGAAGAGGAAGTGGACCTCCACGGGAGGCGGGTGATCTGCGCAAACTCAAATGGCCTGAAGTGGCAGGACAGACTTCAGGCCTTGAGCATCCATTCCTGGCACTCACTGCCTCCCACATAAGTTGTGCTTGCAAGCAGGGCAGGGCTCGGGGACCTGAGGCCACCAGGGCACAGAGTTCCTCCTATCCCACCGTGCGGTTTCCATATGTATTAGATGCCAGAGGCAGATCTAGCTGCTGGTGATTTGGGCAACATCTGAAAAGTGCCCAACACTACCAATCAGTCTGTCATCATCAAAAATGTCAGTGTCAGGAAAGACAAAGGCAACAGCACTGCTCCAGATACGAAGAGTCTAAAGAGATATGGCAACAGAACGCAGCTAAGTGGACAGGTCCGTCGTGAGGCGACTGTAATAACGGACATTATTCAGACTACTCCAGAGGCTGAAGTGGATCTGGGCTAAGTCTCTGGAATTCATACCTTGTGTTGTGGCTGTGGAAGAAGACGCCTTGTTCTTAGAAGGTGCATAGTAAATATGGAGGGAAGCTGTTCAATACACTACTTTTATTACATTTTTGAAGGTTTAAAATTTTCAACGAAGAAAAAGTGCACCAGGCAGACTTCTTGAGCAAATCTGTCTCTCCAATGGCTAATTGTGGTGCCTGAAGGCCCATGTTAAAACATTTAATTATAGACTTCCTGAAAATATGGAATTGTGAAGGTCGTCTGATAAAACCTTCTGTCTCTTATGTGCTCCCTCCACTATGTGCATATGCAGGTTCACAGTCACGCATGCATGCGCACACACAGGCATACCCCCGCACACGCATGTACACAGGCACAGACACACACACACACACAGATACACACACCCTCAGTGCTAGAAAAACTCCAACGCAGCCCTTCACTTCTTTGGGTAGCTTAGACCCTTAAAATTTCCTTTATATTGAACAGATTGCTCCCAAATAACTTCTGTCCATCAGTCTTGGTTTTGTTTTATGTAATTATACAGAAAACATCTCATTCCTTTTCTACCAAACAGCACTTAAATATCTGAAAACAGTTATGTGCTCCCAAAGCCTCCCTTTTCAGTTTCTCTTCCCTATGTTCACCTGTTTTGAGACAAAATGGACCTTTGTGTCTTCCAACAGCCTCTTGCTAAAAATCAAATTATCCAGAAGAGAAAAGCAAGGGTTCAGGTTCAAGTCTCTCATTTCAAAATCTGGCTAAATGTCAGTCCAGTCCCATGGTGACATGGACCTACCCAGCTAAGTTTCCAAGGGTGAAACCATTGGTCCAAGGGGTTTGCTTGCCAGTCCTCTTCAACACCAAAGGTGAAAGCCATAAAAGACTCTCCCAGATTATGGATCTGGACCCCAGTCCTTGCCCCTGGAAGCAAAGTCAAGCAGACGTCTGGGCTTTTCTCTCTTCTAGAAACAGGGCCATTTTCTTTTAGGGGATTTAAATGGAAAACATCCTCTGCCTGAAGTCTTGAGTCACCTTCATCTGAGACGACACACAAAACCACAGACAAAATGCTGGCAGAGGGTCTTCTAAGTCAAGGCCCTCTGTGGAATTTTGTACTCAGACAGTCTGTGGGTGGAGGGTCACATGATGAGAAATGTACAAGCTTTGGAGTCCAAGCTGGGTGTGAATTTGGTCTCCTCTAGGATATAGCAGCTGCGAGAACTCGAGTAAGCCGCTCAGCCTCCCTCGGCCTCAGAGTCTCCTTTGGTTAAAATGAGA